>NC_000010.11:101203701-101506731 GCF_000001405.40 Homo sapiens
TGCTTGTTGTGACAAATGTACCATGGTGACGTCGATGTTAACAACAGAGGCTCCTGAGTGAGGGTACATGACAGCTCTCTGTACTATCTGCAACTTTGCTATAAGCTTTAAACTATTCTAAAAGAAAAGGGTTACTTAAAATAAAAAGGGAGGTCAGGTGCAGTGGCTCACACCTGTAATCCCAACACTTTGGGAGGCAAGGCGGGTGGATCACTTGAGCTCAGGAGTTTGAGACCAGCCTGGCCAACATGGCAAAACCCCGTCTCTACTAAAAATACAAAAATTAGCTGGGCGTGGTGGTCTCAGCTACTTGGGAGGCTGAGGCAGGAGAATCGCTTGAACCCAGGAGGAGGAGGTTGCAGTGAGATGGCGCCACTGCATTCCAGCCTGGGCGACAGAGCAAGACCTTGTCTCAAAAAAAAAATTAAATAAAAAGGTAAAAAAATAAAAGAAAATGAAAAGGTAAGGCAGGGGCATGGGGGAGGGCAGGAGGATCTGGCTTTGGTTTGGAAGGGGAAGGAAAGTTGGGAAGGCAGAAGCCCCAGCGGAGCTTTTCCTTTTTCTTTTCTTTTTCTTTCTTTATTTTATTTTATTTTTTTTTTTGAGATGGAGTTTCCCTCTTGTTGCCCAGGCTGGAGCACAATGGTGCGATCTCGGCTCCCTGCAACCTCCGCCTCCCAGTTTCAAGCGATTCTCCTGCCTCAGCCTCCTGAGTAGCTGGGATTACAGATGCCTGCCACCACGCCCAACTAATTTTTTGTATTTTGGATTTTCACCATGTTGGCCAGGCTGGTCTTGAACTCTTGACCTCAGGTGATCCACCCACCTCAGCCTCCCAAAGTGTTGGGATTACAGGTGTGAGCCACCGCGCCTGGCCGTCTTTTTCTTTTTTTAGAGATAGGGTCTTGCTGTGTTGCTCAGGCTGGTTTCCAACTCCTGGCTGAAGCCATCCTCCTGCCTCAGCCTCCCAAGTAGCTGTGATTACAGGCCTGGGGAACCACTGAGCCCTGCTCAAAGCTGCAGGTCTTGAACAAAACAGGCATCCCTGCCCCCCGCATCCCTGAGGAAGTGTCTTCCTATGAATGAGACTCATACCTGTGGATAGAGGAGAGGTCTAGCGCCGAACTTCTCCAACTTCAATGCAGGCAAGAAGCTCTCAGGAAAATCTCATTAACATGTGGATACTGACTCAACAGGCCTAGGTGGGCCCAGCAATTCCACTTTTCTTTTCTTTTTTTATTTTTTGAGACAGAGTCTCGCTCTGTCTGTCGCCCAGGTTGGAGTGAAGTAGGACAATCTAGGCTCACTGCAACTTTCGTCTCCCGGGTTTAAGTGATTCTCCTGCCTCATCCTTATGAGTAGCTGGGATTACAGGTGTGCGCCACCACGCCCGGCTAATTTTTGTATTTTTAGTAGAGATAGGGTTTCACCATGTTGGTCAGGCTGGTCTCAAACTCCTGACCTCATGATCTGCCTGCCTTGGCCTCCCAAAGTCCTGGGATTACAGGCATGAGCCACCGCGCCAGGCCGCAATTCCACTTTTTCTAACTGGCTCCCAGGGGCTGCTGATACTGCCGGTCCCAGGACCACACTCTGAGTTGCAAAAAACTGGGGAGTTGGATGTCACCACTCCCCTGGGGGTAGGGGAAGAGATGCTGAAAGGAAAGGCTGCCACCCTGAAGTCGCACATGCCCTACCTTGCCCAGCTCCCGGCGAGCGGCCCGAAGGAGAGCAGAGCACAGGCTCCACAGCCTCAGAGAACAGGCTCGATTCTGGTCTCCCACTGCCAACTGTCATCTGCGATCAGCCTCAGGTAAACCTAGGTCCACGCCGAGCCTTGGTCTGCTCTCGCCACCTGGGACTCCCTGAGGGCCCTACAGTGTTACTCTCCATCTTCATCCTCTTGGGCTCAGACCAGGACAAAAAAAATAATGCACATTTTGTCTCCACACAGAAGTCCACAGACCTGCACTCAGGCAGGTGCCTCACCCCGCACCCCAGTCTCTTGCCTCCGTCTGTACAATGGGCATCGGAACTCCCAGTACCTACATCTCCAGGTTGTTCTGGGGACTGAAGGAGGGAATCAGAGGCAAGGGGCTCTGCACTCTGTGCAACTGCTTGTTGAAATGACTGAGGCACCTGCCAAAATAGTTTCAAATGCTTTATGAGGATTGTATTTTGCTTTTTAAATTATTTATTTATTATTATTTATTTTTGAGAAGCAGGGTCTCACTCTGTCACCCAGGCTGGAGTGCAGTGGCACAACCATAGCTCACTGCAGCCCCAAACTCCTGGGCTCAAGTGATCCTCCTGCCTCAGCCTCCCAAGTAGCTGGAACCACAGACCATGCACCATCATGCCTGGCTATTTTTTTATTTTTGTAAAGATAAGGTCTCACGATGTTCTCCAGGCTGGTATCAAACTTTGAGCCTCAAGAGATCCTCCCACCTTGACTTCCCAAAATGTTGGGATTACAGGCATGAGCCACCACGCCTGGCTATAAGCACAGTTGTAGGAGCTTAAAAATCAAATTAAGGTGGTTTCTTCACAGCAGATGTGAGGAAAAGAGAAGGAAGTCTATGCTGTTGACCTCTGTTGGGTCATAGATACATTAGGAGTCTGATAAAAGCTATGCCACCACCACGCAGAAAAACACACTTAAGCCCAGGTGCAGTGGCTCACGCCTGTAATCCCTGCACCTTGGGAGGCTGAGGCAGGCAGATCACCCGAGGTCAGGAGTTCAAGACCAGCCTGGCCAACATGGAGAAACCCTGTCTCTACTAAAAATATAAAAATTAGCCAGGCTTGGTGGCACACATCTGTAATCCCAGTTCCCTGGAGGCTGAGGCAGGAGAATTGCTTGAACCCGGGAGGTGGAATTTGCAATGACCCCGAGATCGTGCCACTGCACTCCAGCCTGAGCTACAGAGCAAGACTCTGTTTCAAAAAAAAAAAAAAGTTCGGGCGCAGTGGCTCACGCCTGTAATCCCAGCACTTTGGGAGGCCAAGGCAGGTGGATCACGAGGTCAGGAGATCGAGACCATCCTGACTAACACGGTGAAACCCCGTCTCTACTAAAAATACAAAAAATTAGCCAGGCATGGTGGTGGGCACCTGTAGTCCCAGCTACTCGGGAGGCTGAGGCAAGAGAATGGCGTGAACCCAGAAGGCGGAGCTTGCAGTGAGCCGAGATCGCGCCACTGCACCCCAGCCTGGGTGACAGAGCGAGACTCCGTCTCAAGAAAAAAAAAAGAAAAAAGAAAACACACTTAAGCATATAGTCACACAACTCTGCTCCCAATTGCAGAGGACTCTGGACACTGGCTTGAGCATGCCAGGTCTAGAGGCTCCTGTAAGCTTAAAGATACAAGGAAAACACAAGCAGACAGCAGGGGAAGATGGTGGGTGGGGCTGATGTTCCCAGTTCTCAGTGTCAGCAACACTGCCCCTGTGCCCACAGTCCTGAGCTCCATCAGAGGCCACTCGGAATGCACTCTGTGCACCACCCTCCATCTGCCTGCATGCAGGCTCCCCCAGCCAGGGCATCCTTTTCAGCTGCTTCTCTGGGAGCCTCAGGAATCTCAGCTATTGCAGCCGAGGCAGAGCAGCCTTGGTCCACTGTCACTGCCTGGGACTTCCTGAGTGCCCTACAGGGTTATTCTGAGCCTTCATCCTATTGAGCTCAGGCCAGGACAAAAAAATAATGCACATTTTGTCTCAGCACAGAAGTCCACCTACCTTCACTGGGATCTCAGAAGAAGCAGAAGGAAATAAGAAGATCCTGGCCGGGTGCTGTGGTTCCCACCTGTGGTCTCAGCACTGTGGGAGTGCTATAGTCCTAGCTACTTGGAGGCTGAGGCAGGAGGATCACTTGAGGCCAGGAGTTCAAGACCAGCCTGGGCAACATAGTGAGACCCCATCTTTATTTATAAAAAAAACAAAAACCCAAGAAGATCCAAAGGCATAAAAATGGTCCATTGCACCCAGGACCTCTCCCTGACCGCAGATCCTTGGCACAAGCTGGCAGCCCTGGTCTTGGTTTTTCCTCTCCCAGCTCCTTGTCCCTGTCTCAGGCCCCTCCTTCTTAAATGAGACCTTTATTGCTTTTTTCCTCATAGTCTCTGCCACTCCTCCCTCTGTCCCTGTCCTCAGGAGCTGTAAAACCATGCCCCAAAGAGTTAAGGAAGCCAATGACAGAAATTCTTTTTTTTTTTTTTTTTTTGAGACGGAGTCTCTCTCTGTCGCCCAGGCTGGAGTGCAGTGGTGCAATCTTGGCTCACCGCAACCTCCTCCTCCTGGGTTCAAGCAGTTCTCCTGTCTCAGCCTCCCAAGTAGCTAGGACTACAGGTGTGTGCCACCACGCCCGGCTAATTTTTTTTGTATTTTTAGTAGACACAGGGTTTTCCTTTGTTGGTCAGGCTGGTCTCGAACTCCTGACCTCAGGTGATCCACCCGCCTCGGCCTCCCAAAGTGCTGGGATTATAGGCATGAGCCACCGCGCCTGGCTAACAGAAATTCTTGAGTTTGCAGAATGGAGGTTAAAAAAAGAAACAACTACCGGCCGGGCGTGGTGGCTCACGCCATGCCTGTAATCCTAGCACCTTAGGAGGCTGAGGTGGGTGGATCACCTGAGGTCAGGAGTTCAAGACCAGCCTGGCCAACATGGTGAAACCCCGTCTCTACTAAAAATACAAAAATTAGTCAGGCATGGTGGCACACGCCTGTAATCCCAGCTACTCAGGAGGCTGAGGCAGGAGAATCACTTGAACCCGGCAGAGATTGCAGTGAGCTGAGATCACGCCATTGCACTCCAGCCTGGGCAACAAGAGAGAAACTCCATCTCAAAAAAAAAAAAAAAAAAGGAAAAGAAACAACTGAAACTCCCTCTGCTTATGAGATCAAAAGAACTGGCTAACACTGGTTGGAACCAACATGGACAACTGGAGTCTGCGCAGGATGAACTTGCTGATGGCACCGACTGAATTTCCACTGCATGTTTCATACTAACTCCCCTTGAATTTGCACATGCGACCCATGAGATCCCAGGAAGAGATAACTGCGCATGCCCAGGGACTTTCCAGATCTCCCCTTTCCTTTCACCAATGATCTGCTCATCTCAGAATCCACCCCCTGAACCTTTTCTAATAAAAATACTGCTTTGAAGCCAAGACGAGGAGACAGATTTGAGCTTCACACTCATGTCTGCTTGTGAGTCAACTTGCAATAAAAGCCTTTCTTTTCTCAAAACCTGGCACATTGAGCAGACAGCCCCCTTTGGCTCATAACAATTGTATATGAGAATGATGCAGCTGCCCCGGGGAAGAGAGAAGAAACTGCTAATTTCCCACCAGTATCCATTCCTTCCTTGTTTTGTTAGTATGCCTGAGTTTTGGTTGGGCACATGATCACATGACTAAAGTTTACACTCCCCAGCCTCCCTTGCAGCTTATTGAGTCAATACAACCAAATTCTGATTGATGGTTAGGACGAGGTCAGATGTATGCCACTTCTGGGTTATGACCTTAAAGGAATGGGTGTGTGCTCCCTTTGCCCTTTCCTTCTTCCCACTGAGTGGGAGGCAGACATGATGGCAGAAGCTAGAGCAGCCACTTTGAGCCCACCAGTGGGAGTTACCATGAGCCCCAAACAATGACTGACTATGACTGACTGTAGTAGGTGCTCAATAAATAATTTTGGAGGGTCCTAACTCACTTAATCCTCACAATAATCCTATGAAGTCCAACCAAGTTTACAGGTAAGGAACCTGAGACACAGGTTGAGTAATTGCTATAAGGTCACCAAGGGCAAGATTTGATTCCAGGCAACCAGGTTCCAGAGTCCATGCTTTTAGTGATGACAACATATAGAACAGAGATCTATACACTGAACTGTTATGTGAAAAAGAATAGACACCTATCCCTGTTAGTCTATGTATTGGGGGACCTCTTTGTCACAGCAGCTTAAATATACCTTAACATACCCTCTGTGTCACCCCAGAGGCAAACATAGGTCTCCCCCTCTCCACACTCCCCCTAGGGCCAGTAACCAAGCAGGCAGGCTCCTGGGAGGCTTCTGAGAGGGCTCCCTAGGGGATGAAGTTTCCTAATTGGTTCAATTTGTTTTCACTCCAGACTCTATATTCCTAAAAATCAGAAAAGTCTTCATCCCACTTGGGTCTCCAGCTGCTGAAGTACCATGCACACTCACAAGCCCTCCCTTTCCTCCAACCTAGCAACACAAAGACATGGGTACACACACACTACACCCCAATGAGAAAACAGCCCTTCGTCTCCAAAGGGTAGTGTTTTCTCTGAGTTCTTTAAATTAACTAACATTTCAATAGTTTTGCGGTTTACAAGCTATCGCCATGGAAAAAGGGCCTGGTAAAGTAACCAAGAAATGTTATTAAGTGAAAAAAGTGAATTTCAGAATAGGACACATGCTCTGTTCTTATTTCTACACATATATGCACACATCTATATGTTTGCAAAAATGCAGCTCTGTCTGTGGAAGTAGTGGCTGCTCATAACCACCGTGGGAGATGGAACCGGTCTTAGTATCACCCGCCTTTACAGATGAGGAAACTGGCTTAGCGAGGCTGAGGAACAGCTAGAAGGAGTGAGACCCGTGCTTTGCTCCCCTGCCCCACAGTTCAAAGCCCTGCTCTTTCTATTAGACCTATCTCCTGTCATTCTAAGTCCATGTCACTCTAGCTTATTGTCCCCATAGTCTGCCCAGCTCACTGCTCCCTGCCCCATCTTTGGAAGAAAACCAGGGATGTGGAGGGGGCATCTCTGGGAGGGCTATTCTGGGAGGCCTCACTGTCTGCTTATGATCAGTAACGCTAGGTATTCCAAGGCAGTAGGTCTCACCCCCAGGGACAAAGAAATCCCAATAGCTGGAGACCATGACAGAAATGTACTACAGCTCAGCCTGTGTATTTTTAACACGTTCCCCAGAACTTGATGTGAGTTTCTCAGTGACTGAAACTGATATTAAGTAAGCCCAATTTTTTTTTTTTTGAGACAGAGTTTCCCTCTTGTCACCCAGGCTGGAGTGCAGTAGCACAATCTCAGCTCACTGCAACCTCCGTCTCCCAAGTTCAAGCAATTCTCCTGCTTCAGCCTCCCGAGTAGCTGGGATTACAGGTGCCCACCACCATGCCCGGCTAATTTTTGTATTTTTAGTTGAGACGGGGTTTCACCATGTTGGCCAGGCTGGTCTCGAACGCCTGACCTCAGGTGATCCACCCGCCTCAGCCTCCCAAAGTGCTGGGATTACAGGCATAAGCTACTGTGCCTGGCCCCAATTTCTTTTTGAAGAAGGTAATTGGCATGGGTATTTTCCTTCTTTCTTCCCCCCACAGAGATCAGTTACATATCTTTGGTGGGAAAGGTGAGCTGGGAAGAAAAGCCCACTCAGTGTGGAGCCCTGGGGAGCTGCAAATAAGAGACCCTCACATGCCCACAAGGATGAGCTCTCTGAGGGAGGGGACTGCCCTGCCTGGACTCCAATCTCGGGATCATTCCCCCTTCTGTCTCCAGAGCTCACTGCTCAGGCCAGGAGAAGGTTTCCCTGGGCTTACCAACACCTCTACATCTGGCACTGAAATTCTTGAATAGTCACCAGCATTTGGACTAAAATGTGCCTTTTGCAAAGCACCCTGTGAAGACATTAGCTCATCTGACCCTGAGTGCACCCCCCTGAGACAGGGAATATTATGGTCAACTCACAGATGATGAAACTGAGGCTTCGAGAGATGAAGTGACTTGCCAAAGTCCCACAGCTAGGAAGTTACAGACTTAAGCCCAGGATATCTGATCCCACATATCAGGTGGATTTCCTCATTTGGAAGTCACGCTGGGGAGGAGTAGATGGGAAGGGGAGAGATTCTGCAGTTCTCCCAGAAGAGTCTGGGAAAGGGAAAGAAGGAGAAAGAAGGAGTAGGCTGCTTCATAAAGGGAAGATTCTCAGGCCCCACTGATTCTATTTCAGTGGCTATGAAGTGAGGACCTGAAATCTGTGTTTTCAAGCTCAGACTAGCCAGCCGGGCCCATCAACAGCTCTCCCTTGCTGCCCTCCCATCCTGGGGGAAGGGAAGAGGGACACGAGGTATCCTGGCTCTAGTGCAGTGACTCCAGGGACCCCAAGATGTCCATTCTGGGAGGACACTCTGCCAGGGAAAACTACTTAAGACCCCAAGAGAAAAAGGATGGAAACAGATGGAAGGGGGACAGAGGATCTCCTTCACCTCTTTCCCCACCTAAGGCTTGGGGCTCAGGATTCTCATTTTCCTGCTACTTACAGTAAGTGGAAATTCCCAATACTTGTGGCTAATCTGTGTCTAGGGGGGATTCCCGCTCTCTGGACATGGCAGGTGGGCAAGAGGGGATTGGGGACAGAGTTCTGGGAGACTTATAAACAATCACAGAGCATTGCCTCGAATGAAAGGCTGTCACCAGATCTCAGGTCGCAAGGGACTTTTGAAGCCCAGTACCCCTCCTGTCACACAGTAAGACACAGTACTCCCCTTTCTCTAAGGACAGTCTCAAAATCGAGGACAAAGACCTAAAGCGACCTTAACAGACTGCCTCCTCCCACACCTGCCCAGGGGTTCTTCCCACTCTGATCCTTGCTTCTCCTAAACGTTCAGGGCTGGAGAAGGTCCTGCAGTTGGGTGGGAGCAGGTCTCAGGAGTGGGTCTTGGGTGAGTGTGGCTCTGCAGGGTCAGGAGTTCAGTGTCAAGACATGGTGGCAGCCTGAGCCTGTGTAAGGGAGTGTTTGGTGCACCACAGAGTCAGTACATGTGTATGTCAGGCATGTGAGGGCCCTCATGGGGCATAGAACTTCCTGCTGCACTCACTACCTATTAGGTTTTCTGCCAGGATGTCACCAGAAGCTCAGGGATCTCTGGCCCTTCTAGAAGTGCCAGGCAGGGCTGTCGCCACCTCTTACCACTTTTTATCTACTCTGAACAATTCGCGCAAGACCCATGGACTGAGCCTGGGTTGGCACTCACTCTTCCCCTGACCTTTCCATCTGCAGTGTGCTAGCTGGGGAACGTGGCCCGTCCGTCAGGCCTGATGATCACACTGTAGAGAAAGAAATTTATTTTTATTTATGCATTGTTACATTTATTTATTTATTTATTTATTTAGAGACAGCATCTTACGCCGTCACCCAGGCTGGAGTGCAGTGGCGTGATCTCGGCTCACTGCAACCTTTGCCTCCCAGATTTGAGTGATCTTCCTGCCTCAGCCTCCAGAGGAGCTGGGACTACAGGCATGCGCCACCACACCCAGCTAATTTTCGTATTTTTAGTAGAGGCAATTTCTCCTTGTTAGCCAGGCTGGTCTCGAACTCCTGACCTCAGGTGATCTGCCGGTCTCAGCCTCTCAAAGTGCTGGGATTACAAGCATGAGCCACTGTGCCTGGCCTATGTATTTATTTTTTTGAGACGGAGTTTTGCTCTTGTCACGCAGGCTGGAGTGCAATGGCATGATCTCAGCTCACTGCAACCTCTGCCTTCCTGATTCAAGTGATTCTCCTGCCTCAGCCTCCCGAGGAGCTGGAATTACAGGCGCCCACCACCACGTCCGGCTAATTTTTGTATTTTTAGTAGAGACAGGGTTTCACCATTTTGGCCAGGCTGGTCTCGAACTCCTGACCTCAGGTGATCCACCCTCCTCGGCCTCCCAAAGTGCTGGGATTACAAGCATAAGCCACCGCGACCGGCAATTTCTGCATTGTTACTTTTAAGTGACAAGTAAACATTGTATATATTTATGCTGTGAAATATGATGTATATACTGTGGTGCAGGGGAAGAAATTTCTAACCTCCCAGGTATCCTATCAGCTGGGAGGAAGCTGACCCCACAGCAGGAGGGAAAGAGGTAAGATTAGCACAGAACTCACAGTGCGGGTGGAACTCAGCAACACTGAGTCTCCCTTCCCTGTGCAATCCCATGAAGATCGGAGGAACCCTTGTGCGCCTTTGGGAAAGGGACTTCCTCCCTATAGGCAGGAGGGTAGCTGAGATGACCGCGAGCCAGTTAGAGGAATTTCGCTGCCTCCAGCCCCGCAGCCCGCCGCAGTGCCAAATAACAGACGGCAGAGGGCGCTCCTACCTAACCTTTCCCATGCCGCGGAGGGTGCGAGGACCGGAACTTTGCGAGCCGAGAAAGTTCTGATTTTTTTCCGCAGTGTTCTGATCTTTGCCCGCAGTGTACCGGGGATTGAGCTGGGGGCCGGGCTCGGGTAGGAATAGGGATGAGAGGGGCTCATAAGTAGACCCCCCCCCCTTTTTTTTTTGAGACGGAGTGTCACTCTGCCGCCAGGCTGGAATGCAGTGTGGCGCGATCTCGGCTCACTGCAACCTCTGCCTCCTGGGATTACAGGCGTGAGCCACCGCACACGGCCAGAGAACCCCCCCTTTTTTTTTTTGCTCCCCGCCAGCAGAGACATGGGGTGGTCCCTTCCTCAACCCCACGCCAAACCCAAACCCTGAAACAGTGTCCCGCACATCTGCCGGGTCCAAGTGAGAGTCCCCTAGCCACACCCCTGCAATTCCTTGCGGCCCTCTACTAAAGGCTCCGTTCCAAGAAGTGAGGGTGAGAGGTCGGGCGCGGTAGCTCACACCTGTAATGCGGCAGCTTTGGGAGGCCGTGAGTTATGATCATGTCACTGGACTCCAGCCTGAGTCAGAGTGACAGACAGAGACCCCTGTCTCTATTTTTAAAAAGAAGTCCGGGCACGGTGGCTCACGCCCGTAATCCCAGCATTTTGGGAGGCCGAGGTGGGAGGATCGCTTGAGCCCAGGAGTTCAAGACCAGCCTGAGCTATATAGTGAGACCTCGTCTATACTAAAAGTTAAAAAAAAATAGCCAAGCGTAGTGGTGCGCGTCTGAGTAGTACCAGCTACTCAGGAGGCTGAGATGGGAGGATCGCTTGAGCCTGGGAGGTGGAGACTGCAGTGAGCCGAAATAGCGCCATTGCACTCCAGTCTGGGCGATACAGTCTCAATAATAGTAATAATAATAATAATAATAAAGTGGGGGTGAAGCGTGTTCACTCAGGAGCTTGTAGTTTGGGAGTGGGACCGCGTCAGGATGGCTATCCGGGCTCCGGATGGGTGGGGAAAGGGGTGGCTTAAGGGCGGGCACTGCTGCTGAGCGTCAAGTACCGCTAGGTGGCGCTCGAAGCCCGCGTCACAGAGAAGCGGGGCCTTTCGAACACCTGTGCTCAAGAGGGGGCGGGCTTGGAGACCCGAGAGGGCTGCAGGAAGAAAGAGCCTGGACCCTAGGATCCTCCCTGAAACAGCGGGATGGCCTGGGTACATGGGGCCATTGGGCAGCCATCGTTCTCCGGAGGCTTAAAAGGGGCGAGGTGAAGAGGGGGGCAAAAGCGTGGCAGGCGCTGCGAGGGAGAGAGGAGGCATCCCCCGGCCTTCCCCAGGACCTGGAGGGGTGGGAGACTGTCGTCGGCACACCTGCCTCTCTGAATTTATGGATTCCGTTCTGAGGCTGCTAGGAGAAGAATTCGGGGTCTTAGAGGCCACATTTGGCCCAGGAGTCAAACATACAAGGGCACGCTCATCTGTTTTTCTCCCAGGATACGCGGGTCTGTGTATGAGCAGCTGCTCTGAGCTTGCGACTGGGAGGGCAGAGGGTGTAGACTCCCGCGTCCCGGGGCTCCCTTCCTCGCTCTTCCTTCGGACACCCACAGCAGCTGCTCCTGGGGAATCTGCCCCCAAGTTTCGAGGAACTGCCCCCCAGCGCCCAGGAGGAAAGGGGAATGGGGCTGTAAACGTGTCTAATTCAGACCCGTTATCCAGATCGGAATTAGTTTCTCGCGGACACCTCCGCGCCGCGGGCCATTCTCTGCCTGGGGCCTTTCTTGGACCGATCCATAGGGCCTCGACTGGCTTCCACGGCGCTTGCAAATTAGAGACTCTGATGCCTCAAATTTGTGGGGTCCTGCCTCCAGCTCATCCCCCTCTCCCGAGGCTTGGCCTAAAGGCACCATCCCTGCCACTCCTCACCCCCTGAATTCAGTCGGGGGCCTGTGTGGAGGGAAAGGAAAACCTGGAGAGACCAAGTGGCTGCACTGCCACCGCGCAGGCATGGATCCTGCCTGGCCGCCGTCTGGGAACTCGAGATCCGAGGAGGGGCAAAAGCCGCCGGCGCCGGGGTCAGGCCTGGTGGACCCGAGCTCCTTGGTGAGACCTGGACCCACCGTCTTCTCCTTCAAAAGCACAGGGTGGCAGCGGGGAAAGGATACGTTCCCATTGAAGGGGCGATGGAAAACTGGAATCAGAGACTGAAGGAGGCGGGGCATGGGACCCCGGAAGATGCCTCCCAGACGTTCCAGGCCTGCTTGCCCGGCTCCGGAGGTCTTAGCAGCATCCTCGGAGGTTGCCAAACACCTGGGAAGGGGGTAGGTGGAGCTTGAAAGGACTCTGGGTCTCTCTTTGGGAATGCAAAGTCCCCTCAACTCTCCTGGCCCTCCCATCCGCCCCCCACCCGCGCCAGCGTGTGGTAGCCCCGAGCCTAGCACGCTGAGATGTGGGAAGGTGTGGGTCTGCCCAGTGGGTGGCCCCGACAGAACGAATCCGAGGTCCTGGGAGGAATTGGGAGACGTGAAGAGTTGGGTATCTGCCGCCCCAAGGTGGGGCCATCCGCTTGGCAGTTTCGGCTCTGCGGGCGGCGCGGCCTCGCGCGGAATCTAGCCAGCCCCTGAGAGTCCCCGCCCCCTCCCCGAGGCCCAAGGTATTAGTGCTGCTTGATCAGACCTCATTTCCTGCGAAAATGGAAACATATCCAGGGTCCTTAATAAAGTGAATGACGAGGCTTCGGTGTAATTGGGCTTCCGTTTGGTGGCTATTTCCTTAAACTGAGAGTGGAAAAAAATGTAAACTCACAGCGCTCAGATGTAATTATATGATTATCAAAAGGAGTGCAGGATGGATTAGCCGAGCAACGACCTAGAGTCTGAGAAACGGGCAGGCACAAACGCTTACTCAGACCAAGGGACCCAGAAGTCCCGGACTTCCACACCAGCCCCGCATCCAAGCGCGCGCCTTTGAAACCTTCGGCCTCTCCTGCCAGCCAGAGACCCGCCCTGCCGTTGCCATCGGGACACGCGGGATCTTTATTTATACGCTGGGGTGGGTCTTTTCCTTCCTCGCAGAGGAGGAGCGTCCTCTAAGGCAAGGGGGGTGGGTGCTGGCTACGAGTCCCCTGACCGCCTGCCCGGCCCGCGTGCGCTGGCTGCATATTTCTATGCATAATCCAATTTTCTCCGTGACTATCTAGTTAAACTCTTTAACAACAGCTACATAATTAGAATTTGGATTCCCATTAATTTTCCTTGGGCCTCGAACCATTTGCAGCTCACACTGGTAATTAATGCGATACATCACTAACTTTACCCAGCGCAGGCCGGCCCGGCTCAGGTCGCTCGGCCAGCGCCTGGCGCCCTCGAGCGGGACCCTGACTCCTGACCCTGCTTCCCAGGTGGGAGCCGTTTTCCTCCTTCCAAAGCCAGATGCCTCGGGCCCGCGAACCAAAAGCCTTCTTTCCAGGAAATTTCACAATTAAAAATATTTATCGGGAGCAGATTTACGTTTCTGGGTTTCCAGTCTCGGGGCGTCTGGGTAGGCTATTAAGAGTAATTAGCATCTTTTGCGCATGCAGATTTACTTCGCTCATTGCCACATAACTCATCCCTAAAAGCCGGCGCAGGCGAAAGCAGGCGCCGCCGGCGGAGCCGCTGCCACAGCTACCGCCGCTGCCCGCCCGAGCCCCCCTCCCCTCCTGCGCTGCCCGCTCCCAGTCTCTCCGGCCCGAATTGTCCGCTCCAGGCCCCAGACGCTGAACACGGAACGAAAAGGCTTCCATCCTGGAGACCTGGAGACGAGTGACGCCAGAGCGACCTCGTGCGGTTGGGGAAGGCCCAGACTAGGCTCTCCAGGCTGGGGCCGCGCCGTCTGGACCCCAGGCATTGCGACCACGCATGTGTGTGCACCACCGAGTGGGCGCTTGTGTGTGTGCACGCTCACGTGCGCGCGAGTGCACAGGAGTATGGTTGCTAGTGCGCGTTCCTGAGAGGGCGAAGGGGCGCGTGGAAAACGAGCTGATCACCATCCTCCCCTTCCCTGCAGCCCACCGGTTCCCAGGACGACGCTCAAACGTCAGTCCTAGGCCACCCACCTAGGGCACTGAGTTTCAGAGGGAGACTCGGGCCCCTACCTTGCCTCGAATTCCCTTCTACAGAGCCAGTTCCATCCAGCCAAACGGCCTGGAGCACTCAGCGCCCAGCCGGGGGAACTGGGAGGCCCAACACCCGGCTGCAGCCGAGCGCATGGCTGGCCTGGTACCGGTGAGAGGCCGCCAGAGAAAGCGCAGGCGGAGCCGGGGGTCACTGAACAGAGACTTTCAGGGTCGCTGGGGGGCGGCTGGAGACGATGAGGCCACGCGACTGAAGGGATTGGGGGGTGAGGAGTGGTGGTGGGGGCGGACAAAGGGACAACGTGGCGGTGGACGAACCAGGGCCAGAGAGGGCCGCTGTGGCTCCCGCTCTTCGGGCCGAAGCACCCACCACGGGTTCGTTATTAACGCGCTGGGAAGTCCGCAATCCGCCCAACTTTCTTCTCTTTAATGAGCCTAGAAGAGGCTGCCCTGAAGGGGTTTGTTCATTAAAGATGTAGCTGGAGGAATATTGTCTCATTAATTATCTGGTTTTAATTACACTCCTACCCTTTGAATCCAGAGATGGGAAAAGTTGATTTGGTGGCGCCGCCCCCTTGAGCTTAAAGGGTCGGCCTGGCTAGGGGACCAGGAGGGGCTGCATGGGGACTGCTTGCTCCCGGGAGGGTGTGGGCAGGAGTCTGGTGTATATCCGGCCAAGAATCCCTTTGCGACGTGTCTCCATGCCTGGGTGTGTGTGTATGGACCTCCGTGTGTCTGCGTGTGTGTGACCACGTGCGGCTGAGAGGCCATGTAGACGTGACTTGGGTGTCTATGTGTGCTCCCTGCCTGTGTGTAGTTCTGTGTCTGGGTGTACATATGGGTAGCTGAGTGTGTCTATAGACAGGCCCGAGCAGGGGTCTAAGTGAACAGCAATGTGACTGGGTAACTGTGTCTGTGGTGTCTAAGACGGTGGCTTCCTGCCCGTCAGCTCAAGTGACAGTGACATCTCTGGGTCTCTGCATATATCCCCATGTAGATGAATGTTGTGGGGCGGGGTGGGGGTCCATGGCTGGGGCATCCCAGGAGCTGGACTACTCCAAGGACATGGCTCGGTTTCCAGGGTCCCCAGAGCTGGGACGCCGCCGGGAAACCATGGTCCTGGAGGGGAGGGAGTTATTTGAGGGGGTGCTTGTCCCTGCCTCGTCCCTTGTCAGGCCCCGCGCGGCGCTAAAGCGGGGGCCGTTTTCCCTTTAAATCGCGGACACTTTGACAGGGGACATTAAGGACCCGGCTGCTCAGGCTGAGCAGATCATAAAACCGGACAGGCAATTTCTGCTCCCGCCAAATAGCCGGGCAAACTCGTTCTGCATCTTTGGTTTTAATGCACTAAACTGGCAGCTAAGCAGGGAGCGAGCAAAAGGGGGGTGGGAAGCCCCCCCCCCCACATACACGGGCGCACACACCGGCACAGGCGCAAACACTCCTTCACACCTTTGGACCCCACACCCCGCCCCGGCCCTCCAACACCAGAGGAATTATCAACTAGAATTTGATTAATATGCAAATCGCAGGCAAACAGCTCCATATAATTCTTTCAGTGGAGAGTAATTAATCACCAGTTAAAGCAAATTAATACATATATCAATTTTGTCAGAAACATGCTTAGTTCAATCGCCCGTAAAATTGAAGTTTGAAGTATTAAGAGGCTCTGCAGAAACGCCAGGACTAAAACTTTCAAATTGATCCTATTTAGTAATCAATCAGGCTCTCCCCTCAGGTTAATCTGCCTAATTTTTCATCTCAAATCATACACTTTACTGACACGCCATCTAGCAAACAGTCGATAAAAAGTTAACAAAAATGATAACGACTCCAGCCAGAGCCATTGTGCAGGGCGGGTGGGCGGCCGCGGCTTTGATTGCATTTCGGGGTGGTTGGGGACTTGGTTTTTCACTGGGGCACCAGTTTGGAGGTTCCCCAGACAGTGGAAGCCTCCCTTTCCCACCAACTCTTGTCTGCTACTGGCTGCCCTCTCTGCAAATGGACTCTTCTCAGAACATCAGAACACGAGCAGCATTTCCACTGAAGTCACCTAAACCAGCTAGCCCCTGCCCTACTCCCATGTTTGCATAAACTGTCTGGAAGCCGGTGCCCTGTGTGCTTGTGGCAACTGTGAGCTGTGACTCTGTCACTTGCCTGTATTGTATGTATAAAGTGGGGATGGTGTATATGTTTAACAGCCAAGGTTTATCTGCTTAATTCTTATGTATGCTACTAGCTGCCCATATTTGGGCAGGTTTGCTGTGTCTTATGTGACTGCACTGTGTTTTCCAGGCATCCTGTGTGTCTGTGGGTCACTGTGGGTGTGTATCGGGTTTCTGCAGTGTTGGTCTGTGTAACTGAGTGCCTGCCTTGTGTGTGTTTGGTTTGTTTCTGAGGTGTGCCTGTGTTGGGTGTGGGCCTGTGGGCCTGTCTGGGCTTACCCTTCATTTCCATGTGGACATGCAGTCCCAGGGAGACCTCAGGCAGATGGATCAATAGGCCCCATTATAGACATCAGGAGAGAGGAGACAGTCCCTATAGAGACCCAGACACTTCACCTTGAACAGCCTCTGGGAGATGGAAGGGGTCACCTCTTCCCTACCTTGGTCCGTATCCCAGCTCTGGGTTGGCAGAGGTGTGTGAGAAAGGGGAGAAGAAGGCTCTCATTTCTTGTTGGAGGAGGCTCCCAACTTGGATCTCCCTTTCTGAAGAGCCTTGGGCCCCTGAATTTGGGAAGGGTTGGGGTACAGACACTCAGGGATGCCTCCATCCCATGTGCTCAGATGTCACGTCCACACTCAGATCCATTGGTTACATGGATACCCTCAGGTAACTAAGCTCCCTTCCCCACTTCATCCACCCCCATTCACAGACAAATAGCTACATCCAGCTCTCCATGGGGAAGCGTGAACATGCCCACATGCACACACCAATGCACAGCAATCCTTGCACACACTTGCACACATACAAACCAGATTCCAAAGTGGGCAGGACTCATTCACTCCCAACTCTGCTTGCAGCCATGCGCATATTGCCATTTGTACCCTCCCCACTTTGGGCAGGGCTGAGCCCCCACGGGGAGGAGGAACTTCCTTTGACTGAGCTGGGGGAAGCTAGGCCTTCAAGCGCTACCTGGAACTGGAGCAGCCAAGGGCAGGTCTACAGGTCACTCCAAAGACAAAGGTTCAGCCCGGTGACCAGCTTGAATGGGAGAAGGCAGGCAGGGCAGCCTGGCCATCACCCAACTGCACAACAGAGGATGCCCCTACCCCCGCAACCTGTTTTCAAAGAAGCAGAGTCCATGCCTATATAGTGCCTATTCGACGGCCTCAGCTGCCCTCAGAATAAACTTCAACCCAGGCTGAAAGTTCTCCATCCCATCTTCTACTTAGTCCTCTCCTGAGTCCTCTTCCTGTCAGGCCATGTGGTCCCTGCCCCCAGCATTGTAAATGTAAATTTCAGTAGCCAGCTTGGCTAAAATGTTTGGAGCTAGGATTCTGGTTGTCTGCCTGTAGCTTCAATTCCACATCAATATTCATTCTCCCAGCTATCTGCTCACACCAGCTCCCTGCACACCTCACACACCCTGGGCATCGTTTACCTGCTGGTTACACCCACTCAGTGACAGCTTTACTCTTTTCCTCTCCATTGAGCAAATTTAGTCACACCTAGCTGCACACACACTAGTTTGCAACAATCAGTTGCAGGAACGCAGCATCACACACCCAGTCCCACGCTCCGTTTCCATCAATCAGCCGCACATGCTCAGTTTCTCAGTTGCACATACTTGATGACACACTCAGGAACATGCCCTTGCTAGTCCCCATGCAGCCTGCCACACACACACCCACAGCCCCAAATCTCTCCCAGAACTGGCAGCTGTTAGGAGAAGACGGGGTGATTTGCAGATGGCAGTCCTGGACTTGGAAGTGCAGATGTGGGGCCCCAGGAACACTCAAGGTGGGAATGCTCCTCCCTCCAGGGTGCTGGTCCCCAGGAACCCCCACCTTCCTTTGCCCCAGTCCCAGGAGCCTGTTCTCTAGGAGATGTGGCCTGTGGACACACCCGGGAGTCAGATTCTAGGCTCTCCAAGACCTGTCAGTGTCTGCCAGGGACCTCCACTCCGCACATGTACAGTCCAGGGATGCAGCCAGTTCCCACACACCCCTTTGCACACCTACAGCCTAACCACCACTACCCAGCACAACCAGTTCTACTCCCCTCCATTCCCACCCACTTCAAAGCCACATGTACTTCACTTTACAACAGCAGCCTCCTACTCGCTGACCCCTGTGACTCCAGCCCATTCAGATTCTCTGTCCCTTCTTCCACATGCTTTGTAGCCCCTGACCTTACTAACCTGCCCCCTTATCTGGCTGCCCTCTCTATATCCCCGGGCTTTCTGTGGTGCCCTCTCAGATGCATGTGTTTGGGGAGCATATGTATTGTCCCCACAAATCACTTTCTGCGCTCCAAGAGGGGCTAGTTGTTGCCGGTGGGAAGCCAAGCCCAGGTGCCTCCGGGTTCAGGTGACTGGAAAAGCCAGGGCAGGGTGAGTGGACTTCCCCGGACTTGGCGGCTCAGAGGGATGGAGAGGTGGGGGGGGGGGTCCCCGCGGCGACGGGAAGGGGCGGAGGGTAGGCGCGCGGCCCCAGCTCGTCCCTTTCAGGGGGGACTCATGCATCAAACTTCAATTTTCCGGACGATTGAATTAGTGATTTTTTTTCTCCTGAACTAAAATACACTTAAGTCTTTGGGATTAATTACCACGTTCTGGTCCCTCAGACTGGAGTATTACTTATCGGAGCTGCGTCTGACACCGGCCCGACACCTCGTAAAATAGGGAACTGCGCCTCTCTGCCTCACCCCGCGCCGCTCGCCAGGCCACCAAGCCGGGAAAGGCGGAGCGAGGGGAAGCCGAACAAGCGGGATCGGCCGTCCGCGCGCGGAGGGGTTCCTAGACTGGAGAGCAGAAACTACCCGCGTCCCGGGACTTGGCAAGCCCCGTCGAGCCCCGGGACACAACGGGGAAGGGAGAGACAAAGCCGAGCCGCCTCTCCTGGCCAGCCCGGAACCGAAAGTGGGTCCGTAGAGAGCCCAGAGTCCTGGGGGAACAGATGGGCAAAGGGCTCTAGGAGGTGATGGAACTCAGGCCCGAAGGGCAGGCAGCCCACAGGATACCAAGCCTTAACGAACTACGCCAGAAGAATGGGCGTAGGGCCCACAGCCCCTCACACAACCCAGGCCAAGCTCCCTCGTACACTCAGACCAGGAGAAGAAACAGACACGCAATACACAAGCCCCGCTCCCTTGGAGCCTACACTTGGGCGAACACACCACTGCTGTTTGCAGTATCCCGAGACAGGCCCGGCAGGCGTGAGCTAAGAGGCCTCGGGCCCGAACTTGGGATTTGAGGCTCTCTCACATCGCCGGTCCCAGCGGCAGCGCCTGAGGCACAGCCAAGACCATCCGAGGTCCCCGGGCCGCGCGCAGGTAGCAGACTTCTTCAGAACTGGGGGAGCTAAAGAGAGAGTGGGCTTAGAGCCCAGGCCTCCCTGGATCCCAGATCCTCGCCTCCGCCTACAGCCAAGCCCCTCAGCTTTTGCCCAGAGCTGCTGACTTCCTCGCCGCCTCCCTGCGCAATGGGACCTAGAGATAAGCCCCAAGCCCGGGTGCTAGTCCAGGCAGAGTCGGGTGCTAGTCCAGGCAGAGTCCAGTGCTAGTCCGCGGCCTCAACAGAGCTGTCGGCTGGGCTCCGGAAGCCCACCCGGAACCTGATGGAGGCAGCGAATTCCTCAGAGCAGAGGACACTGCGGAGAGGCTCGAATCCACTTCCCACATTGTGCGGGACCGAGCGCGCAGGGCGCTCTCGCGTGGCCTCCTTAGCTCGGGTTCAGCCGAGGCTCTCACGTACACTTCGTTACCCCTTCCCCCCGCCGCAGCTCTGGTCCTTCCTTCCACTGGCTCTCTTCTCTGGCCTATGGAAACAACGAACTACTTTTCGCCTTTCAAGGCCCGGGTCCCAAGCCACCTCCTCTGTGAAGCCGCCAACACCCTGGTAGCTGCCTCTCAGTGTTTTGCAACTGGCACGGCCCTGTCCCTCGGTCCGCTTCTACTAGCGCTGGGGGTGCTGCGAGTCTTGCCCACTAGACTAGGAGCTCCTTGAGGGCAGGAACCGAATCTGATTCGTTTCCATTTTCCCAGCCCCCCTGCGCGGCCTGGCGCAGAAAAGACGCGCAATAAACATTTGCTGAATTGAATTGCGTTTTCTCCTTATTTTATTAATCCTTCCCCTTCCTTCTTTCATTCTTTCTTTTCCTCCTTCCTTCCTCCCTCGTTATTTTTTATTTCTTGGTTATATTCAATTGTCATGTTTTTCAGGCTCATTAAATCCATTTAGAGACAAAAGAATAAAAGGCAGAAGGGGAAGGGCGGGGGAGGAGAGAGGGGGAAGGGAGGGGAGGGGGCAGGCCGGAGAAGCAAACAAATAACCCGCTTTAACTAGACGGGCGGATAAATGGCCCCGTTTCTCCTCAGCCCCGACGCGCCTGCTTAGCTGCGCGCCCCGCGGGCGCCGCAGCTCGGGTGGGCTCAGCCCTGGGGCCGCCGCCCCCAGCCCAAAGGGACCCAGCGGGGCCAGGCCCAGGGCCGCGAAGCAGAGAGCGGCCGGAGGTGCCAGGGCCGCTTCATTGGGATTCATGAGCGTGTTGGGCGGGCGGCCTGGGGCTTCGGGCGCGGGGCGGGGGCCGAGTGGGGGGGTGCGCACGGCGGGCGCAGATGCCCGGGTGACCGACCCGCCGTGGTCCCTGCGCCGCCTTTGTGCCGAGGAGGCGCGCGCGGGGACCTAATCCATCAAATTGTCTACAAATTGTGAAGAAAATTCAAAAACCATATGGTCGCCAGCGCCGGCGCGCTCTGGGCTGCGGAGGGCCGCGGCCGTGCCCGCACCGGGAGCCGCGGGGGGCTGGGCCCGGCTATTGTCGCCTGTCAGCGGCCGCCCAGGCCCATTCGTCCCGGCCTTCATGGTCCGCGCTCCGAATTACAGACCCATCCATCCTAAGAGAGGGCAATTTTTGTCGCCCGGGAGGAACCAGCCGCACGCCTGCCCCGCTGCCCTGCCGTCTCCTTCCTTCTCTGCTCCTTCTCTCTCTTCTCCTCTCTTCCCATTCTTTTTTTCTCCCTCTGTCTCTGTCTCCCTTTCTCCGTTTCTCTGTTTCTCTCTCTTTTTCCTCTTTTTCTCCGTCCTGTCTCTGTGGCTCTCCGCTTTCTCTCTCTGCTTTTGGAGTGTCTTTCTGTGCTCCTATTTTTTTTTCCTGTTTCTCTCTGTCTCTTCGTTTCCTCCTGGACACGCACGTTCCTGGCTCGGGCCCGGGGGCCCCATCGCCGCCCGAGACCAGATGCGCATTTCTCACATCAATTTTGCGGAGAAAGAGAGCCCAGCGGCCCGGAGGCGGGACCCCACTCCGGTGACAGCGGCTACTCGCCAGCCCAGCGACAACAAAAGCCCGGAGAGAAACCCGCTCTGTCCAGGAAAGTGAAAGCGGCCTCAGCCCCCGCCCCAGCCGGCCTTGGGGCGCCGCAGACCCGAGAGAGTCCTTGCAAGATCCATACCTCTGCCCCCAGCGGTGTGCCGGGGTGTGGAGGCAGAATTGGTTAATGTTGCCAGAAATTCACACCAGCTCCCAGACGCTTGGGCTTACAGTTCCAGGTGCCCACATTGAAATTCAGCCTGGCCTTGATGCCTTTAGCCTTTGGCCCCCGACTCCCCAAGGATGAGGCCCTCGGGGCTAGAATCGAAACTTGGGAACCCAAGGCTCCACCCCGCGTCTGACTGAGTGATACCTGCAGCGCTCCCGGGGCTCAGCCCTGTTTTCGGGGAGTGCAGGGAGAATGCCCTTGGGTCTGGGGTGGGATGCAGGAAATGCAGGGCAAGACCCCCTCCCACCCTTTGTTCAACACAAATTAATGTTGTACTGTGGTGTGCCCCCACATACACAGGCATTTTCTCCCAGCATTTCACGGCTCGTTTTTTACCCCGACCTGGCGAAGCCCGCTTCTCTCCCGATTTAGCAGCTGCCTCAGGTTTATGGGCAAGAGGCGCCTCCTCCTGCTGCTTCCCCCTCGCCCTTCACTCTTAAGCCTGTCCTGAAAATCCCCCCCAAATCTCCAAGGCTAGGGCGACCGGCACGAAGAGCGGCAAGAAGCCCAGCCTGCCGCTGCTTCTCGGAAACGGGCCCACCACTCAGACACGGTCGCCGCCGGTTCTAGTAAAATGGCAAAGACTTTATTTATTGGAGAAAGAGGCCTTGGGTACAGTCTAGGGAGGAGAGGGGAAGGGAGGAGCAGGGAAGGGGCACTCGCAGCCCACTCACATCCAGCCACCCTCCTCTGGCCAAGTCGGGTAGGAGTGGGGTGTTCGAAGTGGCAAGAGAGACCCAGAGCTGTGGAGGAGGTGAGGTGAGGGCTTGGGTCGGCCTCCTCTCTGTCTCTGTCACATGCAAAAAAATTCTAAAAAGAGTACAAAATAATTATAGGGCTTTGGGTTCTGTTTTCGATAGTTGGTTGGTTGGATTTCCCCCTGCATTGTCCCTAAGAGCCGGACTCCAACAGTCAGTCCGAGGAAATGCGGGAGGGAGGGAGGAATCTTAAAAACAGCATTAGTGGGCATTAGGAGGCAGAAATGGCATCGAAAACAGACTTTTCTCTCAGAGGGTGGGGAGGAAAGATCGATTTTGAAACTTGCAAGTCAGGACCTGACTGCCCACCTCTTCCCCTCCCACATGAGGAAAAAAGGCCCGAGGAAATAGAAGTCAACTGCAATAAGGCCGAGGGAGGCGAGGAAGGAGCGGGCCGGTGCATTCGCCACATGCAGAGAAAAATCAAAACAGCCGGAGCTGCCACTCCCCTAGACCGCAGGGTTAGTGTTCCCCGCCCTGGTTTCTGTCTCGCCCTCAGCAAACCCGGCAGCCCGAGAGCTTTGAAAACATCGAAATCTCCGAGATTTAAAAAATAATAATAAAAGAAAGGAAAAATCAGGCTGCGGTGGGAAGAACCCGCTATATAGGTTTAAATATTTATATAGAAGCCATACAGAATTGCACGGCGAGGGCTTCCGGGGCGGCGGAGGCCGCTGGTGGCGGCCGGCCCGGCCGGCCAGCCTGGGTTTATTGCTTCGAGAGGGAAGAGGCGGCTGCCAGGAGCCGAGTCCGGGGCCGGGGACAGGGGAGGAGGCGGGAGTTGGCAGAGGAGGTCCCAGCTCCCCTCGGCGGTCCGGTCCGGGAGGCGTTGGGCTTTCGAGCGCTAGGAGCCCAGGGCGGCGGAAGACCCGGGGCGCCGCTCAATCGTCCACGTCGATCTCTTCGTCTTCCTCGTCCTCCGAGCAGTCCTGGCTGCTGGCCGGCTGGTCCGTGAGCGGAGAGGCAGGCGAGAGCTGCAGGGCGCCAGCGCCCGGGGCCTTCGGGGCGCCTGGGGGGAGGACCGGAGAGCCGGGCCTCGACTTGGCCCTGCCGCAGCCGCCGCCACCGCCGGCTGTGGCCTCCGAGTTCTGCTCGAGTTCGGCCAGCGCCACGATGTCCATCTGCCCGCTGGGGCCCAGTTTCTTGGCGGACTCTACGTCGGCCTTCATCTCCTCCAGGTCCCGCTTGAGCTTAGCGCGCCGATTCTGGAACCAGGTGATGACTTGCGCGTTGGTGAGGCCCAGCTGCTGCGCGATTTGGTCGCGATCGGCGGGGGACAGGTACTTCTGGTATAGAAAGCGCTTTTCCAATTCATAGATCTGGTGGTTGGTGAAGGCCGTGCGCGACTTTCGCCGCTTCTTAGGGGTCTGCCGCTGCCCAAAGATGGTCATACCGTCGCGGCCTGGGAGGAAAGGACAGTGTAGGCTCGCGTTGGGAGAGAGGAAGCCCACCCTGGCTCTCGCCCCCGTAACTCCGTAACCCACCCAGGCCTGTCCGGCCTGCAGTCTACCAATGTTCCCTTCTCAGATTTAATTCAGCCTCCAGGACCAGGGCAAGTCTTGGCTATGGCAAACCATCTCCTGTCTTTGGTCTCCCAGAAGTCCCTAGGAAAAATTGTTTTGGTCTCTGCCCCCTACCTAAGAGTTGGTTTGAAAGACCCAAAGTCTCTAAGGGTATGAGAAAGCCAGACAGAGACACCCTAATTGCGGTGTGAATGTTGGTTCTCCATCCCTTCCCAATCACTTCAACTCTACCCTACCCATAAGGTCCCCGGCAAAAGACTCTCGATTCCCCACGCCGAGTAGCCGGGCTAAGAGCGCCCAGGACACTGGGAACGCAAGGGAGCCCGGCAAAGCAAGCAGACTGCGGAAAGAGCTTGGCCACCCTTCTCCTGCCACCCCCCAGCTCTGGCCTACCCAGAGGTCCCTGGGAAATAAGGATTGGGTCCCGTCCCACATATCTTCACTCCCATAAGCAGCTGCTCAGGCTGGAAGGCCCTGGCGGCCGGAGAGGGCAGAGGCGAGCAGAGGCATAGGGGACGAAGCGCGCAGGGCACAGGGCGCGAGGCGCTGGGTGCAGGGGAACCCAGCAGCTGCGCCTACCTTCGGCTGCCTGCAGAACGCTGACCTCCAGCCCCTTAAACGTCTTGCTGGCGAGCTCCTCCAGCGCGCACAGCGGCGAGGTCTGCGAGAGCAGCGCGCGGCCCGCCAGGGGCAAGCCGCCCTGCGCGTGCTTGTCCGCGGCGGCCAGCAGGTGCGCCGCCCCGCACAGCGAGTAACTTCTCCGCACAGACGGCTTGTTGAGGATGTCCTCGATGCTGAACGGCGTCAGTGGCTTGTTGGAGTTGGCAGGCGGAGGCAGGTGGTCCAGCGGGCTGCGCCGCCGCTCCTCCCCCGGCGCCGCCTTGCCGTCCTCCTTGGAAGTCATCTCGGCCTTGTTCGGGGTCCCGGCCGGGGCGGCTCGGGCCGCGGGGACCCAGCCCGCGGGCAGCTCGGGCGCCGGACGGCGCGGGCAGGCAGCGGCGGGTGGAAAGGAGGCCGCACTGGGCAGGGCGCGGGCCGGGCGCGGGGCCGATTAGCGCGGCGGCTGAGGAGGGGAGAACAGCGCGGGGCCCCGGGAAGAGGGCGCTGACGCGGGCGCCGCTGCTGCTGGGGCTTCCAGCAATCCGGGGCCGGAGCCGGGGCGCGCTGCGCGGGGCTCCAGTTTCGCCAACCCCGGTGCTATTTAAAGGTGTCAGGTGGCTCGGCAGTGGCTCCTGGCCCCGGGTCCTGGCGGCCGCAGTTGGAAGAGCCGAGGCGAGGGCGCCGATCCCGGACTGCGAGGGAGGCGGAGAGACGGGGCAATTGACTATTGCTAACAAGTTAGCCTTGATCGCGGTGTAATCAATTATCTGCAGCGGCACTTCTTTCTCTTTCTCTCTCCTTTCTCCCTTTTTCCTCTCTTCTTTGCCTCTGTTCTCTCCTCCTGTTCTCGCTCTCCCTCCCTCCCTCTCTCTTCTCTCTTCTCTGCTCCCCCCTTCTCTCTCCTTCTCTCCCTCTCCCTCGCCCTCTCTTTCACTCTCTGTCTGTCCAATGCAGGCGGCTGTAAGTTGGGAAGCTCATTAATTAGCGGGCCGGGGGTAGGAGGAGCCGGCTGGAATTAGCCTGCCTAATGCGCCTGTCAGTCCGGGCGCTGCGCTGCGTTCGGCCCGAGCTGTTTGTAAATTACATTAGCTGCTCCTTTATTGCACCCGAACCTCGGGCGACTGAAAAGCCACCGCCCCCACCCCAAACTGCGAGCCGCGCTCCTGGCGCACCCGCCTCCCGCCGGCCTAGCTGCAATGACCGCACCGGCCCGAAGGTCTCGGTCTCTCCGACCCGGGATGTGGAGCCCGAAAGAGTGGTGGGAACCCCAGCCCGGGAGGGACGCGGCCGCCGCTCGGGCCAGGTAGGACCAGGAGCCCGGGTGGGCCCCGCTGCCACCCAGAGTGGACTTTGCGGAGCTGAGATCAAGAGCCCAGCGCCTCTACCTCTGACCCTCTTGCCCCTCACCCCACTGCCTGGGCGACGCGCCTGGGGAGAGGGAATCTGAAGCCCTCCTGCGCTGGCCCGCAGGAGGTCAGAGCCGGCTGCGCAGCCTTGGGTGGGCGACGCGGGAAGGGGGTGGAGGACCCCAGGGGTTGGGGGAGGGGGCTAGTCGGAGAGCTCAGCCTTCTCCACGCGGAGAGGCGGAGGAGGGAATTGTTGGCGGCTCTGGACGCCTCTCCCCGGCCTGATTCCGAAGCGGCCGCCCTACCTCCTCCGGCAATCTTGCTCACTTTCCTCCGGCAGCCGCTCCCCAGGCTGGCTGGGGCCACCAACGGCCTGATGATGGGCGTCTGAAGAGTAGCCAGGCCAGGTGCCGGGGCTAACGGGGCCGGCTCCGTGCCTCCCTGCTGCGCTCCGCCCGGGCCCCGGCCGGGGCCCCGCTGCCGGCCCCGCCTAGCCCAGCGCCCGGCTTGAGTGCATGGCCAGGCCGACTCCAGCTGTTCCGGATGCGGGGCGGGGGCCCGGCGGGAGCCAGGCCGCGGCTGGGGCTTTGCTCTCAGGAACTCGCAGGGAGGCCAGGCTTCCAGTTAGGCTGGGGCTAAAGACCTTAGGGCCCGGGATCTGTGAATATCGGGAGAACATGTTGTGTGCATTGTTACTTGAAGGTGTTTGTGTTTTTGAATGTGTGTTTGTGTGTGTTTCTCCATGCGTATATTTGTGTAAATGTGTGTGAACCTGTGGGTATATAGGTGTGTTTGAACTCAGCTATTTCTTTCATTTCCCTGAGGCATTCCAGCAGGGCTGTGCCCTCAGGCCTTCCTGTCTTGCTACCCCATTCTGTTTATGTGGGGCCACTGGCCTCCTTACTAATTTTCCATTTCTGCCCTTGGAGAAAGGAGGGGAGGACCTAGAGGGGGTTGGAGTCCAGGGAGAAGGGCTGTTCCCCTCCCACACACACACAGCCCTGGCCCTGGCTTTGTTTGTAAACTCCTGGGTGGGCGGTGAGGTTGGGCATTGGGCAGCACCGCTTGGACCAGAAAAGGGCCCAGAGAGGCCAAAGTGAGGATTTGTGGCCCAGGCCAAGGGTTGGAATGGGAAGATTAGGATTTCTTGCCCCCTCTCCCCTCATATCTAACCCCAGAGAGGGAGTGAGCTAAGCTGGGCTCCGGGGCGGGAAGCAGGTTCTTTCTCTGGATGCCTCAGCGTAGGGGGCCTCTGCACAGCAGAGATAGGTTTCATGATCTCACCTTCAGTTGTTTGTTTGGAATTGTGGCTGGCAGCTCTCTGGGGTAAAAAGGACAGTGTAGGGAGAAAGGGTTCTTGTTTGGTGCCCCAGTTCTGTGAATGTTGGGAAGAACCCCTACCCTCTAACTCATCTTTGTCCTGCATTTTCGGGGTGGCAGTAAGCGAGTGGGGGGAAGACAAATGCTCAGAGGCAGGATTGGTGAGAATGGGAATCACAGTTCCCTCAGAGCTGCAGACCCACTCCAGGGCAGACCTGTCTCTACTCTTCTGCGCTGCCCTGGGAGCCACGAGGTGCTGCTGGGCCTAGCAACAGAGGAGTCAGAGCCTAGAGACCAGCAGAGGCGGACCGGTGGGAGAGGGCGTTGGGGAGCTGAATCTGGGTGGCTTGGAAGCTCTGGGGCCAAGAGGGGTCAGTCCTCTCACTTCCTGCCCTCAGGATCCCATTTCAGCCTTTTCCTGCCATAACCCCAACCCCCTGACCCAGAGCCTCAGGCAAGTGAGGCTAGCAGGGAGGCAGGGAGGCCCCTCTAGATCCAGGAACAAGGACCCTTGGATCCCAATAGAGAGAAAGAGAGAGAGAGAGAGAGAGAGAGTTCCTCCCATACTTCCACACCCTTCCTGTCCTCTTCAGTCTTTGCATCGCATCTGGTACTAGCCCACAGGATAGGACTTTAAGGACAAGCCAATCCCCTGCTGTTGCCCATCTCCCAGATCCTCAAGACCAGCGGAGTTCAGGGTTACTGGGAAGCTGACAGGAAGGGGAACATGAACTGGGGAGCAGAGGGGTCCCTCTGCTTGGCGTGTTCTTAATGTCTTATCCTGCTGGCTAGTACTGAGATCTTTAGTCTTCAGCCACACCATGTCAAAAGGAACACGACGTCTCACAATCATCTGCTGAGTTACCTCCACCACCAACACCAAACCTCTTCTTCCCTGGCTGACCTGTACCTGCTGTCCAATCCTATGGCTTGGCTCTTTTGACCTAATTGGTTGGCCTCTTGGTTAAACACACTTGGGCACACCATATGGCTGGGGTGTGGAGTGCAGTGTGAGGTGCAGGGATGTGGGGAAGTCTGTGGTATCACCCTGTGTTTTGTTGTTTTGATTCACCCAGATCCCCTTATCCAGGCCACCTTTGGAAACCAGCCCACCTGCTACACCAACCTTTTCCCAACACCGTGGTCCCACCCCTACCTTCGCTGCTGAAAAACCGCATTGTGTGGGGGTCTGGAATCTTCTGGACTCCTGGGACCCCAATCCGCTTGCCTCTTGTACCCCTCTTGCAGAGCAATGAGGTATGTTTTGGGTTTGTGTACTGACCCCTACCTGCCTCCTCTGCCAGACCTGAGGGCAGGAGCCTTCCTCTGGGTATTCCAGTTCATCTCGGACCTTCGAAGTCCTAGGAGACACCGGGCTCCCGCTGAATATCGGTTGAATGACTTTCCATAGAGCAAATGGGGTATACATGATTGTGCAATGTGGAGGGGAATGGTTTGGGCCCCTCAGAGGAGTTTAGAGATTAGGAGGATTCCAGAAATGAGTAACACAGGGTCAGTGGGGGTAGAGCCAGCCCTGACATTCTGGGCTCCAATCTTTCTGCCCAATCCCCTACTGAGCCCCCATGCTGGGGCAAGGCAGACACTCTGGGGGTCTCCCCACCCCCAGTCAGCTGGGCCAGCATCTTCTCACCTGGAGCTGAAAGCAGCTGATTCCCAGAGTCTGCTCCACAGAGGGAATACCTGTCTTCAGAGCATAATCTATATGCTACCATGATCCTCAATTCCTGTTTGCTGCTTAAACAGCCAGGGTCCAGGTTTATTCTTTCTCAGTGGATAGGGAAGGGATCATTCTGCCAAAAATCTGCTTTCCCTCAGTTTAGGGAATATTCCAGACAAAGAAGAGGGAAACAGCATTTCATGAATTGCCACAATAAGGGGACCCTGCAGACCCAAACAAAACAGGTTAAACCTTAACACAGGAGAAGAATTCGCTTAAACCCCCAAAGACTCCATTGGATTCACTCTGGATTGTTTTGGTACCCCCATTCATTTCCAGATTATTTGTATAAGCACCAGCATTGACTCTCAGGCCAGAGTTCCTTTAGAGAAAAGGGTCTGACACTGCTTGAAACAAGTTAACTTGGCCAGCAGTGCGGATCATTTTACTGTTGTTGTTGTTGTCCCATGAAGACCTGCTACTCTGACACTCTGTGTGGAATTCAGAGTGTTTCTTCTCCTATGGAAGTGGACTATGATAAACGGCCTCCTGCCACCCAGGCTAAGTCAGGACTGCCCACTTGGTTTTTACATTTTGCCCTGGGCCACTGTCTGCAGTAACAGCAACAATAACCATGACAATAAATACCATAAGCCCTTACCTTGTGCCTGGCTCCAGGCTAAGAGTTTTATTCATTTCATTTATTACTCACAATCTTTCTAGGTAGCTATGCTCTTACCCCGATTTTACATAACAGGAAAATGAGGCCCAGAGAAGTTAAGTAACCCATCCAAAGTCACACAGCCTGTTTTGGAGTGATCAGGATTGGAACACTGTCCTTTTGTTTTGTTTTGTTTCTTATTCAAGTCTGTCCCCTTAATTCCTGAACCAGGGGGTTCTTAACCAGAGGTCCCCCAAGGGCTCTTTGAATGGGCTTCAGGGGCTCTGTAAATCTCAGAAATTTATATGTGTACCCAGGTGGGCACATTTTTCTGGGAGCAATATTATATAACACCCAGGATTCTCAAAGCGGGTGGGGATCCAGAAAAGGTAAAGGCTGGAATCAGGCCACTGTAGGGAAGGGAGGCAAGCCACTGGGGAAGGGGGATGGAAGCGGCCTCCTCCCAGGCCTGGGGAGCAGGGAGGCAGCTGCTTCAAAATTCAGGCTGGGCTCCAAGCCTGCTCCTGGACCTGCCCTGCTTTTTCTGGCCACACCCAGCTCTTAGGACCTCAGCTGGCAGGAAGACGTGGGGCACCATCTGAGGGCAGGACACTCCTTTGGTCCCCTCCCTGATTCTCCCCTTCCCTACTTCTTTTGTGAGCTGAATTCCTTCAGAGCACTGTGACAAGGTGACCATACCACATGCACCAGCCTCCTCCAGGCACTGTAATCCTGCTTGGAAGGAGCGGGGAGTGCTTGCCCTTTGGAAGTACTGGGGGACATAGACAGACCACTGAGTGACAGAGACAGGAAGGGAGGAGAAGAGACAAGTTCCCAGAGATGCTCAAGTCCTGGGTGCCCACTCTCTGCAGCCTCTAGAACAGCCTTCTCTTTTGGTTCCAAGCTTTTGCTCCCCTCATCCAAGGGTTGGGATGATTTGTGTCCCTTCCTTTCCTGGCACCTCCTGCTCTGTCTCTAGTGCTCAACTCATTTCCTGGGGGAAACCTTCTCTGCCCTGTTCAGCTCCTCTGCGCTCCTTAGCACATTCCCCTGGATGTCACTGTCATATTGCCAAGAATGTGTTGCTTTGTCTGTCTGTCCTGCCTCTCTCTCTCCATCTGTTGTGAACTTGGGAAGGAAGGACCTGAATCACCTCTCCATGCCCCTATGCCAGCCCAGCATACACCAAGGGGTCCAAGCATTTGTTGAGTAAATAAACTAAATAAATAAACAAGGGACAAAAATGGAGCCAGACAGGGAACTTAGCCTGTGCCTCAGAGAGAGGACCAGGGGTAGGTGTATTGGTTTTGCCAGCTGCCTGCAGATGCGTGCGGTGCTCCTACTGCTCACACCAATATACTCAGAGGGGCCCAGAAGCCTCATTCTCTAATGCTTTTTGGCTATGGAGTGAGTTTCCTGGGTTGTGGACCCAGCTGTGGTGGTGTGGTCTGACTTAGTAATGAACTTCCTTCATTTGCTTTTTTTGTTTGTTTTTGAGATGAGGTCTCACTATGTCACCCAGGATGGAGTGCAGTAGCACAATCTGGGCTCACTGCAGCCTCGACCTGCTAGGCTCAAGTGATCCTCCCACCTCAGCCTCCCAAGTAGCTGGGACCAAAGGAGCATGCCACCAAGCCCAGCTAATTTTTGTATTTTTTGTAGGGATGGAGTTTCATGATGTTGCCCAGGCTGGATTTTTTTTTAAATAGGATTAAGGCCGGGCGCAGTGGCTGGGCCTGTAATCCCAGCACTTTGGGAGGTCGAAGAGGGCAGATCACTTGAGGTCAGCAGTTTGAGACCAGCCTGGTGAACATGGTGAAACCCTGTTTCTACTAAAAATACAAAAATTAGCCGGGTGTTATGGTATGCTCCTGTAGTCCCAGCTTCTCGGAGGTTGAGGCAGGAGAACTGCTTGAACCTGGGAGTTGGAGGTTGCAGTGAGCCGAGATCGCACCACTGCACTTTAGCCTGGGTGACAGAGCAAGACGCTGTCAAAAAAAAAAAAAAAAAAAAAAAAAGAAAGAAAGAAAGAAAAGAAAAGGAAAGGAAAGAAAGAAAATAGGATTGACCCCCCCATCATTCGTTGGGCCCAGAAGCAGAGAGGAAGAATGGACAGAAGATGGGAGGTGATGGGCAGGCAGGAGTGGCAGGAAACAGACACCCACACGCCACTCCAGTAGCCCAGGGGTCTGTGAAGAGGATAAAGGAACCTAAGTGAGCATGTGTGTGTGTGTTGGGGGGGGGGGCGCGGTGTGGGGGGAGAGTCTGGTTCTGTTCCTGATGGAGGTGGCATTTGAGTTGAACTTTGTAAAACCAGGAGCATGTAAATAGGTGCAGGAGCAGGGACCATCCTGGAGGCAAAGGGAACAGCCGAGCACAAGCCCGAAGATGCCACCCTAAGAGAGGTTCCAGAGTTCCCTATAGCTCCTCCCTCTGTTGTCCTGGCGGTGAGCTACTGGGTAAGGGTGAAACCCTTAGTCTCTTGTTTATCGGCAGCAGGTCTGCAGCCTAGAGCCAGGGGCTGCTGGACTCCTGGGATGGCTATTTACTTATTTATGGGGTGGGGTGAGGGGTGGGGATGGGATGAGAGAGGCTGCTTTCCTGGGCCTACAATTGGAGTTCCCTTCTCCTTGCCATCCCCAGAAACTCCAAGAGCTGACCCTCTGTCTTACTAACTCAAACGGCCCAGAAACATCAAAGTCTGACCAAAAACCGTTAATGGTAGTCAGCTCCCTCCCTTTCACAGAGGTCTCACTACTGTCGGGGGGCGCCGGGCGCAGGCCGGGCATGGGGCCTGAGCTTAGGCCAGGTGGAAAGGTGGAAGGACCTAGTGGGGACAGACGAAGAGACCGAGGAGCCGCCCGCCCGGCTAAATGGACACAGGAAAGGCCTGAGTCAGGCTTCTCATAATAAATAAACTGCACGTGAATAATTCAGCAGTCGCGCGGGGGCCGGTTGCATCAGCGCCGCCGCCGCCGCGCGGCGCCCAATTCCCCGCGGAGGGGAGTAGCCAATTAAGGCACTTGAAAAGGGAGTCGGGTGGAAGATCCCCCGCCCACCAGTATCCTGGATTTACCCAGGTCGAGTTCAGAGAGCCTCCCCGGTCCCAACCCCCTCGGGCCCCATGGGTCAGGGGGCCGCCTGCTGGGAAGTGCTACCTCAGCTAAGCCGCTCAGGTGTCCCGAGACTCCGGGCAAGGGAAGACAGGCGGCGAGACGGAGCCAGAATAAGGGATGCGGACGTCTGACCTGTGGAAAACCCAGCATCTGCAGTGCCCAGCCGCACAGGGAACGTGGGCGGCGTGGTTCCAAGCACAGTGAAGACGCCAGGCTCGGATCTGTGCTCAGAGCCGGGATCCCTCCGGGCTGCTTCGTCCTGGCCAGGACTTTCCTTGCCCTGAAGTGAGGCGCCAGGGAAGCTGCAGGGCCCTCCGCCCTCTCTGAACTCCCACGTACTTGGGCCTCTCCCAGCCTTTCTTGGACCTGTGGAAGCAATTCCTGCAGGACCAGACTCCCCTGTCTCCCCGCGGCCCCCTAGGTACACTCCGTAACTTCCGAAACCTTATTTCGTTTGAGCGAAACCCGGCCCCTTTGGCTCTTCCCACTTCCCACAAGTCCCTGGGTTCCCGATCCTGAGGGATTGCATTCATCCCATCTCACACCCACCAACGCTCAATCCCTCCAGTTCCTCCCCAGCCCCTTCACTTCCATTAATTAGGTCGACTCCCTTCCTTCGCCGCTCCCTCCTGTCCCCACTCAGCCTCCCTACACCTATGCGGCGAGCCTCGGGCCAAGACCTCCGCCCTGGCTCCGCCAGTCCTGCGGGGGCCGGCATGCACCAGACCTCAAAAGGGATCTTCACGGGAATTCCGCATAGCCAGATCCCAAGCCTCCAGGGAGGCCACCAGCCCTCCCCCATCTTCTTCTTCCTCCTCCGTCTCCTTTCCTCTTCCCTCCGCCTCTACGTATTTCTTTCTATTCGTTTCTTTTCGTTTGGTGAGGTGCCACCCGCCACAGCCCTGTCCCCTAGGGAGAGGCCTGGACTAACTTTGCCGTCCTCGTGGCCTTAGCCCGGACTGTGAGTCTCGAGCGGCTTCCGAGAGGCAGCTCGGGTGTCTTCGCAGAGACAGATGAGGTGGGCTGGCGATTCCCTAGCCTCAGATGGCTCTGCCACCAGCCAGCTCTGTGATCCTGGGTAAGTCTTTCAACCTCTCTGAGTCTTGACGTTGGTAAAAGGCAGGAGATTTAGAGAAGGTGTTGGGAGACTAAATCTTTTCATTCGTTTGAGAAAGGGAGTCGCCTGTGTTGGGACCTAAGGAGGAAGTGAGGTTCTTGAGAATTCTAGATCTGAAATGGCCGTTTGTTTTAACGAGTATTTTGGGAGCAGCTGATAACTTTTTATTTTTATTTTTATTTTTTACAGCCGATGGGGTGCCAGGCATTAGAAACCTTCCCTCCAATCCTCACCATGTCTCCATTTTGCCAAAGAAGAAACTGAGGTTAAGGTCGCGATGCTCTGGCCAGCATCACAGGTGGGATTCGAACGCAGATGGGGTTTGGAGCGGCTCTTGTGTTTAAGCCACACAGTCTGACGTTAGACGGGTGAATCCAGCCCTCGCAGGGCCTGGAGTGACCTAAGCCGAGAGGAGCTGGGCTGAATCTCCAGGCGTTCCTTTCTTTCTGCCCTAGGAAAGCTTTGAAATTCTTATTTTCAGGTAAACGATTTTGGCAGTGCCCGGAGAAAGATAGAAGTAAGACCTAAAGAGGAACTTTCCGCATGTTATGGGAGAGCCCCTGGGGCGAGGAGGCGAGGGCAGCCTTCCCCAGGCCAAGGGAGCAGCCATCGCTCTTGGATCTGTTTTTCCTCAAGCGTCTGTCCTGTGGGGCCTAGTCCCCAAGCGGCAGTCCTGGACCTAACGGGAGAAGGGGCTGGGGGAAGAGGGCGCACCCCCAGCCCGGGACCCACAGCAGCCCTAGCCAGTCCCCCACTCTCTCCCTCTGTAGGGGCCTCTCTCTGAGATCGGGTCCTCCTCCTGCAGGGCAGCAGAGTGGAAGCCAGGGCCTGGGACCCTCTGGCTGGGCAAGGAGGGACTGGAGTCCGGCTCCCGGTGACCCCGTCCCCAGTGCCAGCGGTGGGGTCGCCTGTGGCGGCCCGGACAGGCCACGGGTCCCTCTCCCCAAGTCCCATTACGTTGTATTTATGTTTCATTTTATAGTTTTTTTTTCCTCCTCCCTTATTATTGTCTCACTCTGGGGGAGGCAAAGGATATAATATATTCATCTTTATTATACCAAATCTGTGTGAAGCATTTAATAAAACGCTGTTTCCACACAGCCAGGGATATTAGTGTGAGCTATCCTTAAGTTAATGCTCCTGGACTGAGGGCGCCGCTGCCACAGCGCCTGCTGCCGGCGGGTCGCGGGAAGCGTAGGCCCTGGCCGCCGCGCTCCCCGCGCGGGTCCAACGCCCTGGGTGCCCTTCTCGCCTGCGCCTTGAAGCCCCCACGCCCATCCTAGCGCGTCTCTCTGTGACCTCTCGGCCGCCAGCCTGGGAGGAGGGGTTTGGAAGAGCCGAATTCAAGCACCCTTCCTCTCCCCTGCCACACCCTGCATTTCGAATCCGCTGTGGGCCTTGGCTTGCATCTATGAAAATGGGAAGAATTCCATCACTGCCTCCCTCTCAGGGATCTTGAGAGGCCGAAGATGCCTTGAAGGTGGACAGGATTTTTTAAACAGGAAAGAAAAAATCGAGAATTTGTAAGGTCAGGATCAATGAGGGCCAGAGAGAAATAGAGAGGCTGCAGGAGTGGTTTCAGGCAACACAGAGCGAGCTGGACCCCAGGCGAGCAGACAGGGTGCAACTCCAGTTTGGGCAGAACCCAGGAGGTTTCGGCATGCCTGGGCCTCACCCCAGCCCACGAAGACAGCTGAACCTAGTCAGGATCTCGGCCTGTCACAGTTGGCCCTCTCATAATCCTCCCTCTAGGTAGGAAAATAGTCTTTTTAAGTCCAGTTTTACAGCTAGCAAACTGAGGCTCACAAAGATCACGTGGCTTGTTTGAGGTGAACAAACTAGGAAGTAGTGTAGCTGGTCACACTGTCTTCCAGACTCCATGCCCCTCCCCGCCCCCATTCTCCAGGGTTTTTCTGTAAACCTTACATTCTGCCTTCTACACACGCGCGCGCGCACACACACACACACACACACACACACACACATCCCTACCTGGAGATGCCCATGGGAAGGAGAAACACCCTCATTACTTTCTATATCCAGGCCCACTGCTCAGTGTCTTTCAGAGCCCACCACCTGGCTTCTTATAGGGCCCAGATCTGGGCACACCATTCTTACTTAGGCTGCTTGTACCTGTGCTGTAGGGGAGAGGGAGTTGGCTGTAACCAGGCAAAGCCAGGCAGAAGGAGTCATGCAGGACAGGCTTGAAGTGGGCAGGTGAGTCTCCCTGGCTAGAATCCATACTCTCCTAGGAATCTCAGTCTTCCTCTGCCCCCATCACCCCATCCCTGGGAGTGGGGGCTGCACAAGCTCAACACACATCCTGTAGGCTGCTGGTCAGAGCTCCTTTGGAGACTTAAGTTACTTGAGAAATCTGACAGTTCCCCCCTGGGGCTGGCTGGGGAGGAGGCACAGACTGTGTGGCAGGGCTAGGACTAGGGTGAGGCATGTGAGGTGCCATATTTAAGGAAGGCATCTGCTCTCAGCTCTGTGTGTGATCCCTTAGGTTTTGTGCCGTGGGCATCTCACTCGCCTCACCCTAGTCCCAGCTCTACTGTGTGGTCTGGGAGTTAGAATCAAGTCCAGTGAACTGCTGAGAGGGGACAGGGAGGCTGATTTCAGCTCATCCTTGAGAATGGCTTTCTGAAGGATCAAAGTGGAAACAATGGAATGAGCTTCCCCCAACACATGGAGTATGCAAGCAGGGCTTAGCGCTTGCTAAGAAGGAAAATAATCACGGTCTTATTGTCATCACCAATATTGTCCTCATTTGACCATCACTTTGTGTCAAGTAAAAGCTGTCATCACATTGTTTCATTTAATGTATATAAATATGTTTTAGCTGAATATGGGATATCAGAGTCTCTGACTTTGGGGTCCTTTCCAGCTCCAAGAGTCCATTGTTGCATAAGACAAAGAGCACTTCTGTTGATTTTTGTTGGTTTGATGCATTGTCATTATTTGTGGACTTATAGTCTTATACTAATGGATAAGACTTTGAGGGCAGGGACTGTGTCTAATCACATTTTTTTAAATGATTCCCTCTCCTGTTCCATGCTGACCACGGGCCTGGGGCACATAGAAGCTGTTCAATAAATGTGTATCAAACAAACACATGAGTAAACCAGTGTCTAAAAGCTGTCTGCCTACCTGGCCATCTGCTTTCCGGGCTGTGACCGACAGAGCCACTAGGGTGGCCACTGGGGGAACAAGAACCACCTCTGCAGTCATTATCCCCCTTATTCTACAGCTGAGCTGAGTTCAAGTGGGCATGTCTAGAGCCTCCCCTGACATCACATGCCTAGCCCTTTGCTAGTTTGTGGATAAGACAAGGGCCAGCCCAGGTTCTGCCTGTGCAGAAGGATCTCAAGACTCATACTGGACAAATCTCTTAAGAAACCATTCAGATGGTGAGGGAAGCCTCTGCAGATCAGAGCAGAGAAGGGCCTATAGCCAGAGAAGCCTGGCTGGCAAAGCTGAGACTAGAGCTAGTCCTTGAAGCATGAGAAGAATTGAGTGGTTGGAGGGAAGAAATAGACAATTCTTGCCGGGTGTGGTGGCTCACATCTGTAATCCCAGCACTTTGGGAGGCCAAGGTTTACTTAAGGCCAGGAGTTTGAGACTGGTCTGGCCAACATGGTGAAACCCCGTCTCTACTAAAGATACAAAAATTAGCTGGGTGTGGTGGCACATGCCTGTAATCCCAGCTACTTGGGAGGCCGAGGCAAGAGAATCACTTGAACCAGGGAGGCAGAGGTTGCAGTGAGCCGAGATCGCACCACTGCACTCCAGCCTAGGCAACAGAGTGAGACTCCATCTCAAAAAAAAAAAAAAAAAAAGAAGAAGAAGAAAAGAAATAGACCATCCTAGGTTGGATGGGGAGCAAGAGCAACGGGACAGAGGCAGGAATGGCCACAATCATTTTGGGGAGCAGGCAGGCTAGCCTGGCTAGAGTACCAGAAGAAGACAAGTAGGAAAAGGCATTTGTGGAATGCCTTGAATCTCCAGGCCCAGACCCAGAGAACAGAAAATGGGGTTCAGAAATCAGAATCCACATCCTAGAGCCTAGAAACCAAAGCCTAGAACTCAGAAAGCAGGGGCAAAGTTCAGGACCCAGTCTTGTCTAGGGCAGTCCCATTAGCTGCTGTAACAGGATGCCTTGGGGACTCCAAACTCAAGGGGCATGATCTTATTGGGAAACAAAGTGGACTCTTCTAATTGGCTTAGTCCAGGAAACCAGAGATCTGACCCAAGCACAGGAGCAACTTGGGTCTGCCTGAGACTTGCCCTCCAGGACTGGCATGAGCAGCTGTCTTGGGTCCTCCCAAATCACAGCCTGAAGCCTGGCATTATCTGCAGCCCAGCAAGCACCCTGAGCTGGAACAGGTGTTGCCTACCAATATACACCTTCACACCCCTCAATCCTCCCTTTTATTCTCTAATACAGGTGGGATCTGAGATTTTAGGCTAGACCCAGCTGGGGCAGGCCTCTGGAGGGTGGAGCCATGGTGCCTGCAGCAGTGCCAAACGAGCCAGCGTGTAGGCGTTACTGCGCCGGCCTGTCGCGGGGCGCAAGCCTGCCAAGGAGCCGGAGCGCTGTGCCGCGTGGAGGGTGTCAGGGGTGGTATTGTCGGCGCACAAATGCTCAACTTTATGTACTTTTAACTAGAGGTGTAACAGATGGCCCCGTTTCTGTCCAAGCCAGGGAGACTGGTGCCCATTCCGGCTGCAGCCAATCAATCCCGTCACTCTGGGGGGAGCTACAAGCTGGGCTGGGAGGCCTGGAGCCAGCAATTGCGCAAGGCTGTCTGCTCAGGCTGGCCCAGTGCAGCCTCCGCCAGCCGCTCAGCCATCGGCCTGGGGAGGTAGGAGGTCAGGCAAGTGGCAGCCATGCCTGGAGCCTGGTCAGAGGCCTACCTGGGAGGGAGAGCCTGAAACCACTCATCAGACCCCACATGGCCAATGAGTACATCAAGGTGCCAACTCACTCCACTGTGTCCTCATTCTCCTGTGGTCCTTGCTCAGGACCTAACTCCCAGATCTCTAGCTTCAAGAAGCTTTGGATCTATAGCCCTGTAGTGTCCTGTGTTATGGACAGCAGACATTGCTCAGGACTGGGGGTGGGTAGTGATGCCATTGAGAAATAGTCACAGGACTGTGAAAGGCTTCAAGAAATGCCCAAGACAGCCTAAGAAGAAGAGAAAACAGCAGGAGCCAGGGATCCCAGAGCTGAGAGAAACTGTGGATTAATCTATTATTATATTTGTACAGTCAACAAACACTTAGTGAAAGCCTACTGTGAGCTAAGACTTTTATTAAGCACTGAGGACACAATGATGAATAAGACACAATTCCTGTCCTTGAGACCTTTTTGGGGGAAGACAGACAAGTACACGGGTAATTGGAGCAATGAACTGGGGCCCATAAAATCTCCAAAAAGACTGCGGAAGCACAGAAGAAGAGCATTTAACTGCCTGAGAGATCCAAGGAAGATTCCAGTAGGGGGCTGGTTCTGAGCTGGGTTTTAAAAGACAGGTAGGAGTTTTCATGGGAGGTGAGGGCGAAGGGCATCGGAAAGGGAAGGGATGGCATGAGCAAAGACATGGTAAGAAAACATGGTGAAGGGAAGTGTCTGAAAAGATGTGAGTGGAACTGGGGTCTGGGATTTGGGAGAAGGAGTGGAGGGGATGAGGCTGGGCAGGGGAGGGGGCAGGCCTAACCCTGTTTCAGCAGGCTGGCAACCTGACCCAGCAGGTGTCTTCCCCCAGTTGGCCCTTCTGTCACCTTCTGCCCCTTATCCTGGTGCCACAGGGAAGGAAAGTCCTAGCAGGGTGTAGGCAAGTGGTCCAGAGTGCTCCAGTCCTGGCCTGCCTTCTGTCCTGCGTTGAGGGACAGGGCTGTCAACGAACTCTCCCCTAACCGTCTACCCAATGGACTTCTGAGTCTCCTAAAAACAGCATTTCTGTAGGCTCCCCACAAAGGCTTTGGAACCTTATTCATTCATTCATTCTTTTATTTACCAAGCATTGGGCATCAGCTGTCTTCAACGCCCAGGCAGGATACTGAGGTAGACAGACTATTGTGCTGGACTTCGAGAAGCTCAAGTCCAGACATGAGAGGAAGACAGGGGTCTGGGCAGGGGTCCTTCTGTTTGCAAGAAACAGAGGTTCACTTGAGTAATCACAAGAAAAAGGAAGGCCTTTTGTATTGAAAAACACGGCTTGTCATTGGAACTGGGCCCAGAAAGCACGCAGGGACCAAAGAAGCTCTGGGGACCAACTTCTCTCTCCTGGTCAGGTGGAAGGGAACCCCACAGGGTCTCTTTCTTCTTTATCTCTTTCTTCATTATTATTAATGAAATTAATAATTATTATCATAATAAGTGGAGGAAGAATAATTGTTAACAAATTCTGAGCCAGATCTATTGATTTCCATGCTTATCTCCATTAATCCTCTTTAGAACACCGTGCAGTTAGTTAATATCATTACCCCCATTTTACATATGAGAACACCGAGGCTCAAGGAGGTTAGGTAAGCTGCTCCAGGTTCAAGCCAGGAAGTGGCAGAGTAAGGATTCTCACTCAGGTCAGCCTCCCAAGCTCCAGCTCATAACTGCTTCTGACCCCCGTGCAGCACCGAGAGCTTCCTGGGTTTCCTCATAATTTCTCATAACCGTGACTTGCATTTGACCAGCCGGCCTCTCTGAGTCTCTCTCTACATCACCTCTGCTAACTGCTCTAGTCTCTCAGTATTTCATAGTTCAAATTCCCAGGAGAGGAAATCGGATTGGCCCAGCTCATCTTTTAACGCCAGGACACATTGTAAACAGCTGCCCAGCCAAAGAGCTGGCTGGGAGTGGAGCCATGTGCAGTCACCAATCAGCATCTTTGAAAGAGCAAAGCACAGAAATAATACAGTAAGGAGGAAATGCGAATGGTTACAGGAAGAAATGTGAGGTGCAAAAAGAGGATGAGAGGAGGCTTCATGGAGGATAGTTTGTGGTTTGAGTCTCGAAATAAGAATAGGATTTGAGGGGCAGAGTTGGAGCCAAGGAGTTTCTGAAGGAGGAAACAGCATGAACACAGGCACAAGAGTAGGATTGCATGAGTCATGTTCAAAGGCCTCTGTATAAACTAGGAGAGAGAGGTAGAACAGAGCTGGAAAGGTGGGACTAGAATGCCAGCACAAGGAGTCTGAACTGAATTCAGTGGGGGTCATGGAAGGTCTCTGAGCTGGAGAGGGATGTGATCAGGCACATGCTTTAGTTCGGATAACCATATGCCCAAGGTAGTTCCAGTTTATGCCTGCTGTTCCTCTGACATTGTTTTTTTATTTTAAATTATTATTATTTTACAGATCCTCCTTTCACTCCTCCTGGTTTGAATACTAAAGTATATGGTCACCCTAGCTTTAGGGGCTATGGGCTGTTGCTATGGTAGGAATAGCATGAGTGGGACATAGCATGAGTGGGACAAGATTGGAGGCAGGAGGGTCATGGATGAGGGTATTGCCACAGTTCAGGTAAGGAAGGGCAGAACCAGAGCAGGCAGAGAGGACAGAACACAAAGGGGCGTGGGCAAGAGCTGAGGCTAGTGGAAAGTTGGCCAGACCTGGTGGGTGAATGGGCTTGGGAAATAAGGAAGGAGAAGGGTGAAGTCCAATGACTCCTAGGTGTTAAACTTGATTGTTCTTTGTTCGTTTGTTTGTGTGTTTGTTCGTTTGTTTGTTTAAATACAGACAGGGTCTCACTATGTTGCCCAGGCTGATCTCAAACTCCTGGGCTCAAGCAATCCTCCTCCCTCAGCCTCCCAAAGTGCTGGGATGACAGGCATGAGCCACCATGGCTGGCCAGGCTTGATTGTTTGAAAGCAGGTGGAAGTCTGGAGGCAGGGCTTGTTAGGGTTAGGGGATAGAGATCATGATTATGTTTACGATGAGTCTGAGGTGCTCCAGGGACGTTCACTCACACATGCCCAACAGGAAGTTGGACATTCCAGAGTGGAAGTCAGAAGCTGTCAGTTAGAGATTCTTCCAAGCAGATAGCTCGTTGAAACCAGGGAAGTGATGAGCTTGCTGGAGAGAGGGAATGGTAGTTCAAGACTGGAAACAGAATCCTGGGAGATCCCTATATTTAGGAAGTTGGAGGAAGGAAAGAAGTCAGAGGAGACTAAAAAGGAGTGGTTGGGAAGTAGGGAGGAAATGAAGGGGAGTGAGTGGCTTGGAGATCATGGCAGTTTTGGGTTTTTTGTGTTTTTGTTTTTGTTTTTGAGACACAGTTTTGCTCTGTTGCCCAGGCTGGAGTGCAGTGGTGCGATCTTGGCTCACTGCAACCTCCGCCTCCCAGGTTCAAGCAATTCTTCTGCCTCAGCCTCCTGAGTAGCTGGGATTACAGGTGCACACCACCATATCTGGCTAATTTTTGTATTATTAGTAGAGACGGGGTTTCACCATGTTGGCCAGGCTGGTCTCAAACTCCTGACTTCAAGTGATCCGCCCACCTCAATCTCCCAAATAGAAGTTTTTTAGGAGGGAATTAGTATCAAATTGTGCAGATCAATCAGTGAGGAAGACAGAGTAATAGGCCAGTGGGTGGTTATTTGGAGGTCGCAGACGACTGTAAGAGACTACAGTGTGGTGGGGATATTGAATGAAGAGTTGAATGGCAAAGAACTAGAGGTGATTACGGCGATTACTCATTCAAAAAGTCCAGGAGAGGCCGGGTGTGGTGGCTCATGCCTGTAGTCCCAGCACTTTGGGAGGCCAAGGCGGAAGGATCACTTGAGTTCAGGAGTTGGAGACCAGCCTGGGCAACATGGTGAAACCCCGTCTCTACCAAAAATACAAAAAATTAGCCAGGCATGGTGGCATGTGCCTGTAGTCCCAGCTACTTGGGAGGCTGAGGCACAAGAATCACTTGAGCCTAGGAGGTGGAGGCTGCAGTGAGCCCAGATGGCACCATTGCACTCCAGCCTGGGCGACAGAGAGAGACCCTGCCTGAAAAAGTTAAAATTGAAATTAAAAAATAAATAAATAAAAACAAAAAGTCCAGGAGAAAGGAGGGAGGGAGAACCAAGAGTGACAAGGTATAGGAGAAGATGCTTGATGGAGAAAGTTCTGGAAAGGCACCCGAGATGTTGAGTCTTTGGTAAGAAGAAGGAACTCTTCCTCCTCAGAGACAGGAGAGAAGAAAGGATAAGTGATGATCCAGGGAGATTCTGAGGTGGACTGGCAGGTTTGGGGACAAGTAGAGTGGGGCACATTGTTTGAAGAATGGGCTCCATATTTTTGGTCAAGTAAGAGGGACAGTCCTCTAAGAGAGGAGAGCAGGGAGTTGAAAGCTCATGGAGGAAGCCTGTAGTGGTTGTGGAATTGTAACAGGGAGTCACTTACAGATGCAGAGAAAGTGTTTTCCACATGGTGACAAGGAATTAGTTGAGGCAGCATGAATGAGTCAGTTTTTTCACCTGCTCTAGAGTGCCCAGGAATGGGAGCCAGAAAAGTAATTGATGGTGTTGCTTAGGGCTGGAGCAGGGTGGGCAGGATGGAAGCAAGCACAGGGTTGAAGTGGCTGATACAGAACCAGGGTAAGAAGGGAGAAAGTAAAGCCAGAATGGGGGTGAGGGACTGGGAGAAAGCAGACAGTTTCAGGGACTACAGAGCAAGTCAACAGGAATGAATGAGGTGAGAAGATAAGGGATTGGGCTCAAATAAGAGAAGTTCAGATCCTGAAATTCTGGAGTTTCCAAGGAGTGAAGGGAGTGAGGGTCATGCCAATTAGTGGCTGGACAGGAAGTGAAAGATCCTGTCCAGAATAGCTCAAGACCTTCAGGTCTTCAGTAACCCCATGCTGGGGGGCAAAGGAGGCTGGCTGGGGTGGCTGGGCATGAAGCCAATCTCAGCATCCCTAGTGACATTCGGGTTTGATTTCCTTTGTATTCATGCACGTGGTATATGTCCCTTTATTAAACACAAAGAACATTCAAATAATTAAAATAATGGCCCGTAATCCTACTCCTCAGAAATTACCAATGGTAATATGTTGTTGAATACTCTCCCAGATCTTGATACAGGTATCCTTTCTAATCAAGGCACTGGCAGACTTGGTGTTGTGTGAGGGCCCTTTGTCTTTCTTTGTTTCTTTCTTTCTTTCTTTCTTTTATTTATTAATTTTTTTGAGACAGTGTCGCTCTATTGCCCAGGCTGGAGTGCAGTGGCACAATCTCAGCTCACTGCAACCTCTGTCTCCTGGGTTCAAGTGATTCTCGTGCCTCGGCCTCTTGAGTAGCTGGGATTACAGGTGCCTGCCACCATGCCCGGCTAATTTTTGTATTTTTAGTAGAGACGGGGTTTCACCATGTTGGCCAGGCTGGTCTCAAACTCCTGACCTCAAGTGATCTGCCCACCTCGGCCTCCCAAAGTGCTGGGGTTACAGGCATGAGCCACTGTGCCTGGGAGGGGCCTTTTCTCGGAGATGGAGGCTTCTAGCTGTGTCTTCACATGGAGGAAGGGCTATACATGCTTTTTTAAAAACCAAAATGAGGATTACATTATATAGACATAATGGTTTTAAAAATAAACCATTTTGGAATTTTGGTAATTTTGGAATAATTTTAGATATACAGAAAACTTGCAAAGCTAGTACAGGGTTTCCATACATCCCTTATGCACTTTCCCCTAATGTTAACATCTTACATTACCAAGGTATATTTATCAGAGTTAAGAAATCAGCATTGGTATGTTATTATTGACTGAACTTCAGATTTTATTTGGCTTTCGGTAGTTTTCTCACTAATGTCCTTTTCTTATTCCAGGATCCAATCCAGGCTACCACATTGCATTTAGTATACATACTGTTCTGCAACCTGCTTGTTTTACTCAACGTTACATTGTGAATGTCTTTCAATGATGCTAAACATTCTTCCACGCCATCATTTTAATGGCTACATGGTATTCTGTTGATGGTTGTACCATTGCCAATCCCTACTGTGGGATGTTTAGGTTGTTTCCAATTTTTCACTCTTATAAACAAGGCAGGAATGAGCCCCTTGAAGTTAAATCGTCTGGACTATTCCTGTTTATTTCCTTACAATACCGTCCTAGACATTGCTAGGGATAAGGGGGTATACTTTGTGGAGGCTGGGGATACTTCTTACCCAACTTTCCTCCTGAAAGGTTGTATTAATTTACCCTCATATTGGCATCAATCATGCTTTTTGTTGGTTTTGTTTATGACAAGGAGGGATGTGGGTGCAGACCAACTCTTAAGAGTGGCTGTCTCTCAATGCCAGGCTTCTCGATACCACATCCTATCTCTCTATCCTCAACTCTTCTCTAAGCCACGGAGTCTGTATTGGCCCGGACTGCAGTTAGCAGCTGGGGTAGGGGTTGGGTGTGGCCAGGCTATGGCCCCTGGGCTCTGGGGACATCTCCTAAGCTGGGAGCTGGGAAGGGGGACTGGGCGGCTGCCTGGGCTTTGGTCTTTTTCCTGGAGCTGAGCTGGCCGGAGGGAAGGGTTGGGTTGGGCAGAGGCTGTAAGGAGAGGGGGAGCTCTCCTCTCCCCTCGTGAAAGCTGAGAGGCAGGAGGGCAGCTCCCTGAGCCAGCCGGGGGACAGCAGACGGATCGGGAGAAACGTAACCTCCCCGAGATGCATGCTCCAGTTCAAGCAGGAGGCATTAAGGATGAAATATCTCCCGAGCAACAATTCATCTCTAACTGGTAGGAGAGGGACTCGCTGACATTTAGCTGTGATCAGGGTCTGCACATGCCTGTCTCCAGAAGCCTAACAGGAGCGTGACCGTCTGCGTGTACGAGAGACTGTGTGTGCGCATGTGTGTGTGTGTAACAGAGTGTGAGGAACTGTGTGTGGCTGTAATGAAGCAAAGGGTATACGGGTGATGTGGTGTGTAAGGAACCGCATGTGTGATGGGATATGAAGGCTTATGTGTGACTTTCGCGAGGCTGTGTATGCATGTGACAGTACGTGTGTGAGGATCTTCGTGTGATTGTGAGCATCCTCAAGTGTATGTGAAAGCTATGTCTGTAATAGGGTGTTGGAGCCTGTGTGTGATGTCGAGCAGTGTGGATGATTGTGCGAGCGTACGATAGGGTGTTCTGCAATACTCTGTATGAAAGCAAGATTGATCCTGAAATTGGGCTTGAGACCTTATGAGATTGAGCATGCGGGATAGTAGATGTGAAACTGACCCCCAGACTAAGCTAGCCACCGCCACCTCAGGACACCGCCAGCGCAGGAGATGGCTTTGAGAGAGTTAAAAAGAGGCACCCCTTCTGTCACAAAGACACAGACACTGGTCATGCTCTCCTGGAGCCCTCTTGTGTGGTGCAGCCTGCGTAACTCTAAGTGAAGACCCTGTGTGGAGCCCCTGCTCTCTTAGAGTCCAGTGAAATTTTCTCTACCATGACCCTTATTATGATTTGACTGTCTTTAACAATTTTGTGTAAATATTCATTTAATATATGTATCTCTCTCCTGCTAGGCTGTAAGCTCCATGGAGGCTGGGACCACTGGTCTAGGTCTGTCTCGTTCATTGTTGTCACACCGGCTCCTAGCCCGGTGCCTGGGGCAGAGCGGTTGCTCCATGAATATTTGTTGGATGACTGAATGGATAAGACAGGGTGCACACATACAAGTGTGAGTGCACAGGCATATAGAAGTGTGGACCTGAGCCAGGGCGTCCGTGTGCATTCGCTGGATGTGTGTGCCTGTGAGTGAGTGTCATTGTCATTCCCAGAAGACCTCCCTCTCCTGTTTCCCTTTTTTTTTTTTTTTTTTTTTTTTTCCTGAGACAGTCTCACTCTGTTGCCCAGGCTGGGATGCAGTGGCACAATCATGGCTCACTGCCCACTGGGTTCAAGTGATCCTCCCTCCTCCCACCTCAGCCCCGGAATAGCTGGGAACACAGGCACATGCCACCATGCCAGGCTAGTTTTTTTATTTTATTTTTTTTTTTTTGATGGTGTCTTGCTCTGTAGCCCAGGCTGGAGTACAGTGGAGCTATCTCAGCTCACTGCAACCTCCGCCACCTGGGTTCAAGTGATTCTGCAGCCTCAGCCTCCCGAGTAGCTGAGATTACAGGCACACGCCACCATGTCCGGCTAATTTGTGTATTTTTAGTAGAGACAGGGTTTCCCTCCCAAGTAGCTGAGATTACAGGCACATGCCACCATGACCGGCTAATCTCTATTTTTAGTAGAGGCAGGGTTTCGCCATGTTGGCCAGGCTGGTCTTGAACTCCTGACCTCAGGTGATCCGCCTGCCTCAGCCTCTCAAATTGCTGGGATTACAGGTGTGAGCCGCCATGGCTGGCCTTTTTTCTTTTTTGTAGAGACATGGTCTCACTATGTTGCCCACACTGGTCTCTAACTCCTGGACACAAGTGATCCTCCCACCTTGGGCTCCCAAAGTGCTGGGATTACAGACATGAATCACTGTGCCCAGCTCCTCTCCTATTTGCTAAGCCCTCAGCCCCAGATAGGCTACAGACAGACATGGCCTGGAGACAGGAGGACATTTGAGAAGGAGACCAGCTCCCTCTTTGCACTGTGTTTGGGCAAGAGTGGCAGGAGCAGTGAGATTGGGTTTACTGGCTGGAGAAACAGCAAGGGGTCAAATCCTTCCCCACTCCACCCTAGATGTTCTCCTGATTCATTGTCCAGGCCTGTTTGAGGTCCTGAGAAGAGTTCTGGGAATTGGGAGGAGCAGATGAAGACAGCTTCATCTGCTCCTGCTGCTTTAACAAAATAGCTTAAACTGGGTAATTTAGAAACAAGGGAATTTTTTTTGTTTTGTTCTTGTTGTTGCTGTTGTTGTTGTTGTTGTTTTTTAAGACACGGTCTTGCTCTGTCACCCAGGCTAGAGTGCAGTGGTGCAATCTCAGCTCACCTGCAACCTCTGCCTCCCAGGCCCAAGCCATCCTCCCACCTCAGCCTCCTAAGTAGCTGGGACTACAGGTATATGCCAGCATGCCTGGCTCATTTTTGTATTTTTTTTTAAGAGACGGGGTTTCTCTGAGATACAGGCTGCCCAGGCTGATCTCAAACTCCTGGGCTTAAGCTATGTGTACAACCTCTGACTTCTAAAGTGCTGGGATTATAGGTATGAGCCACCGCATCCAGCCTGGAAATTTATTTCTTACAGTTCTGGAGTCTGGGAAGTCTAAGATCAAGGCGCCAAGAGATTCAGTGTCTGGTAAGGTCTTGCTTCAAAGATGATGTCTTCTTCTTTTTTGTTTTTGTTTTTGTGTTGAGACGGAGTCTCACTCTGTAACCCAGGCTGGAGTGCAGTAGCAAGATCTCGGCTCACTGCAACCTCCACCTCCCAGGTTCAAGCGATTCATGTGTCTCAGCCTCCCAAGCAGCTGAGACTACAGGCACGCACCACCACACCCAGCTGATTTTTGTATTTTTAGTAGAGACAGGGTTTCACCATTTTGGCCAGGCTGGTCTTGAACTCCTGACCTCAAGTGATCTGCCCACCTCCACCTCCCAAAATGCTGGGATTACAGGCATGAGCCAGCGCGCCCAGCCTGATGTCTCCTTGCTGCATCCTTATGTCGGGGGAAGGGCTAGAGAGCTCCCTTCAGCCTCTTTTCTAAGGATAGTAATCCCACTCATGAAGGCAGAGCCCTCGAGTCTTAATCACCTCCCAAAGGCCACACCTCTTATTACCACCACAGTGGAGATTAGGGTTCCACATGAATTTGGAAGGGACACACTTGGATAGTAGCTGGGCCACAGGCACCTGCGATTAGACAGGCCTTGGCAGCACTTCTCAGGAGAGAACCCGGTCCATGTTCTTCAGGCCTGTCCCAGGGCCAGCCCTTTTTTTTTGCTCCACACTGGGGTTCACGCCACCAATCCGGCTTCTTTTTTTTTTTTTTTTTGAGACAGGGTCTGACTCTGTCGCCCAGGCTTGAGTGTAGTGGCGCAATCTCAGCTCACTGCAGCCTCTGCCTCTCGGGTTCAAGCAATTCTCCAGCCTTACCCTCCCAAGTAGCTGGCCTGCACCACCATGCTAGGCTAATTTTTGCTTTTTTTTTTTTTTTTTTTTGAGACAGAGTCTCACTCTGTTGCCCAGGCTGGAGTGCAATGGCAAGATCTCGGCTCACTGTAACCTCTACCTCCTGGGTTCAAGCGATTCTCCTGCCTCAGCCTCCTGAGTAGCTGGGATTACAGGCGTGCACCACCACCCCCCCAGCTAATTTTTGTATTTTTAGTAGAGACGGGGTTTCACTATGTTGGCCAGGCTGGTCTTGAACTCCTGGCCTCAAGTTATCCACCCGCCTCAGCCTCCCAAAGTGTTGGGATTATAGGCATGAGCCACCACGCCTGGCCCCTGCTTGTATATTTATGTGATTTACGTGGGTAGACATAGCAGTTTTTGTCACTAATGCCACAGCAGCCCTACCCCTAGGCATGGCCTAGTCCCTAAGAAGGAGGGCCCCGTGGCCCTGCATTTTGAGAGAGGTGTACACGGGGGGACATAGAGATGAAAAGGGTCGGTTTGGGGTGGGGGAACATTTGGCAGGGAGGTTTGCAGAAGCAGAGAGAAATGACCTAAGAAGCATGAAGGGGACAGGAAAGTGAGAATGTTGGGGGCTGAACAGGTTTGGGGCAGAGCAGGAGGCAAATGGCTCAGCACAGAGGCCTGACGATGCCCTCGATGGGCGGATGGGAGGAGGCTAGAGTTCACCAGAGCCCCAGGTGGCCATCAGCACAGCTAGACCCACTCCTAACTCCTAAAATCTGGGGTGGTTCCTGAGGCTCACTCATGCTGGTGCTCTAGGAACAGAGGCGGGAACCTGCTCAGCTAGGGAAATGAGCTCAGAGGGTTTACTGGAGTGATGCTCTGTCCCAGTGTGGCCAGAGAGACCACAGGGCAGTTGACAGAAGAGACTCAAGATGGTAGTTGTCCCTGTGTGAACTGTTTCCCCGCTAAATGACAGAGGAGGGCGAAGTGCTCTGCCAGGCCCCCTGCTCAGACTGTGCTAATGGGACTCTGGTTATTGGGGCAAAATCCGAGGGCTGCACTCACCCGGCCGCTGCGCTGACCCAGTGGCTGCACTCAACCGGTGGCTGCACTGGCCTCCACTTTCTCAGCAAACACTTGGGCAGACACAGTGTCCTGGGGGTGCCTGTCAGACCCTAGAGGCCCCTTCCCTACCCACAGGGGCTCTAAACTTTCACCCTCCCTTCCTGCCCCTACCCCCATCCTTTCAGAGTCTGAAAAGGCAGACAGCTTGCTGTTTGCTCTGGAATCTGACCTTCTGAGCAGGCAGTACCCTGCCTCTGGCCTCTGCCCTCTCTCCTAGGGCCCTCAGTGCTGCTTCCCTGGGGGTTCCCAGCCTGTGCAGAGACCAACCCCTCCGAGGCAGAAGATATTTGCTCTGCTCCTAGCTTTGGGAAACCACACGTTTCATCTCCCAGAAGGGGGATCAAGACAGGGCCCTAGGCTCCTAGGGGATGGGGGAGGGGTGGGCCTGCTCTCTTCTGTCACCATCCCCCCCAATTTTCAAAGCAGTTTGGCTCCATATATGACTGGAACCAATTGCAGGCAATGTCCCTGTCAGGGCATAGCTGTGCTCATCCATTACCTGCTGGAATCTCGCCCACTGCCCTCTCAGGGGGACCGGCTCAGGAATTCAGTTGACCCTTGACAAGTTGGAAAGGCCAAGGGTATCTTTTCCTTCCTCTCTTCTCAGTAATGACTTGATCAGACTGCAGGCTCCTTAAGGATAAGAGTCGAGTCTTATTCATCTTTGGGTCACCAAGCTCCAGTGCTCAGCACACGGTAGTCACTAAATTAAAAATGGAACAAATGAATGAAAGGAAGAGGGGGAAAGGGAGGACTGTATCCCTTTTCTCTGGTGATGGAAGTGGGGAGAGGTTGTGCTTATTAACTGGTATGTCTATGGTCATTATGTCTTCTGGTGGTGGCAAGCGGAAGCTACTAGTTTCCCTCCCACCTGGCCACCTCCCAGGGTCACTCCATCATCCGTTTGCCCAGCATTGGAGGTGAGGTAGGGGGTAACTACTGAGCATTTGGGCTGTCCTCAAAGTGTAAGCAGCCTTGTGCACATGCCAGGGAGCCTCCAACCCGATTTTGTCTGTAGATAGTCTCTGCCTTGGGCAGAGCCTTGTGCCAGGCATTGAGAAGGAATCTGGCCTCAAAACATCAAACAAGAATCCAGTTCCCTTCTTCCTACTTCACCCCTCCATGCCATAGCACTCTGGTAAAATTTATTCAGATCTGGGGATTGGAGAGCAATTCCTTTTGGATTACATGATCAGGTCAAGAGATGCGCTTTGGGATCTGAACTCAATCCAGATGCATATACTGGGTCCTTTCTCTCCCCATGCAGGGACTCAAACCATGTGTAACTGGAGGAGTTGACTGCTTGCAGAAAACATAGGTGCCTATGCATCCCTGAGAGGACAAGAGAGTGACTGGAGGGGCTTTGGCCAGAGTCCAGGGGTGGGGAGAGGTGACAGTTCCTGCTGCCTCTAACATGGTCACTACCATCGCTAACCTTGGAGGAGGTCCCTCTCCCCAAATGCTTCAGAGCCCAAGATCTCACTGTCCGTGGAAGAGATGTGGGATATCCAGGTCTCTCTCTATAGCACACCTTCCACAAAAGAGCAACGTATCTCCATTCTTTCTGGGGATAACCTTTCTGGAAAATACATAAGCCAGAACAAGACCATTGTGATCTCCACTGGACAAGCCAGGAGGGGAGCAGAGCTTATCTCCTGCCCCTAACCTCTTCTCCTTCCTGTGGCACTTTCCATGCATCAGGATTTTTTTTTTCCTTTACTCTCTTTCTCTCTCTTTTTTTTTTTTTATTTGAGATGGAGTCTCATTCTGTTGCCCAGGCTGGAGTACAGTAGCATGATCTCGACTCACCACAACTTCCGCCTCTCAGGTTCAAGCGATTCTCTTGCCTCAGCCTCCCGAGTAGCTGGGACTACAGGCATGTGCCACCATGCCTGGCTAACTTTTGTATTTTTTTGCAGAGACGGGGTTTCACTATGTTGGCCAGGCTGGTCTCGAACTCCCGACCTTGTGATCCGCCCGCCTCGGCCTCCCAAAGTGCTGGGATTACAGGCATGAGCCACCGCACCTGGCCTTCTTTCTTTTTTATTACTCACCACTATACTAACAAGGACAGGTTTTCTATATTGGTAAGTCCTGCCAGGAAATACCCTTTCCTTGCTTCCTTTGGGCTTCAGGGACCAACCTGCCTTCAGGGATCAACTAGACAAACCCAGCCTGTTTGTGCTCAGCAAAAATCCAAGAAAAACTGTTGGCAGGATATTAGTCCCCCTGAGAGGGCAAGGCACTGCTGAGCTCCCCAGGCCCAGCCAGGCAGGCATCTATAACTGATGGCAGAATGCCTACAGCTAAGTGGCCACAAGTTAGTTATCAACTAAGGGCCCCAAAGCCAGAGCATCCAAGCAGGCAGAAAGACAGTGCAGATTTCAATGGACTGTGGTCAGGATAGGCAAGGAGTCCAGAATCTAAAAGGTCAAACAGCAATGCAAACTTGAGCCTGAGGCAAGAATGATTGAGTGAGGGGGCTGCAAGGGGACAAGCGGTTCAAGAGCTTATTTTGACCAGATGGAAATTTTGGGTATACTCGGAGACTTCTAGACAGGAAAAAGGGATCTGGGGGTGTCCTTACAATACTGAGCTGGTGGAGATGCTGCAGGGCCTAATTTCATTATTATGGTGATGGTGGAAGTTGTTGTTGTAGTGAGATTGATAGTGACAGAGATTGCAGTAATTATGGTAATAGCAGGAATGGGGTGATGAGTGGTCATAGTGTTGCCATGGTTAATGGTTGTTGCCAAGGGGATAAAAGGAGTAAGGATGATAACTATTGTTATGGGGAAGGACATGGTGATATTGAAGCTAGAGTAACAGAAACAATCATTTTAGGGGTGATGGCAGTATCAGTGAATGATAGTGACAATAATTATGGTCACAAGTGAAGAGGTGATTGTGATGGTTGTGGAGAAGTTGACTTGTTATCCAGATGAGGGAGTGATAAGGTGATAAATATTACATTGGTAAATATGGACTCTTCATGTGGTATCATTGTTCTTTCTTTAAGCCACATAATATATGAGATAAGCCTGATCCTTTAGAGGAGCTCAGGAGGCATATGTCATGACCCTGGGTCTCCCTGAACATAACACCTCTGTGATCAGACCTGCACTGTTTTTCCTGGTCCACTCCATTCTGACTGAAGCCAAAGTGGAGATTGGAGGGTAACCCATACCCTAGCTTTTCCTTTTGTTTCTCCATCTTCCTAGGGGCCTACTTGCTTCCTAAGATAGTCCTTCTCCAGGGTCCAATATAGTAAACTAAGGCATAGTTGTTCCTCGTGGGCTGAAGCCAGAGCACTCTGTGTATGCCAAGCATCTGGCTGGAAAAGGAATAATGCTGCCAAAAGGCCCTTGCAGCAGTAGGAACAGTGGTTACTGTAACTATTATTCTTAACTCATGGCTGGTCCTCAATCTCTAATTGGTTTCAACCTCTGGCAATTCCCTTAATCTGCGCTGGCTACTAGCCAAATGTGGCTATTGCGCATTTGAAATGCAGCTAGTCCAATTCAGATGTGAGTGTAAGATATACATTGGATTTTGAAGACTTAGCATGAAAAAAAGAATGTAAACTCTTTATCTCTCTTTTTTCTTTCTGTTTGTTTTTGTTTTTTTGTTTTTTGGTTTTTTTTTTTTGAGACATGGTCTTCCTCTATCGCCCAGGCTGGGGCGCAGTGGTGCAATTGTAACTCATTGCAGCCTCAAACTCCTGGGCTCAAGTGATCCTCCCACCACAGCCTCCTGAGTAGCTGGGATTATAGGCACGTACCACCACACCCAGCTAATTTTTAAAATTTTTGTAGAAACGGGGTCTTGCTATGTTGCCCAGGCTGGTTTCAAAATCCTGGGTTCAAGTGGTCCTCCCACCTTGGCCTCTCAAAGTGCTGAGATTACAGGTGTGAGCCTTTGAGCCTGGACCTCTTTATCTCTTTAATATAAATTTTTATATTGTTCACATGCTGAAGTAATATTTTGAAAATATGGAGTTAAATGTAATATAAATTAATTTCACCTGTTTCTTTTTATTTTTTTTTTAAATGTGTCTACTAGAAGATTTTTTTTTTTTTTTTTGAGACAAGTTCTTGCTCTGTCGCCCAGGCTGGAATGCAGTGGTGCTGTCTACTAGATGATTTTAAATACATATGTGGTTCACATTATATCGGATGGTGCTGCCTTAGCTCATTTGCTTTTCGTTTGCTCAGAGAAACAAAAGGAAAGAAATAAAGCAAATTCCAAAATTATAGTAAGTTAAGCACCTAATAAGTTTGTTTCTCTTTACCATAAAATCTAAGCAGAAGTGCTGCAGGGCAGATGTGGCAGCTCCATTCCAATGTCAGGGCTCCAGGGTCTCTCTTTACTATGCTTTCACCATTCTCAACACATGGCTTCCATCTTGAGGTCTAAGATGACTGCTCTAGTTTCTATAACCATTTACACTCAGTGAAAAGGGGAGAAAAGGGTGTCAACTCCTTCATATGGGCAGAGTCCAGAAGCACACATTACTTCTGCTTGCATCTCATTGGCTGGAATCTGGTTACCCAAACACACCTAGCTGCAAGGGAGTCTGGGAAATGTAGTCCTAAACCAGGTGGCCATGCTCCAGCTAACACTTGGGGATTTTATTATTAAAAGAAGAAAGGGAGAATGGCTGCTGGGGGACAGGAGGGCTATTACCCAAGGCTCATACCTACTACAGGTCTGAGGAGTGGCTGCCATCACTGGCAGCAGGAGGATGGAGCAGATAATCTCCAAGAAAAAGCCTGTTCCGTTTAAAGAGATTTATTTTTATTTATTTATTTATTTATTTATTTATTTATTTATTTATTTATTTTCGAGACATAGTCTTGCTCTGTCGCCCAGATTGGAGTGCGGTGGTGCAAGCTCAGCTCACTGCAACCTCTGCCTCCTGGATTCAAACTATTCTCCCTGCCTTGGCCTCCTGAGTAACTGGGATTACAGGCACCTGCCTCCATGCCTGGCTAATTTTTGTATTTTTAGTAGAGATGGCCTGGGCTGGCACCATGGCTCACACCTGTAATCCCAGCAATTTGGGAGGCCAAGGCGGGTGGATCACCTGAGGTCAGGGGTTGAAGACCAGCCTGGGCAACATGGAGAAACCCTATCTCTACTAAAAATACAAAAATTAGTCAGGTGTGGTGGTGGCTTGAGCCCGTAGTCCCAGCTAGTGGGAGGCTAAAGCAGGAGAATCGCTTGAATCTGGGAGGCGGATGTGTCAGTGAGCCAAAATCACACCGCTGCACTCCAGCCTGGGCAACAGAGTGAGGCTCTCTCAAAAAAAGTAAATAAATAGGCCAGGTGCGGTGGCTCACACCTGTAATCCCAGCACTTTGGGAGGCCTAGGCAGGTGGATCACTTGAGATCAGGAGTTGGAGACCAGCCTGGCCAACATAGTGAAACCCTGTCTCTGCTAAAAATACAAAAATTAGCTGGGCGTGGTGGTGCACATTTGTAATCACAGCTACTCGGGAGGCTGAGGCAGGAGAATCACTTGAACCGGGGTGGAGGAGGTTGCAGTGAGCCAAGATTGTGCCACTGCACTCCAGCCTGGGCGACAGAGCAAGACTCCATCTCAGAATAAATAAATAAATAAATAAATAAATACATACATACATACATACATAGGCCAGGCACAGTGGCTCACACCTATAATCCCAGCACTTTGGGAGGCTGAGGAGGGCAGATCACCTGAGGTCAGGCGTTCGAGACCAGCCTGGCCAACATGGTGAAACCCCATCTCTACTAAAAATACAAAAATTAGCCAAGCATGGAGGTGCACACCTGTAATCCCAGCTACGTGTAAGGCTGAAGCAGGAGAATCACTTGAACTCGGGAGGCGGAGGTTGCAGTGACCCGACATCGTGCCATTGCACTCCAGCCTAGGCAACAGAGTGAAACTTCATCTAAAAAAAAAAAATAATAAAATAAAATAAAAATAAATGAATAGTGAGCTGAGATCGCGCCACTGCACTCCAGCCTGGGCAACAGAGTGAGATTCCATCTTAAAAAATAAATAAATAAATAAATAAATAAATAAATAAATAAAGACAGCCCAAGTCCCAGCATATTTTCAGATGTTCCTTGATCAGCATGATTTTAAGAGAGGGAAGAAAGGAGACAGTTTGACAAGAAAATGAAAGAGGGAGAATGAGGACGGTGCATGGCTGGGGACTATTGTTTGAGTTGTAAGCTCTCTTGCTGGGACAACGCCTGTGATTCCAGTACTTCGGACGTTTATACTCAAGGTCTTCATAGGTCATGTGATATAGAAACAATGGCTCCAACCATTTGTTAAGTAGGTTCTGTTTATTAAACTCCTGCTTGCCTACCTTCTTCCTTCCACTTTTGACCTTCCCCACCTCTCTATCAGGTGCCCAGGACAGGCACAGAAGTGAACCCAGGAGACCTACAAGACCTGTACTTAAGAGAGTAGTGTGACTTGGGAGTCAGAAAACAGCCAAAGACAACTATCCAGACAGCCACAGTGGGCAAAGGCTGGGACAGACACACTGGGCATAGCTCTGACTTTCTCTTTGACCCAGATCTCAACAAAAAAATACTCAAGTAAAGTTGATCTCCATGAAGACAGGACCTAGCTCTATCGTGTCCACCAATGTATTCCTGTTGCCTGGCACAGAACAAGCGTTTGGTAAGAGTTTGCTGAACAGATGAATGAAGAGGAGTGGGCTTTCTCTGAAGTCAGGTTCGAGGTTGAGCTGTGAGGAGAGATTATGTGGGTTTTGAGGTTGGGGCTCCACCATGCCCTCCCACCTACCCCTCCTTTTCCATGGCCCGCTTCTGAACCTTCAATCCCATCCTCCCAGGCTCTTTCTCTCCATGACTGCTGGTCTCTCAAGCTCGGGATAGGCTGCTCTAGGGAAACTGGAGGTAGTGGGCAGAAAGGTGAGGCAAGTGTGGGCATTTCCTCGGAGGCCGGCCCTCCCTCAGAACCCACTGCCCTGGCAGACTCACCTTTGCTCTTGGACTGAGACAAGGCTTCCCTGACTGCCGCCTCCTCCACGCTGCTCCTTCTCTCTCAGCAAGGGTCAGATAAGGAGACCGCAATCCGCCCTAGGAGAAAGCCTGGCCGATAGAGGGGCCCAAACCCCGGACGTCCCCCCTCCTCCCATATATCTTGGTGTCAAACACATTTTATTTCCTCACGTCTGGGGACCCTGGAGCTTCCCCTCCAGGATTACTTCCTCCTCCGGTTTGTTTTCCAGCTGGAGATTCTAGGAGCCCCACGGCAGGGGGCGGCTCCTCCGCTTGTGGCCCAAAGGCTTCAAAGGGCCCAGAGTGGAATGCCGCGGCCAGAGGCTGCTGGCCTGGGAGGAGGGGTGGAGGCATCGCAAGCCCAAGGTACGGGGGCTCTGGCTGGGTACCCCACTCATTTTCAAGCTGCCCCCCCATTGGCTGAAGGGCTGTATCTATGGGCAGAAGGTGACTTCAAAGGTCAGCAATGGGGGACTCCCTACCACCCCCTCCCCCGGGGCTCAGAGGGGGCCAGGAAGTGCCCCCCCCCATCATGATGGATTAGGTGCCTAAGAGCCATGGCGAGCTTAAGGACGGGAGACCTTCTCTTTTTTCATGGGGTTCAGATTTCACGATTTGTGGGGGGGGTTAAATAATTAGTAATTTGTGATTAAGCCTTTTCATGGATATTTTGTTTCTTTGTTCTGTGATGTCGCCTGGAGCCATTTAAAAAATGACTTAATGACAAAGAAAAAATAATTGCTCTTTGTAACTAATGACTGTGTCAGAACTTGGAAATCACCAAAGCCTCGGAAAGTAGAAACCGAGTAGGGGGTGGGGGTTCCACTCTCCAAGGAATCAGATCAGCAGTCGTAAAGTGGCCCGGGATCTGCTTGCACCTGGATGGCCCCCTTCCCTTCCCTGGAGCCAGCAGCCAGCACCTGCAGGCTCAGCCTGGGGGCTTCAGGCCTAGGGTGCCTTAGGTACCTTTGCCCCTGGGCTGAGAGGAATGGTCAGAATGCCCTAGGCCAGCCTAGACTGCACCAGCTCAGCCTCACCTTGGAGTTGCTCCTTCCTTCATAAAATCCCCCTGTAAGGAGACTTCTCCCCCTCTGGTGGAGGAGCAAGGGGTAGTTCTGTCCTCACTTCTCCACTCCTGCAGCTTCCTATAGAGCTCCGGAGTTGCCCTGGGATTCTGGATTCTTCTGGGTCTTTACTTTTTTTTTTTTTTTAGTACTTAATTGTCAAATAAAGATTGAGCATATTCACAGGGTACAATGTGAGGATATGATACACTCACCCGAATCTTTATGGCTCCTGTGTCCCTACCTAGACTGAGCTCTCCCTGGGGGACAGAAAAAATGCCCTCTCCCTCCTGATGCTTCAGCCCCTCCTCCCCTCATGTACGCTAACCTACCTTGGGCTGGGGCCCTGCAGAGCTCTGGACCACTTGAGGCAGGGATCTGGCAGGGCCCAAGCCCCAAGGACTCAGGGCAGCCCACCGCCTGCTGTCACCCCCAGCCGCCTCCCGCAGCCTCTGGGGACTGGGCCGGGAGATGGGGAATTGCTCACACAGCAGATTCCACTCCTGTTCCCTTCCCAGGCCCTCGCTCCGATCTCTCCCAGGGGGAAATGCTGGGGGGAGAAAACCGTTAACTTGTGCCTTCTATTTGGTTTTCCTCTGGTTATTGTTTAAAATGCAGAGATTATGAGGTCAAAGTCTCCCAGCCAATATTTTTCTAATGAAAAATGTAGTAAGGCACGACTGAGTAATCTAATCTATAAGTTAAGCGTTCCACACAGCAGCGATTTTCACCGACAGAACTTCAATAAATCTTGTTTTGAGAAAAATGATATGAGGCTGATGTTCTATTTTTGTCAATTTGAATGGACTCCCCTGCCCCCCCAGTCCCCAGAAACACTGCACTGCACCCAGCCAATCTCCTTCTTCCCTCCCCCAGAGCAGGCTGGATGAAAGTGGGGGACAAGAATGATAGGGTGGGAGGCCTGAGTTCTGACCCAGCTTGGCTCAGAGGGTCTGGGGCCACAGGCCTCTGCTTCAGCCCACCTGGTCTCTGGGGCTCTCCTCCTGGTGAGGGGCTTGGCAAAGGGATTGGGGGTCTTGAAGGAAAAGGCAGCCAGTGGTCTAGGAGAATGGTGTCGACTTTCCTAGCCGTGGGGTCAGGACTGCCCAGGCAAGCCTGTTTCCCCGAGCTGTCCCAAGACTGAGCAAAGAACAAACAGCAGCCCTCGAACCTTCCCTTGACCCCCAACAAGCCATTGATAGATCTGGCAAGAAAGGCCTCACCTCAGGAAGAACTGGTTAAATTCATCTTCAAAGCTGCTGTTCCCCTTCGCCTGACTCGAACGTGGGAGACAGGCCAGAATGTAGTAGTAAACTCACTCCTAACAAAGGATGCGTGTGTGTATATGTGTGTGTGTGTGTGCGCGTGCATGTGTGTACATGTGTGTGCATATGTGTGTGCATGTGTGTGTGCATGTATGTGTACCCATGTACACCCGTGTGCAGGGTGCTGGGAAGGAAGCAAGGCTCTCTCGATGAATGTGCAGACCTAAGGCTGTCATGGAGGGTGGCTGCCAAGATTAAAATCAAGAAAGAGATTTCTAGCCCAAGGAATATGTGGGAGGCCAGAAGAAAGAATATGGAGCTGTTTCAAGAAACTGGAGAAGCTGTAAGGGCAGCCAGAAAGGATTATGTCACCTCATCAGAGAGAAATCAATTAGGAGAGGCTTCACAACGAGAGCTCCTCCTCCCTCCTCCCAGCCACGATCCACCAAGGGGAACGGATTAAGACAGAGATGTCTGGAGACAGAAAGGTTTTTCTGGGTGGAGATTTCAGCAGCATTTAGATTTGGAAGAGCCAGAGGCTGTCTCACTCTGAAATCTGCAGGTATGGAAACCACAGACAGAGGTAACTTGACCTCTCAGTGTCCAGGAGAGCTGAGTATAGAGGCAGGAGGGCTGGGGTTGGGGTCTGAGGATCAGGGGATCCACGTTTTGACATTACCAACAGTCTGACTTCAGACTTCAGACCTCAGTTTCTCAGCTATAAAATAAGGAAAATAAGACCAGTTCTACTTACCTGAGAGCAAGGTTAGCAGATCAAGTCAGAAGATACATGTGAACACGCGGTTTAAAATACTGCACAAGGCTGGGCACGGTGACTCACGCTTGTAATCCCAGCACTTTGGGAGGCTGAGGCTGGCAGATCACCTGAGGTCAGGAGTTCGAGATCAGCCTGGCCAATATGGCAAAACCCCTTCTCTACTGAAAATACAAAAATTAGCTGGGCATGGTGGCGGGCGCCTATAATCCCAGCTACTTGGGAGGCTGAGGCAGGAGAATCACTTGAACCCAGGAGGTGGAGGTTGGCAATGAGCTGAGATCATGCCACTGCACTCCAGCCTGGATGACAGAGTGAGACCCTGTCTCAAAAACTAATAATAATAAAATAAAGTACTGCACAAGATGAGCTATGGATAAAATTATTACTGAATTGGGTGAAGGAAGGAGCTCTGGGAACAACTCTCAAAGCCCCATTATTTCTCTGGGTCAGGTTAAACTGGACGACAAGGATGGGCGACTGTCACTGGCCTGCCTCTGGAGTCTGAGCTTAGAGATTCCTCATGGAATAAGAAAGGGATTTGCACATTTCTCTCAGCTGCCAGATGTGCAAAGGATCCACAATGTGGAGATGACTCCAGGAAAGGCTTTGGGCTGGTGGACATGCACAGTAAGGACAGGGGCCTGGGGGCTGGGAAGGGGGCTTGGGAGGGGAGGAGCTTTTGAAGGGAAGGGCCCCTTGTCTCTGCTTAACCAAGTCAAGGCACCAAAGCTGTGCCCCCTTTCTTTCCAGGTCTTACCAATTCTCCCTCCCCATCCCACCCTGTGTCATTGCAGGGGCCATTCTAAGGCTCCCAGCAGCTCCCCAGAAGGGGAGGGGTGAGAGTTTTTCTTTAACCTCAAACATCAAACATTAGCCCTAAGTCCCCTTTTGTCTTCTGACCCCTACCCACCATTTCCTTCCATTTAACTGTTCCCACCAATGGTTCCCAGGAAAGTCAGCTCAAGCCCAGGGCTGCCAGAGCCAAGGGGAAGTGGGGAGGTAGTGGGGAATGGCTGAGGCTGCTCAAAGTGGCCTGGAGCTACTGGGCAGCCTCAGAAACCCTGGAGACCCAATTCCCAAGGAAAATGGGAGGTGAAAGGAGACAGGGTAATATTTCTTGCATGACTAGGGTGGGAAGATGAACCCAAAGCAAAGAATCTCTCCAATTTCTCTGTGCCTGGGTATGGGGAGTGGGTGCAGCAGGCTCCAGTCAGAGCTAAAAGGTCTGCCCCCACCATGAGTTTGAGAGTCCCTGTGGCCTGGCTCTGGTCCTCCTCTTGCCCCCAAAGAGATCCCAAACCCCTGGAAGAGTATGCAGCTACAGCTCCATAGACCAGGTACTAGGAGCCCTTGAAAGCTGGGGGATTGTCGGGGGAGAGGGAATTGCAGTTGGAAGAGAGGGGAGCTTGTGCACCTTAATGCCCACTAAAAATTCAAACTTTTAATCACACAGGAACATTTTTAGAGAAAATTAAAAATATGATACAAAGCACTAGGTATAGAATGATCCCATTTATGGAGCAAAAATAATCCTATAGTTTGCTTTTTTTTTTTTTTTTTTGAGATAGAGTTTCACTCTTGTTGCTCAGGCTGGAGTCCAATGGCATGATCTCGGCTCACCACAACCTCTGCCTCCCCAGTTCAAGCGACTCTCCCACCTTAGCCTCCCGAGTAGCTGGAATCACAGGCATGTGCCACCACACCTGGCTAATTTTTTTTGTGTGTGTGTGTATATATATGTGTGTGTGTATATATATATATATATATATATATATATTTTTTTTTTTTTTTTAACTAGAGACAGGGTTTCTCCATGTTGGTTAGGCTGGTCTTGAACTCTCGACCTCAGGTGATTTGCCCACCTCAGCCTCCCAAAATGCTGGGATTACAGGCGTGAGCCACCACACCCAGCCTTTTTTATATTTACTTTTTTTATTATTTTTATTTTTTTTGAGACGGAGTCTTCGCTCTGTCGCCCAGGCTGGAGTGCAGTGGCACGATCTTGGCTCACTGCAAGCTCCGTCTCCTGGGTTCACGCCATTCTCCTGCCTCAGCCTCCCGAGTAGCTGGGACTACAGGCGCCTGCCACCACGCCCAGCTAATTTTTTGTATTTTTAGTAGAGACGGGGTCTCACTGTGTTAGCCGGGATGGTCTCAATCTCACCTCGTGATCTGCCCGCCTCGGCCTCCCAAAGTGCTGGGATTACAGGCATGAGCCACCATGCCTAGCTTTTTTTTTTTTTTTTTTTTTTTTTTTTTTAACTACTGGAATAAAACCAGCAAAATACAGACAGTGATAATTTCTGGGTGGTAAGACTTCATATGATATTATTTTCTGTATACTTCTCTATAGCTTCCAAATTTTCTACCATCAACATTTACATTTATAATTAAGAAATTATTTAAAAGATTAAGAAGATAATTCTGGGATTAAGCTGACACCCTAAAAGTAGACCCAGAATTTTGGCAGACCCCAGGCCCTCTGCCTAGTCCTATGTCTGCTTCGGGGATCCCTGGCTGGCCCCTTCTAGGGCAGCCCGTGAGGCCGAGGCCCGCCAGCTGGGAGTCAGCTGTGCCTGGAGACAATCCGTGTCCAATGGGAGGTGGGGGGCTCATTTCCGAGCTGGATGGGGGCCAGGTCTAGGGCCAAGCAGCAACCTGGGGCACCGGTATTCACAGCTCCTCCCCAGCCTCTGCGCCTAAAAAGAGGACAGAGGCCTCAGAGTCAGCTTCTGCCCAGAGGATCCCCAGCCACTACCCCGGTGACTGGTTCTGGCCCACAGATACAGGAGAGGGGGTGAAGATGGCCATATCCCCAGTTCTGAGGCTCAGTGAGGATTTATGGAGCTGTGTTTAGGCCTAGATTTGCCCCATTCCCTCTCTCACCCCAGGCCTCCCAAGACCGTGGACTCAGGGAACGAATGACTAATCAGAGTTGGGAGGGGGTCCTACAGGGTTGGGCCCAGGGTTTTGGACCAAGGAGTCTCAGTTAATCCCAGCTGGGGTTTAGTAAAAATATGGCTAAGAAATTCTAGCCCACCTTCAAGTATTCAGCTGTGTTCAAGGAAAAACTCACACACACACACACGCACACACACACACACACACACACACACACATAAAAAAGGCTTTTTAGACTATTTATTTATGAGCATGTGTCAAAATTTTATTTCAATCTTGCTACAAGTGAAGAGACCTATAAAAGGCCAGCCGCTTCAAGATGACTTCTTGGTAGATACATTTAGAGGCAAGAAGAGTGGTTAGCAGCATTGTTAAAATGGGCATACAAAAATAATGTCTGAATAAAATATATAAAACTCTTCCAAACGGCAGGGTGGATAGGAAACTGGTTCCTGAGAAGAAATCTAAATCCTGTTAAAAGTTTATCGGAAAATTGCTTAAGCATTTTAACAACAAGGCTGATTTCCTCCCAGAAGGAAATAATGAATTACACTTGGCAAAAAGGCTGTGTCCCAGACAAGCTTGGGGGCCTTTCGTCTTCAGTTAGAAATTCCGGCTTGGCTGCTGCTCCAGGGCTGCAGGGTCAAGCATGAAGCAATTGATATGTAAATTCCAGGTTCCTGTGCGCCCAAACTTGTGCCGGGCACCAAGACGAGAATAAGACAGCAGGGCAGAAGTTGTGGAGAAGCTGAATTGTCTCTCTGCAAGGAAAAATTTCCTGACACAAGTATCTGTCCAGGCAAGTACCCCAGAAGTTCTGAGTTCCCTCATTTTGGAGGTAAGCAAGGCCGCAGAGGAAGCAGGAGGCCTCATGGTACAGATATTTTAGAACTACTTACCCAAGTGGGGGACCTGGACCTCTGACAGAATGCCAGATGATTTTCAATGGTGCATTGACAAGACATTAAATCACTCTGAATTTCATAGTGAGAAAGCTATTTCCTTGTCAATTCTCTTTCTTTATTTCCCTGTTTTTTTTCCACTGGAACTTGGGTTTACAGAACTGGATTAATCACATTCCTTGCTTCATGATACACTCTCACCATTGGTCATTGCATGGTTTTCTTTTCTTTTTCTTTTATTATTGTTATTTTTTAAGACAGTCTCACTCTCGCCCAGGCTGGGGTGCAGTGTCGCAATCTGGGCTCACTGAAACCTCTACTTCCTGGGTTCAAGCGATTCTCGTGCCTCAGCCTCCCAAGTAGCTGAGATTACAGATGTGCACTACCTTGCCTAGCTAATTTTGTATTTTTAGTAGAGATGAGGTTTCACCACATTGGCCACACTGGTCCCAAACTCCTGGCCTCAAGCAATCCACCTGCCTTGGCCTCCCAAAGTGCTGGGATTACAGGTGTGAGCCACAGCGCCCAGCCTAGATTTTCTTTTAATTAGTTTAAAATATTATCATAAGCATCCATGACTTTATCACCCAAAACAAAATCTCAGACCTTGACAATAACTGACAACTAACCAAATGGTACCACATCCCATTCTCTGCCTCCCATCTCAGCCAACTCACAACCCTGAATCCCATAGTCATCATTCCCTTGCTTTCCTTTTAATAGTTTTATAGCACTTTTATTTATTCCTTAAAAGTTTATTTTAAATTTTAACTGTTCTTTATTAAAAAATAGTATCAGGCTATATATAACTTTTTTTGACTTGGTATTTCACATAATATTATATTGCTAAGAGTCATCCATATTATTGCATGTCACTTAAGTTCCTTTGTTTTGACTACAGTATAATATTCCATTGTGTGAGATTAGCTCAGGCTATTATAAAGATATCACTTTCCTTACACTCATGAGCACAGCAGCATTATTCACACTCACCAAAAGCTGGAAGCAATCCAAGTGCCCAGCAAGAGATGAATAAACAAAATAGCCAGGTGAGGTGGCTCATGCCTGTAATCCCAACACTTTGGGAGGCCAGGGCAGGAGGATCCCTCAAGCCCAGAAGTTCAAGACCAGCCTGAGCAACATAGTGAAACCTCGTCTGTACAAAAAATAAAAAATTGGCCAGGCAGGGCGGTGTGCTCCTGCAGTGCTAGCTACTCAGGGGTCTGAGGTAAGAGGATTGCTTGAGCATTGGTGGTCAAAGCTGCAGTGAGCCGTGATCGTGCCACTGCATTCCAGCCTGTGCAACAGAATGAGACTTTGTCTTGAAAAAAAACTTTAAAAAAATGTAGTATATACACATACAATGGAATATTATTCAGCCTTAAACTCTGACACATGCTGCAACATTGATGAACCTTGAGGACATTATGCTAAGTGAAATAAGCCAGTCACAAAAGGTTAAATACTGTATGGTTCCACTTACATCAGGTGCCTAGAATAAATGCCCAGGGATGAGAGTAGGATGGTGGTTGCCAGGAGCTGGGGTGGGGAGAGGAATGGGGATTATCGTTTGATAGGTACAGAGTTTCAGTTTGGGAAGAGTTCTGGAGTTGGATGATGGTGATGGCTGCATAACAATGTGAATGTAATTAATGCCACTGAACTGTACACTTAAAAGTAGTTAAAAATGGGCCGGGCGCGGTGGCTCACGCCTGTAATCCCAGCACTTTGGGAGGCCAAGGCGGGCGGATTGCCTGAGCTCAGGAGCTCGCCACCAGGCTGGGCAACACAGTGAAACTCCGTCTCTACTAAAATACAAAAAATGAGCCAGGCGTGGCAGCGTTCACCTGTAGTACCAGCTACTCCGGAGGCTGAGGCAGGAGAATTGCTTGAACCCGGGAGGCAGAGGTTTCAGTGAGCCAAGATCACGCCACTGCATTCCAGCCTGGGTGAGAAAGCGAGACTCCTATCAAAAAAAAAAGTGGTTAAAAATTGTAAAATTTTATGTTATGTATATTTTATAATAACAAAAACATATCTTTCCCATCAATGGGCATTTGGGTTGTTTGATTCTTCCAGTTTCCTCGAAGAGAATGTCTCAGTTTGGTGCTAGTATGTCTTTAACACCTCTCTAACGTGTGTTTCTCTTCTTTCCCTTTTTAACAGAGAGGAAGATTCAACTGCAAGAGCTTTCAGCAGGCAATGGTGTCCAACTAGAATCGAAACACATTGTTATTGTTTTACTTATTTTTATAATTACTTTTTATTTTGGCAAGTAACGGGTGGTTTCGCAGTTACTGTAGTGCTAGAAGGCTTTTTTAAAAAAACAATAAACATACTTGAGTAAGAAATAGTAAGTTGATTTAAAGAAAAATATCAAGTAAATAACATTTTAGGTAGAATATGGATTTGGCATGAATTGTGACACTGGTACTCGAATGTGGAAAGTTTGGGAAACATGAATTTAGAGGTTGCTCAGACTCTTGTTGAACCAGTGATCTCTGAGACCCTTCCAAGGTTAACAATGTCTGATATTCTGGATGTACAGACAGTATAGGTCATAGGAGCTCAGCAAGTGCTAACATGGACAGGGAAGGCTTTGTGGGACATGATCTTGGTCTTAAAGAACGAGTAGGATTTAAGTGAAGATAAAGACGAAATCAGAGTTCTTCCAGGCAAAGAAAATAACATGAAGGTCAAACTAACCAAGGTATGCTTAAGGGCTAATAAGTTTGCCTGGTGGAAGCAAAGGATAGTGATAGAAAATAAAGGAAATCACCGGGCATGGTGGCTAACACCTGTAAGGCCAAGGCGGGAGGATCACTTGAGCGTAGGAGCTTGAGACCAGCCTCGGTAACATAGTGAGACCCCATTTCTAAAAAATAAAAGAAAAGAAAATAATTTGGAAAATCTAAAAAATCTGAGGACTTTAGACTTAGTTGTGAGGGTATAGGGAGTCACGGAAAGTTCTTGAGCAGGTAAGTGACATGATGAAGGGACTCAGATCTTGAGCAGGTACCACTTGGTTTTTGGTGAAAATTTCCTCCTTGTCCAGCCTGAGACTGCTGACTAGTTCATTTATCTCTCAAATATTTATCAAAGGCTTCCCGTGTACCAGGCACTGCCCTGTGAATTCAGTGATGCACAAAAACATACTCCTCATCCTACAATCCTCTAGTGTGTGAGTCAGGCATTAAATGAAGTAACCACGCAAACATAAAATTCCAAGTGTCGATAAGTCCAACTAAAGAGGTGCTCCTGATGCCAGGAGTGCATATAGCAGTGGGGAGGCTTACCTGCCTTAGGAGTCAGGGCAAGGCTGTTCTGAGGAAGCCACAGCTGAGCTGATATTGAAAGGATAAGAGGCATTACATGGGTGAAGAGAAGAGGGAAAAGCATTTCAGACAGGGAAAGCGGCATGCCCCAAAGCCCTGTGGCCTGCAGAGGAAAGCTGGGGGAATCAGGAGCCCCAGGAGGGCAGGAGGGGATCAGGGAAAAGGTCATTGTGGCTGGGTATCAGGGAACATGGTGTGAAGAGAGGCTGGAGCCCCGCAGGCTCTAGGAAGGTTTGGGAGTTTATCCTAGAAGAGAGGTGCCATTGAAAGGGCTGTGACATGGTCAGTTCAGTGTTTATTTACATTTCGAGACAGCATCTTGCTCTGTTGCCCAGGCTGGAGTGCAGTGACCAGATCACAGCTTACTGTAACCTCTACTCCTGGGCTCGAGTGATCCTCCTATCTCAGCCTCCTGAGTAGCTGGGACTACAGGCATGTGCCACCATGCCTGGCTAATTTTTTACTTTTTGTAGAGACAGGGTCTCACTATGTTGCTCAGGCTAGTCTCAAATTCCTGGGCTCAATAATCCTCCTGCCTCAGCCTCCCAAAAAGTGTTGGGATTACAGGTGTGAGCCACTGTGCCTGGCCCAGATTATTGTTTAAAATAATAATAATAATAATCAGGGCCGGGCATGGTGGCTCACGCCTGTAATTCCAGCACTTTGAGAGGCCAAGGCGGGCGGATCACGAGGTTAAGAGATCAAAACCATCCTGGCCAACATGGTGAAACCCTGTCTCTACTAAAAATACAAAAATTAGCTGGGCATGCTGGTGCATGCCTGTAATCCCAGCTACTCGGGAGGCTGAGGCAGGAGAATCGCTGCAACCCGGGAGGTGGAGGTTGCAGTGAGCCGAGCGTGCCACTGCACTCCAGCTTGGTGACAGAGCAAGACTCAGTCAAAAAAAAAAAAAAAAATCAAACCTTCTGGTACATGTGAGGAAGGCAGGGTGACATGTATTCATGTCTCTCTCTCAGGCAGCCCCAGAACACTCCAGACGCTGGAGATTGGGAGGCTGATCTGAAGAGAGTGTGCAGGAGGCTGAGGTGGGCCTGCAGTGGCAGCAAAGAAAAGCAAAGGGGACAGGGTGACTGTGAGGATCGGACAGAGTATAAGCTGGGCAGGGGCCAGAAGGGACCCATATGACCGGGGAGGGGCACATGAAGAGGACACATGAGTAGGGTACTGCAAGCAGTGCGGGCAGAGGCTGGAGCCTGGAAGAGAAGGCAGGGCTGGAGTCACTCCCAGAGGCACAAAGCTGCGGCAGTAACTAAGTTTGCCCAGGAGAGGGCTCCACCTTGGCAAAATGGCTACGTCTGAATGACTCAAATGGTCTCTGAGGTCCCCTGGAGAAAAGATGTCCAAGGACGAGGCCTTGGGGAACTCCTGGCATGCTTGGAGGAAAAGGAGCCAGGGACAGTGGTTGAGGGCAAGCTGGAAGGGGATGGACCGAGCAAAGACACCAGGTTAGGAGCAGGAAGGGGACCAGGAAGAGCACAGAGCTGCAGTGACAGGGTTTGTAAGTGGGGACGGAGAAGGGACAGCCACCTGGGTGATTGGCAAGCCTGGAGGCTCCGCAAGTCCAACCCCCAAGTCTGCAGGGGGCAGACACCATGCTTTGTTTTCACCTTCTCCTGGGTATAACGGGCGAGACAGTGGTAGTAGAGGTTGGTGGAGGCCGGTGGGAGAACACTGACCAGGATGGTGGAACGAAGCTGACCTGAAAGTGAGGACCCCTCACTTGACCCCTACATCATCCCCCTTTTCTTTCTAAGCATCCCTGGGCTTTAGAAAAATAGGGAGACTGAGAAGAAAACTTCTCTCTAGAAGGAGCCAGACTTTAGGGGCTGGAGGGAGAAGAGAAGAGGAAACCTGAACAGGAACCCCATCGTGCTTTTCTTTTTTTTTCTTTTTTTTTTTTTGAGACAGAGTCTCACTCTGTCGCCCAGGTTGGAGTGCAGTGGCGAGATCTCGGCTCACTGCAAGCTCCGCCTTCCGGGTTCACGCCATTCTCCTGCCTCAGCGTCCCGAGTAGCTGGGACTACAGGCGCCCGCCACCACGCCCGGCTAATTTTTTGTATTTTTAGTAGAGACGGGGTTTCACCGTGTTAGCCAGGATGGTCTCGATCTCCTGACCTCGTGATCCGCCTGCCTCGGCCTCCCAAAGTGCTGGGATTACAGGCGTGAGCCACCACGCCTGGCCACCCATCGTGCTTTTCAACATTTGTAAGCAGGCGGGGAATAAGGTAAGCTTGTGGACTCCGAGGCTCGTGTGCGCAGGCGCACATGCATGCAGGTACCCACATAGACCTGTGCTGACTTGAACACCTGCACTCACTGATTCACACGCGCATCCTCTTGAACACATGCTCACACAGCCCTCATTCACATGCCTCTTCCCTTGCCACGCACACATACTCATACTGGCATCCCTCCTAAACACATGTTCCCTCTTACCCTGCCACTCCCCAACCACACACACACACCCAGGAGAATCCTAGGAAGCTGTTCACAATAGTCCTGGATCTCCAGGAATGTGTGTGATTACCCACGATGTGTGTGTATCTATGTAAGATGCAATTCAGAGGGGTGATGTGTGGGTGGGTGGGGATGGGGGATACCCCAAGATGCGATGTGTGTCTGTAAGGGGATGAATGTAGTAAAGTGTGCATTCATTCATTCCATCATTCACTCAACCAGGTTATGGAGGCGCCACCATGTCCCAAGCACTGCACTTGGTTAAACAGTGAACCACATAGACACTATCACTGCTCACAATCTAATGAGCTCCAGAGAAGACAGGCCCTGAGGACATAGCTGGGAAATGCCGTGAAGGGGGAATGCCATGTACTATGGGAGCTGGGAACAGGCAAAGTGACCCAGAGAATTTCCCAAGAACAGGGTGTGTACCTTAGTGAATGAGTATAGACACTGGTCTGGGGGGCGCCTCTGGGATGTGAGCTGCATGTCAGCAGGTTGGAAGGTATTTTGGTGGACATGAGGATTGGGAGGTATAGGGTGTGATATGTGCATGTGTGTACAGCTGTGTGTGCATGGGAAGGAGTGAGGTGTGTATCATTATCAGAATTATTGGAGCAAACAGGCTCTTTATTATGTGTATAATTTCCCTGCGTCCCATCGGTTCCCTCTGTGCAGGGGGAGTTGGAGTGGAACTAAACCAAATAGGGGATTTAGCAACTTCGAGAGGCTGTGGCAGAGCTTAAAGTGCTGCTGATAGATGGTGGTGGCAGGCATGGGAGAGAAGAGGTGTCACCAGCAGTGGAGAGGGAACAGAAGAGGGAATTTTGATTGGGCTGGGGGCAGGGACCGGTGTCCGGTGCCCACTTTCAGAGAGGAGGTCTGGGGACAAGTGCAGGAACTGGCCGTTCTCTGCAATAACCTGAGAGAAGAAAAGGGATGGGGAGAGGGAATGCCCAATACAGCTCAGTCCTGCCTGGGGCAGGGAGTTCGGGCCTGAGGGCGTGGCTGCACAGCCTCTCTTCTTTTAGGGGTCTCATATATGGACCCTTATATATGAGGTCCATATATTTCGTGCATCTCATATGTGGAAAATGGCCCTGAAGTTTAGTGGAAATAAGTCATCTCAGTGTTGAGTTCAAATCTCAGCTCTGCAGTAGGACCTTGGGCAAGTTACTTCTCAGAGTAGTGCAATAATTGGAGTAATAATATTTACTTTGCAGGGTTGTGGTGATCAGTAGTAACATATAAAAACTTTGGCACCTTGGAAGCACTCAATGAATGATGATGTTTTATTAAAGATATTGGATCTACTTTGGGAGGCTGAGACAGGCAGATTGCCGGAGTCCAGGAGTTCAAGACCAGCCTGGGCAACATGGTAAAACCCTGTCTCTACAAAATAATAATAATAATAATAATAATAATAATTATAGGCCAGGCATGGTGGCTCACACCTGTAATCCCAACACTTTGGGAGGCCGAGGCAGGTGGATCACTTAAGGTCAGGAGTTCGAGACTAGCCTGACCAACATGGTGAAACTCCAACTCTACTAAAAATTACAAAATTAGCTGGGCATGGTGGTGGGTGCCTGTAATCCCAGCTACTTGGGAGGCTGAGGCAGGGGAATCACTTGAATCGCAGAGGCGGAGGTTACAGCGAGCCAAGATTGCACCATTGCACTCCTGCCGGAGCAACAAGAGTGAAACTCCATCTCAATAATAATAATACATAAATTAGCCGGGCATGGTGGTGTGCGCCTGTAGTCTGTTACTCAGGAGGCTGAGGTGGGAGGGTCGCTTGAGCCCTGGAGGTCGAGGCTGCAGTGAGCTGAGATTGCATCACTGCACTCCAGCCTGGGAGACAGAGACTCTGTCTCAAAAAAAGAAAAAAAAGGCTGGGCACGGTGACTCATGCTTGTAATCCCAGCACTTTGGGAGGCCAAGGGGGGCGGATCACCTGACGTCAGGAGTTTGAGACCAGCCTGGCCAACATGGTGAAACCCTGTCTCTACTAAAAATACAAAAGTTGCTGGGTGTGGTGGCGCATGCCTGTAATCCCAGCTACTCGGGAGGCTGAGGCAGGAGAATCGCTTGAACCCCGAAAGCAGAGGTTGCAGTGAGCCGAGGCCTCACCATTGCACTCCAGCCCAAGTGACAAGAGTGAAACTCTGTCTCAAAAAAAAGACATTGAATCTGTTCGTAGATCTACATCATCTACCTGCCAATCAATCTACACCTCTCCCACCCTGTAAGATTAAAACCCAGCCTGTTCCTACCCAGGCTTGTGGGTACAGCTCCTTCTCCCTGCTCTGGGGCTGGAGAAATGTTTCTGAATAACGGTGTCTGTTTCTCTGGCTGCCCCTCCAAGCATGTTTCTATCACCAGTTTCTTTTTTCTTCTCTCTTTTACTTTATTTTTTCCTGCTTAGCCAAGTAGAAAATAAGTGTAAAGAAGCAGGAGAAAGAAAACCTTTAATCCCACCACTCAGAGGCAATTATAAAAATTGCTAACATTTCTTCAGTGCCACTTTGTATCAAGTTTTGTATCCAAATGCTTCGGATGCTTTATTTCATTTCATCCTCACAATAACCCAGGGAAACTGGTACCATGATTATCCCCACTTAATAGAAGCTGAAGCATGGAAGGTACCTTGCCCAAGATCATACAGCTAGTAAGTGATATAAGAAGGATGTGACTTGGGCAAATTCCACTTTCCTTCCGGTCTTTTAGCTATTCTGTCTTCTGAGGACTTTCCTGCTGGCTTCCTATAGCCTCTTGCTGTCTTAGTTGAGCCAGATCTCTAGCCTTTACTTTACAAATATTTATTGCTCACCTCCTCTGTCTTGGGCATCTTGCTGGGCCCTGCTGGGAGGCAGGAGGCAGCTACAGAGAAGCTTTCCAGGGCCCAGCTGCCAGCAGTCCTTTAGAGCAAGGACCAGAGAACAAAATTATTGCCCAGGGATAAATCAATGCAGAAGAAGCAGCAAGAGATGCTGCCAGCAGGGGCTTGGGAAGGAGGTTCCCTGAGGATTCTACTCTCAGCTGAGCCCTCACCTAATGCCCACTTCTCCCACCAACTCCCATCACTGCATTCTATCTCTTCCTGGGGCATGGCCCTGATACCCAAAGGACCTGAGACCCTGGATCCCACAGCCCTGGGGCTGCAGCAGGCCTGCAAGCTCATTCTCAGGATCATTGTAGCAGCCAAAATGCCTTTCTGCCCTCCATCCAGCCAATCCACCAGTGACCATATGAATCACCTAAAGCTGACTCCATTTTGTCCCTGTTCTGCTCAAAAGCAATGGCACTCAGTTAAGTAAGAACTTCTCAGCTGGCTGGCATTCAGAGAGGGTCTTGCTGATCTAAACTCAAACTGCCTTTGCAGCCTTCTTTCTGCTGCCCACCAGCTCACAATTACACCCCAACTGGAAAACTCCTTCTCAACAGCTCTTCCTTATTAACACCCCACCTTTCCTTCAAGTCCTATAGGAAATGGCTCTTCCTACAAAATCTTTCCTGAACATCCTCCCCAAGCACAATGACCACCAGGCATATCTCTTCCTTTGAGGTCCATAGTCCTTTATACTCCTTCCTGGGCACTAATCTTAGGCTGCCTGATAGCATAATGTTTTTTATCTGTCAGGTTGTAGCATAATTATTTTTTAATTGAGGTATAACATGTACAGTAAAGTACAATAATCTTAAGTGAATTTTTTTTTTAAGATGGAGTCTTGCTCTGTGGTCCAGGCTGGAGTGCAGTGGCATGATCTCAGCTCACTATAACCTCCACCCCCTGAGTTCAAGCAATTCTCCTGCCTCAGCCTCCCGAGTAGCTGGGACTACAGGCGCACGCCACCATGCCCGGCTAATTTTTGTATTTTTGGTGGAGATGGGATTTCACCATGTTACCCAAGCTAGTCTCAAACTCCTGACCTCAGGTGATCTGCCTGCCTCAGCCTCCCAAAGTACTGGGATTACAGGCGTGAGCCACCATACCCAGCCCTTAAGTGAATTTTAAATGAATTTTTATACACACACTGTAACTTCTAACCAGATGAAGATACAGCACATTTCTAGCGTCCCAGAAGGATCCTTTTGCCTCTTTCCCCAGGATCTCCTATTCTTTTTTTGAAATAACTTTTATTTTTAAATATGTATTTCTTTATTTACTTGAGACGCCGTTTCATTCTGTCACTCAGGCTGGAGTGCAGTGGCGCAATCACAGCTCACCATAGCCTCGACCTCCCTGGTCAGCTCATCCTCCCACCTCAACCTCCCCATTAGTTACGACTACAGGCGCATGCCACATGTAGTCACAGAGTTCCACCATGTTGCCCAGGCTAGTCTTGAACTCCTAGGCTCAAGCAATCCACTCACCTTGGTCTCCCAAAATGCTGAGATTACAGGCATGAGCAATTGCTAAAATAAGTTTTTATGCCTTAATAAATCCTTCATTGGAAAATCCAGTACCTCCTATTTTTTTTTTTTTTTTTTTTTTTTTTTTTGAGACAGAGTCTCACTCTATCGCCCAGGCTGGAGTGCAGCGGTGTGACCTCGGCTCACTGCAAGCTCTGCCTCTCGGGTTCACACCATTCTCCTGCCTTAGCCTCCCAAGTAGCTAGGACTACAAGCGCCGCCACCACTCCAGGCTAATTTTTGTTTGTATTTTTAGTGGAGACGGGGTTTCACTGTGTTAGCCAGGATGGTCTCGATCTCCTGACCTAGTGATCTGCCCACCTCGTCCTCCCAAAGTGCTAGGATTACAGGCGTGAGCCACCACGCCCCGCCTCCAGTACCTCCTATTCTAATTTATATCATCATAGATTAATTTTCCTTGTTATTGGGCCAGGCACAGTGGCTCACGCCTGTAATTCCAGCACTTTGGGTTGCTGAGGCAGGCGGATCGCTTGAGCTCAGAAGTTGGATACCAGCCTGGGTAACATGGCAAAACCCCATCCCTACAAAGTATACAAAAATTAGCCAGGCGTGGTGGCACAGGCCTGTAATCCCAACTACTTAGGAGGCTGGGGCATGAGAATTACTTGAACCCAGGAGGCAGAGGTTGCAGTGAGCCAAGATCATGCCACTGCACTCCAGTCTGGGCAATAGAGTAAGACTCTGTCTTGAAAAATATATATATTTTTTCCTTGTTATTGAAGCTTTTTTTTTTTTGAGACAAGGTCTCATTCTGTTGCCCAGGCTGGAGTGCAGTGGTATAATCGCAGCTCATTGCAGCCTTGACCTCCTGGGCTCAAGTGATCCTCCCACCTCTGCCTCCCCAAGTAGCTGGGACTACAGGTGTATACCACCATGCCCAGCTAATTTTTCTGTGTTTTATTTTTTTTGTAGAGATGAGGTTTCACCATGTTGTCCAGGCTGGTATCAAACTCCAGGGCTCAAGCAATCTGCCTGCCTCAGCCTCCCAAAGTGCTGGGATTACAGGTGTGAGCTACCATATAGGGCCTTGTTATTGAAACTTAGATAAATGAAGCATACAATATACACTCTTTTGTGTCCAACTTATTTCATGTAACATTGTATCTCTGAGATTTACCTACATTATTGCATTTTCCAATAGTCCGTTGTCTTTCCTTGCTTTGTAGAATTCCACTGTGGAAATATACCAAAATGTACTTACCCATTCTATTATTGATAGACATTTGGGTTGTCCCAATTTGGGGTTAGTACAAAATCAGCTGCTGTGACCATTTTTGTACTTGACTTTTGCTGAACATAAGTATTCATTCTCATGAGCATATATATGCAGGAGTAGATTTGCTGAGTTGTAGAATACACATATGTTAGCTTTAGTGGTTACTTCCAAAGAGTTTTCCAGAGATGCTACCAACTTACACTACCAGCAATGTATGTGAGTTATAGTTGCTCCAATATTTTCAGTCTTTTTATTATTTATTTATTTTTTGAGATAGATTCTCACTGTGTCACCCAGGCTGGAGTGCAGTGGCACAATCTTGGCTTACTGAAACCTCCGCCTCCCAGGTTCAAGTGATTCTTGTGCCTCAGCCTCCCGAGTAGCTGGGATCACAGGCATATGCTACCACACCCGGCTAACTTTTGTATTTTTAGTAGAGATGGGGTTTCGCCATGTTGGCCAGGCTGCTCTCAAACTCCTGACCTCAGATGATCCCACTTTGGCCTCCCAAAGTGCTGGGATTACAGGCATGAGCTACCATGCCCAGCCAGTCTTTTTATTATTTATTTTTATTTATTTATTTATTCTGAGAGAGAGTCTTGCTCTGTCGCCCAGGCTGCTGGAGTGCAGTGGCACAATCTTGGCTCACTACAACCTCCGCCTTCTGAGTTCAAGCAATTCTCCTGCCTAAGCCTCCCAAGTAGCTGGGATTACAGACATGCGCCACCACACCCAGTTAATTTTTGTATTTTTTAGTGAGATGGGGTTTGGCCATGTTGGCCAGGCTGGTCTTGAAGGCTTGGCCTCAAGTGATCCACCCTCCTTGGCCTCCCAAAATGCTGGGATTACAGGCATGAGCCACCATGTCCCATCCAGCCCCCTGTTTTTTTTTTTTTTTTGAGATGAAGTTTCACTCTTATTGTCCAGGCTGGAGTGCAATGGTGTGATCTCGGCTCACCACAACCTCTGCCTCCCAGGTTCAAGCGATTCTCCTGCCTTAGCCTCCGGAGTAGCAGGGATTACAGGCATGCACCACCACGCCCGGCTAATTTTGTATTTTTAGTAGAGATGGGGTTTCTCCATGTTGGTCAGGCTGGTCTCAAACTCCTGACCTCAGGTGATCTGCCTGCCTTGGCCTCCCAAAGTGCTGGGATTACAGGTATGAGCCACTATGCCCAGCCCCCACCTAGCCTTTTTAATTTTAACCATTTCAGCAGATGTGATCATGATTTATTTATATTTTAAAATAATATTAATATTAATAATATTTACCACCTATTGGCACTAGAAATTTAGCATCCATTGCCTTTAATATTAACAACTCTAGAAAGTAGATATTTTTATCTCCATTTTACAAGCGAGGCTCTGGGTGACTAATAGTTGAACAAGGTGACATGGATGTAAGTCATAGAACCAGAACACCAATGCAGAATCCTCTGACAACAAAAGCCTGTTTGCCCCTTGCCTGCCACACAGTAGGGAGCAAGAGCCTTGTCTTTCTCCTCTGAGATGCTCCACAGTGCTTAAGTAAGAGCTTAAGAAGGCTTGTTATATTAAATGAATTGGTGTCCATGAAGAGGCTGTGCTCTTGCATCAGGGCAGGCCCATCCAGGTGCTCTAAATTCCAGCGACTAAGACTGTACTTTCAGGGATCATTTCTTTAGTTCATTACTAGATAAGTTTCTCTGAATATGTAGAGCGCTGAATTATAATAAATAGATTTTAAAATAAATAAGTAAATAAATTCCAGTCACTGACTAGATTTAGTTGCAATCAGGAGATCTTGTTTTTGGAAAGAAGGAAGGAAAGAAGGAGGGAAGAGACGAAAGAAGGAAAGAAAGGAGGGAAGGAAGGAAGGAAAGAAGGAAGGAAGGAAAGAAGGAAGGAAGGAAGGAAGGAAACACCACTGTTTGTTTGTCTGTTTGTTTGTTTTGAGATGGAGTCTTGCTCTGTCGCCCAGGCTGGAGTGCAGTAGCTCAATCTCAGCTCACTGCAACCTCCACCTCCCAGGTTCAAGCCATTCTCTTGCCTTAGCCTCCTGAGTAGCTGGGATTACAGCCACCCGCCACCATACCCGGCTAATTTTTGTATTTTTAGTAGAGTTGGGTTTTCGCCATGTTAGCCACGCTGGCCTTGAACTCTTGAGTTCAGGTGACCTGCCCACGTCGGCCTCCCAGAGTGCTGGGATTACAGGCGTGAGCCACTGCACCCAGCCAAAACGCCGCTATTAATCAATTGGGCCTCAGTTTCCTCTTGTGTAAAATGGAGATAATAATATTGCCCTGGCTAATGAGAGAATGAGAGGCAGTGCTTTACCGTTTGTAAATTTTAATTTGTAAATTGATAGAATTATTTAACCATAGCCACCATCTGTGGAACTTTCTAAAATATATGGATTCCAGGGACCCAGCCCTGAAGATCCAGATTGGCATGATCTAGGGTGGGGCCTGGGTATGTACATTTTTAAAAAGCTTCTCTGGGTGATTTCAATGCTCAGCTAATGGTGAGAACAGCTGGGGTAAAAATGTGTATGATCATCATTATTGTTTCAGTATGATCATCACTGTAGTTATCTTTTGGAGGATGAAAGTGGGGAAACACCCTTTAGAGAAGTCTATAAACACCTAGATCCATTGTAAGTCCTTAAATAAGGACCACTGTCACTGTCTTCGCTCCCTGGTCATCTCTGGCCTGGGGTTTCAGAGGCAGGTTCATAAGTGTGTGTGTATGTGTTTTCATGAATATGTGCTTGGAAAAGGCAATGAGAAGAAAGCAGATTATGAGGGGTTTCTGTCTTGAGAGGAAGCTACTGGAACCAGGAAGAACAAGCAGTCTGATTCCTAGGGGCTCAGGCCTATGCACTTAACCATAAGAAACAAGCGAAAGTGGCCCCACTGAGCTCCATGAGGAGCATGGCTAATCCTGTCACTCTGATTTGCATGTAGGGATGGTCTGCTTGTGGGGATGGTCAGTTCCTGCAGACCCGTAACTGCTGAGCTCATGAAGAGCCCCCTGGGATCTGGCCTGAGAGTCCATCAGCCAACTCTCTTCCTCCTGTTAGTACTTTCCCCCATAACCTGGGTATCCCAGGGTACTGTCCATCTCTGAGAGGTTAGAGCATGGCAAAGACCAACCCACCAATTCCCCTCTGCCCAGAGACCTCAGTTCCTGGGCCACTCTCTATCCAAGGCCACAAGGCCAAGTTCTAGGTCTCTTCCACTCTTTATACTCAGTAAGGGGGACTCTATGGGACTAAGCTAGGGTCCCTGCATGTCCTGGCATGGAGGTGGGAGTGAGTAGAGGGCTAGGGCTCAGAAAAGGATGTGGGAAGAGAAAAAGGGAAATAAAATAGAGGGCAGGATTAATGAAGTGGCTTCAAAAACTAATAGTGCATTTCCCAACATCTCCTCCTCTGACTCTCCCATCCCAAGGGAACCTGCCCACACCCCCAAAGCAGGCTGCCCAGCTCTCAGTCCACCTGCTAGGGTGGAAAGAGGCAGGAAGTCTCTCAAGGTGAGGGAGAGAACTCCCCTTCCTTTATACTCCAATCTCTAGAGATGAAACCCCAGGTCTCAGCCCCTCCTGTGAAGCACAGGCCCATCCCCACCCCTACCCAGCTTCAAAATAGCCAGTGGGAGGTGCATTAACTGGCGATGCTTTGGGGACAGCTCCCGCCATCCACAGCCCTGGCCATCTTAGTTTCTTTCAGTTCATCCCATCAAATGCCCTCCTTTCTCCCAGGCCTCCTCCCTAGAAGCTGACCTGGAGCTGGATTCCCAAATAAACAGTAACTAATTGGATTAGGAGCCGATAATACTGTTGACCTTTCTTAATGTCTACTGGCTGTCTTTCCACCACACTGAGGCTTAATTGTATGCAGTGGGGAGGAGGGTGGGGGACTTCCAGGAGTGAAATGTGACCCCTGTTAACCTCAGATAAAATGGGCTCAGCGTCTTCCCAACTGCCTGTCATCCCCCATGGAGCAGGAACACACACATGCTCCCTCTCTCATCAAATAATTACACAGATGATACACACATGCATAGGCATGCATACAGAGATGCAAACACACCCAGAGGCACATATGCATCCACACGTGGTGCACACATAACGTTGAACCTGGGTCATACATGTACACAAGTCACACTTGAATGATACACCTACAAAATTACATATATGAAAGACAAGTATATGCATATACACAGATACAGATTTGCAAAATGCAAACACACAGATACATATCGATAAATATATATTATTGCACCCATGATGCAAATGCATAATAGATGTATTCGCATATGTACACAAGATACATATGCAAGTAAAGATACACTGACATGCACACGTATGCATGATGCTTAAATAAATGAGCATGCAAAGTCCATGATACAAGTGCATACACACATATGCACGCTACGCATACCTTTGCACATCGATAGACGTCAGAGCCCCCACCACCACACACACACACACACACACACACACACACACACACACACACACAGGCAGTTTGCCCCATTCCACAGCCCATCTCCTTCCCAGTCTCTGCTGCTACCACTTTCTATTTGTTCCTGGGTTGTCTGGCTGTGTTTCTGGGATCCTGAGTATTATGGGTCTCTTGGAGTTCTGGCCCAGCCCCTCTGAGTGTCTCCTCCTCTCAGTATCTCTGGGGCCCTGTCCCCATGTGGATCTCTCTCATCCTGGGATGCTGAAGTGGAAAAGGACCTGGCTGCCACGGTGGTAGGGAGGGCATGAAAAGGGAAGAGATTAGAAGGGGAGGATGGGAGAGAAGGGCCAGAGAGGATGGAAAGGAAGGTCGGGGGAAAGGACCGGGAAAGAGGGGAGCGGGGAGCGAGGGGCGGGGGAGGGGCGCCTGCCTGCGCACAGCAGATGTTGCCGCTCCTCGGATGGAGCTGTTAATGTAAGTGGAGTTTCTGCAATGGTAATTAGGAGGGCCCTCATTACCCTGGCGGAGCCGGCTGAGAGCCGATAAAGCCGAGGGGGAGAAGGGCCGACATCAGGGTAATGGGGGAGCAGGGCCATTGAGGAGCTGGAGCCGAGCCGGGGACCGCTCCGCGCGCAGCTGGAGCCCGGCGAGAGGGCCGCGGAAGGGGGGTGCGAACCGGGGCCGGACCCCGGGGAGGAGCCGGGAGGCGAGCGGCGAGGGGCACTGCGCGGCTGGGTCTGCCCCGGGGTTTCGCACTGCGCCGCGGGTCGAAGTACCGCGAGTTGGCCCTGACTGTCTGCAGGATGAGGGTGTCGAGGAGGGTTCCAGGCCAGCGTGCCTGCCTCGCCTCCAGCCCGGGGTAAGGAGATCCACGGAGGCCTCTGCGCCTAAACTCAGGTGGCCAGACAGAGTTGGGGCGGGAGGCGGGTATACGGAAAGGACACCCTTCCCCTCTATGGGCCCCGCCCGCTGTGCAAGGGTGGGGAACTAGCACCCTCGTCCAGCGTCTAGCGTGACCAAGACATGTACTGTAGAATAGCCAACACAAGAGTTGACGGCTCCAGAATGTCAGATCACAGACGAGAAGACCAGCCTTCAGGGTTGGAGGTAGAAGCCTCTTGACTCTTTGGATTGAAAGGAGACCAGTCACCCCTCCTGGGAGGACTCTCCCACCCATCCTCCCCTACATAGTAACCTCTCAGCCCTAGAGGAGCTACAAGAAAAGCGAATTGGAGAAGCTCATCCAAGCAGTCCTAAGTACCTTGCTTCCATGCAGGGCTTTGCAGGAAGAGGAAGGGAGGCAGGGAAGGGTACGGTGACAGCTGTAGACATCACCTGCAGCTCTGCTCCCCGGCCAGGAACCCAGGAGGCCCTCCCAGACCCCCAGAATGGGGTTCTGGGGTGGGCAACTCATTTGCCATCTATCCTCCCCACACCTGAATATTTTAGGATGGGCCTCCAGCGCTTTCCAGGCTAACTCAGCGAGCCCAGTCTTCTTAGTCAACTGAGAGACATGTCTACAGAACAGACCATGTGGCCAACTCCTCCTCCTCCCCATGCCCCAGGCAAGAGGACTCTGGGAAGACATCCAGGAAGCAAGGAGTCTGTAGCCAGGTCAGAGAGAGAGGAGCTGTGGGGGTCTGTACAGACCACCTCCAGCAGAGAACCCATCCTCCATTTTCATCCCCTCTTCACATCCCTCCACCCACAGCTGCCTTCAGAAGCCCAAGGTCATTGGCCCTGCCACTCTGGTTTGCCAACTCCTCAAGGACCACATAGGCCCAACTGTTATGGAAAGGGTGGACCAGAGAGAGGGGCTTCTTTTCCTTCGGCTTTGGGGAAGGCAAAGGCAATTCCTGCCACTGCCCACTCCAGAGACGGCCGCATCTTCCAGGTGACTAAAGGCAAGTGATGGTTCTGAGGAGACCAGGACTGTGGGGAGCTCCTGGGCTCAGTGGGGGGAGCTCCTGGGCTCAGTGGGGGGAGCTCCTGGCCTCGGGGAGAGCCCCAGATGTCGCTCCCCTCTTCAGCTGCATGGCAGAGCAGGGGTTAACAGGGAGAGGCTGCAAGGCTGGAGCTGCGAGGCTGGAGCAGGCGGTGGCTCCCGCCTCTTCACCACCCCCCTCAAGAGTTGCTGACTCTTCCTTTTTGTTCGGGCTGACAGCGAGCACCTGGTGTGCTCCTGCAACAATATTGTTCCTGCCTCCCTCCCCCCAGGCCCCAGGCTCCCTTCCCTCTCCCCCTCCCCGCCCGCCGGCAACCTTCCCCTCTGCCTCCTCTTTCCCTTGCCCCCTCCTGCCTGTGGCCTCCTAGGCACCCCCCTACCACAACCACCACAAGCACCGACGCTGCAGTGTCAATAAACACAACATATGCTGCCATTAATGTGAAAATCGTGCCCTCTACCCCATTCATCTCCTCAGCCTGCCCGCCCGCTGGGGGTGGGGGTGGGGGGTGGGGGAAAGAAAGGTCAAGTGGGAAGCATTAACTACCCTCTTTTTCCTATCTGCTCAGCCCCCACCCCCACCCCCAGACTGGAGAGAAGAAAAGGAATTGGAGGAGAAGGAATGGGATAAGGGTGGGGGTTTTCTGAGACCCACATTCTCTCTGACATGCCCACTGAGCCTCCCCACAGGAAAACAGGTGAGCGTCCTCATCCAGCCCACGGTCTTCAACTTTGGGGTGGGGGCCAGAGTGAGGCCCTTGGCCTGCCCATGGACAGCCATGTTGCGGGCACGCTTCGCCTGGGGCCAAATGTGGTCACGCAAGTGGGTCTCTTTCTCCTGCACATCCAGCAGTCATCTCAGCTCCTGGGGACTTTCTGTCTGTCCACAGGATTATGAAAGAAATACTAGAAGTATTCTCCAAGTTGGGTTGGGCTTCAGAAAGCCCTTTTGATATAAGCCAAATACCTCAGATGGCCAAGGGAGTGGCCTGGCCTCAGTCTCCTCAACTAAATCACCAGTTCCAAGACAGCAGGGAATAATAAAGATAAAAATAATATAATAACGACAGCTAACATGTATTGAGGGCTTATTTATGTACTAGGAATTGTGCTAAGCACTTTACAGGCTTTATCTAATTTGCTCCCCATAAGACCCCTATGGGGAAGTTACAACGGATATCCCCATTTTACAGCTGAGGAAACAGGCTTCACAGGGTAGCTAGCATGTATTGAGTGCTCACTGCATGCCAAGCGCTGTGCTGAATTCACTTAGTACAATGTTTTCTTGTTTGTTTGTTTTTTTGTTTTGTTTTTTTGAGACGGAGTTTTGCTCTTGTTGCCCAAGCTGGAGTGCAATGGTGCGATCTTGGCTCACTGCAACCTCCGCCTCCCGGGTTCAAGCGATTCTCCTGCTTCAGCCTCCCTAGTAGCTGGGATTACAGGCATGTGCCACCACACCTGGCTAATTTTGTATTTTTAGTAGAGAAGGGGTCTCTCCATGTTGGTCAGGCTGGTCTTGAACTCCCAACCTCAGGTGATCCACCTGCCTTGGCCTCCCAAAGTGCTGGGATTACAGGCATGAGCCTCCGCACCCGGCGAGTACAATGTTAATGACCCTGCGGTGAGTACAATGTTAATGACCCTGCGAAGCTGGCATCACTATTAGTGTCATCTTACAGAACAGGAATCTGAGGCCCAGAAAGGTTCAGTAACTTGCCCAAGGTCACACAGCCAATAAGCAGAACTTGGCCAGGAACCCAAGTCTGTCTGACAGCAAAGCTTGTCATCTCAACCCCTATACTTTCCTGCCTCCTTTTTCTATCTATCACCATCTCCAGTAACCCCACAGCATGGCCCCCTCAAATCCGCCCTGTGTGGGGTTGAACAGATACAGGGCAATGCAGAAGGAAAAGCTGACAAGCGGCCTGAGCGTGAGACCGAGCCGAGACTTATTCTCTGCTCAGCTCCTCCCTGGTTTCATTGTCACTCCTTTGCCACTGAGCTGCGCCCACCCAGCCTGTGCGCTCACTGGACTCCTGCCCCCTGTCCAGCCCCATTTTAAGAATTCATCGTGGACAGGAAAAGTGCCCCTTCAGGCTCCCTTAGCATGAAGACATTGTGCTTGGCTCTGCAGCTCCTCACTTCTGAGACTCCAGTTGCTTTATTGATATTAACTTAACACTCCCCCGCCCGCCACTTCCCCACCCGCCCTAGCCCAGGCTGACGGGCAGAAATCTGCTGCCTGGGCACCACCCTGACCTCTCTTTTCCTCTTTCATTATCCACTCCAGGCACCAGGGAGCCAGCACCAAAATTAAAACAATAACTAAGCCCGAAGTGGACCCAGCAGCCCCCACTCCCACCCCAAGGGAGGGGAAAAAAGCCACAAAAACACCTGGAGAGGAGAATAATCACTGGAAGGGGAGGGGGTGACCCACTCCCATGCCAGCACCCTTCACCTGCCTTAACCCTTTGTTCCCTGGACAGTAACCAAGGTTTCCCCATTTCATCCCTCCCACCCAGTCCCATAAAGAAGCGGCAGCTTCTGGCAGCTGCTCAGTCATTTGGTGCAATGGGATTTGAATAAACAAACCGGGGACAGTGAGGTCCCCAGAAGTCCATAGTCAAGGGCTAAGACCCCTAGAGGCTTTCAGTCCTGCCACAGCATGAAGTTGGCTCATATCAGAGCCAGCGAGCCAGCTGGAAAGAAAGGACATGGGTCAAGGCAAGCCCAGTCTAGCTCTGTGGAGGCCAGCAGAGGGGGCTACTGTCCTGAGGTCAAGTGGTGGGAGAGGGAAGCTTAGAGAGGCCCATCTCAGGAGAGCGGAGGTGCTGATTATCCTGTAGTGGTGGGCACCTACCCATGCAGCCTCCCCGGACATCTATGGGCTAGCAGCTCCAGCAGGGGGTGTCCCTCCAGGGAGATTATCCTGTAGTGGTGGACATCTTCCCGTGCAGCCCCCCTGGACATCTATGGGCTAGCAGCTCCAGCAGAGGCTGTCCCTCCAGGGAGAGGGGGCAGAGCTAGCAGCACTGAACTGTCCTAAGTGTGCTGGGCTCTGCAGAGGGCCTTTCTGTCGTACGCCCCCTCAGCTCTACCTAGAAAGAACCTATCTCACTGCTCCATCGGTCCCACACCAGGATTCCCACACCCCCAAGCTGGCCCCTTCCCTGCCTCTACTCCACACCACACTCCAACCTCTCAGGGTCTTCTAACCACCCCCTTATCTTGTCCAAGGTGTGAATAAGTCCTTGTTTACCTTAATTCTGCTAACACCAAGAGGGAGACTTTTCCAAAGGCTCTGTACTACAAAACTGAAGGAAAGACTAGGAGAGCCAACACTTATGTTACCATGGCCAGGCCCTGTTCTAAGGACTTTTCCTAAGATTTGCACAACAATCCTAAGAGATAGGTACCCCTATCCTACAGACGGAGGAAAGGAGGGCCTGAGAATTCACAAACTTTAGCTGGTGAATGGCACAGCTGGGATTTTGATCCAGGCGGTATATGCTTATGCAACACTACTTTTTCCAAAGCAAAAAAAAAAAAAAAAAAAATTTAAGTCTTTATTTAAGTTCTTTATTCCACATTAGACTGTAGGCTCTCTAAGGGCTTTCTTGCCCATCATGGCATTCCCACAGGGTGAGGCAAAGTGGGACAACCATAAATGTGCACCAAAGGGATTCCAAGACAACTAAAGGCCTCCAAGGACTGCCTGACACACCCCAGTGGGCACAGAGGACATGATCCTTCCCCTTGCCTCAGCCATGGCTAGCATGGGTGCTAGACTCAGCCACACTGACTGCTGGCCACAAGCAGGCTTAGCTGAATCCAGAGCCAGGTCTGATGAGGTCCTCTAGCCTTTCCAGAACTCTTCCATCTTCTCATTGGTCTCCCTTGACCCTATAGGTTCTGACCCAGTCCTGGCCCCCTCAGCTCATCCTTATAGCCCCTCAAGGGCCTGCACCACCTGTCTCCAAAGACTAGTCACACTTCATGAGGGCCCTCATGGTCATGCCCTTCAGAGGCCACTACTCCCCAAGCCCGGCACTCTCCTGCTATCGTGGAGCATATTTGTGGTTAGGGCTGGCCCTGCCTTTCAGAAGCTCAGCCCTCTCACCCCACAGCCTGGTTTCAAGTTGTCCTAAGGACATGTGCCCTGGCCCCAGGAGCCACTCTGCTTCACACCTGCCCCCTGCCCACAGCTGACCAAAGACTTTCCTTTGCCACTCTCTCAATACAAGCCCTCTATTGCTCCCGTTCCTGATATAAGTTTCCTCCAAATCCCCACACTGTCTCCTGTGACCCACTTAAGAGACCTAACTCTCTGGACTTAAAATAGAAAACACCAAACACAAGCTTTTACACTTCCCGCTACCAGCGGAATAAAGGTTGCATCTTTAACAAAAACAACATAACCACCTACTAATAATAATAGTTGCCGACCACTTCAAAGTGGGTGGCCATTCACTTGCCCAGCTCTCCCCAACCCACTTCCTACCTGTCCCCAGGCTGTGGGTCTCTCGGGACGTGTGACGTGTATGGCTGTGTGCTGTGTATTTTTGCCTCCTCAGGAAAAACTCCAAAGTGACTGCTTGCCCTGGGCTCATCTATAATCTGGGGCATTGATCGGGGCCCATTGATAGCTGATTGTTTTCACACGTGACTCGGTCACATTCCTCTAATCTCCATCCTTCTGCTCAGTTTGCATGACAAGAAGTGGCCTCGGTGGAGAGAGGTCGCTCACCTCTGACCAGGATATAATTGGAAAAAGAAGGTCATTGCCTCCTTTGCTTCTAGGGCAGATCAGCTTCGTTCCATTTGTGTCACGAGCTCTTGCCAGCACACACTCTCAATGACATGGAGACAATGGCTGTGCCCCACAATGGAGCCCACAGAGATGTGCTCGATACAACACAAACACACCCCAGGATCCGCACTCACTCTCATCAGGACAGGCATGTACGACAACACACACACAATAGGTGCTCTCAGTAAACGCTGATGATAACACCAGTGATACACGGGATGATGCATACCCAGTGACATCCGCACACAGAGGATACATAAAAAGATGCATAAAGCAATGCTTACCCAGTGGTGCAGGTACCCAGCAACATACACATGCAGCGACACACAGACACATCCATGAGGGCAAATAGCCCAGGCCGAGCTACCACATCCAACATGAAAAAATATGTGACATTTTTCAGTGTACCCACTTGGCAGGTAGCCCATTATATCTTGTACTATTATTGATCTGCTTGGAGCCAAAGCTGACAGTGCCCCACTCCTGGTCTCCCCATGTTCCCATTCCCAGTGCCGCACCTCCAGGCAGTTTCTTCAGGTAATGCTCATGTGGGACTCTGTATCAGCGTTATCTGGGGGAGCTCTGACACCGGGCATGCTTCCAGGAAGCCCTGCCTCTACATACAAGCTTCTTACAATGCATGCGTGCGGGTAAACACGCTTATGTTAAAAATCTCCCTCAAGTAATTCTGCTATCCTGCCAGGTCGAGAACACTGAGCCGTCACCACCAGGCTCCCCTCTCCAGGGTGGCTAAACTTGCCATTGAGGGTGTTGGGCTGTATTTTATTTTCTCAGTTTGGGAAGGGATGAGGCCCCAGAACTGAAAAAAGGACAGTCAATGGCCAGGAACCGAATGAGTTAAAACCGGGCCCTATAGCCTTCATCCCTGGTGACTCTGGCTGGCCTCGTTAGCGCCCGCGCAGCACGCACAGAAGGACCCTTCGCGCAGGATGTCCCGGAGACTCGTCCACGCTCCCTAGCCGGGCTGCGAAGGCCCAGATCTCCCAGCGCCTCCATGCCGCGTCGGCCGCGGCCTTGGGGGTCTTCCGGGGACAGTGGCCAGCCCTGGGCCGGTGACCTAGCCTTTGGGCGCTTCCCCGGGGCTCTAGGGTCCCAGGGCGCCAGGGCCAACACCAGGAAAGCCAGAAGGTTCCTTCCTTTGGGGCAGGAGTTGGGGGGAGTCGCCGTACGCCCACCCTGCCACGCGGGAGGCCTCCGGGAGAGGGCAGAGGGCGCCGGGCAGGGACCAATCATCGGCGGCGACCGGTCACTCGCGCCCCAGCGAGGAGACCCTGAGATCCGCGGGGAGAGCACAGGGTCGCGCCGCCCCCTGGCGGCTCAATGACAGAGTTGAGGCCCGGCGGCTGGCGACTGCGGCGTCTGGCAGCTCCAGGAAAGGATCCCCCTTGTGAAGAAACGCCCCTACGAAGACTGTCCTGTCCTGTCCCTGCCCTCCCGCTCCCGCTCGCCTTCTCTCCCCTTCTTTATTTTCTCTCTTCCTCCTCCCCCCACCTCTTCCACTCTTCCTGCCCTTCCCCCCTCCCCGTCCTCACTCCCTCTCCCACCCCCATTCCTTTCTCTCGTCCTTCGCCCACCGCCTCCCGCCCCCGCGGGGCAGCGCCTCGGTGCACCCGCTTGGCAGTTAGCCCATTAGATCTCGTACTATTGATCCGCTTCTGAGCAAAAGCTGACAGCACCCCCTCCCGGGCTCCCCACGTTCCCATTCCCCGCGCCCCCCTCCAGGCAGTCCTGGCCTGCGCCTCCTCCCGCCCCCCACGCGGGCCGCGCCGAAGTCTCGCCCTCACGAAGGACGAGAACAAATGTAATTAAAGCGACCGGCGAGGGGGGTGTGCCCCCACCAACGCAGGCACGAGCGAGGGTCCCAGCGGCCGGCGCCCGGCCTGCCACCTCCCTCCCCCTCGTCCCCGCCCCCTGGAGCGGGAGCATTTGGGTTGAGCTGCGCCTGTCCTATAAATCCACATATAATTCTCCTCTTTCCTGTTCAGCTAAGGAAAATAAACGTGTAAGGCTGTTTCTGGGAGCCCAGCTCAGGGACCGCTCTAAATTCTCCTCTTATTGAGTAGGGGCTGGAAATCATTCAGCTCGGCGGCGCGCCCCAGAACCACCCCCTACCCCCGCTCCGGCCCGCGGCCGCGCCCGCGCCCGCCGCGCACACGCACGCGCGCACACGGAAGGCAGGCGCCGGGTATATAAATATCTCCAGCTCTCCCCATAGCCGGGCAGATTTATTCCGCTGCCAAGCCTGCAGAAAATTGACTTGTTCATGGAGGCGGCTATTGACACATCACCGGGGGGAGGGTTAGGGGAGAAAGCAGTGGAGCCGGCGCCCCTCCATTATACGTTAATGTAATCAGCAGTGTGCGAAATGACTGCGCGGAAAATAGCATCACTGACATTTATATTAGAGGATATTGATGGCAGGAGCTGTGACCGCATCACTCTGCCTCCCGTTTCCACGGATTGACACAGGAGCCTCTTGTTGGCTCCATCCACGCTCGCCTCCCCTCCCCCTACCTCTCCCGCCCTCTCTCTGTCTCCACCCACCCTGTGTCTCTCCAGCTCTCCCCCTCTCCGAGGAGGAGATCTCACCCCCACCCTCCCTATACACTCTTTGATCACTCATTTTCCAAATAATTCTTGAGCACCTACTGGGTGCCAGGCGCAAGGGTCTCTCCCTGTGCCTCCTCTCCCTAGGTTTCTCCCTCCCCCTCTCCCCCACCGTGCCCTTGCCCTCTTTGTCCCTCCTCCCCAGCTCTGCCTCTCCCCTCCCCCTGCCTTGGCTCGGTGGCTGGACCGCTGCTGTCACAGCAGATAGATAATTGAAAAATGGGCCTCACCTTTGCAGCCGGCAGGAGTGGTTCAGGCAGTTACCGCCGGGGTTACCTACTCCATCTCAGGCCCAGGCTCCAAAAGAGATTCTGAGGAAATTGGATTTTACATGGATGTTTTATTCGAGCAGAGGCTTTAGTGTATATAAATACAGGCGAGGAGGCCTTGGCGGCAAGGATGAGTGAGGACAGACAATCCCGCCTGGGGCCTCCAGGCTCAGGCGAGGCAGGCGGGCCATGTGCTCAGCTCCCGGTCCCAGACCTGGATATCAGCGCATTCCCCCTCATGATCTGGGACTGAAAGAGGTTAATGCTTCTGAACAGCTCCTCAAAAGCTGCCTTGGGAATAAAAGAGTGTAGTTGTTGAGAACTTGACAGGACAGTATACTGAGAAAAGAAGGAAATATACTGGAGAAGTTTGAGGACTGATTCTTTTTCTTTCTTTTTTTTCTTTTTCTTTTCTTTTCTTTTTTCTTTTTTATTTTTTGAGACAGAGTTTCGCTCTTGTTGTTCAGGCTGGAGTGCAATGGCATGGTGTCAGCTCACTGCAACCTCCGCCTCCCGGGTTCAAGTGATTCTCCTGCCTCAGCCTCCCGAGTAGCTGGGATTACAGGCATGTGCCACCACACTTGGTTAATTTTGTATTTTTAGTAGAGACGGGGTTTCTCCATGTTGATCAGGCTGGTCTGGAACGCCCAACCTCAGGTGATCCGCCCGCTTCAGCCTCCCAAAGTGCTGGGATTACAGGTATGAGTCACAGTGCCCGGCCGAGGACTGATTCTTTCAATAAATATCTATTGAACCTTTAACTTTTGAAGTATTGAGTTTGAGGCACAGGAGTGAGTAAGTTATGGCTGCTGCCTTCAAGAACAGTCTAATAGTTTGGAGAATGACACTGGGGGTTTCCTTTTTTTTTTTTTTTTTTTTTTTTTTCAGAGATGAGGGTCTCACTATGTTGCCCAGGCTGGACTTGAACTCCTGGTCCCAAGCGATCTTCTTGTCTCAGCCTCCCATCTAGGGTTTCTGGTTATGGATAAGGAAAGGGAGAGTGAGAAAGCAGATGCTGAGATTGCTTTTCTAGGGCATGACCAGCTGGGGAGCTTGAATGAAGAGGCAGGAGGGAAAGTGGTCGGATTGGGGCGATAAAGGACCTAACTCTCCAGTCTGCTCTCTGAGCCTGGTTAGCAAAGCATCTAGGGAACTTGGACAATGGTGGACAATGAATCTATAGGCAAGATCACATCCAAAGTGTTTGCAAGGAATCCTGGTGAGATTCTCTGGAGGGCCAAGATGAAGGATCATTGAAGACCAAGGTGAGGCCCTCCAGAGAGACCAGGTAGAAGGTGGGAAGAGGACCTTTGCGGGAGGCCTAAATTGAAGGCACTTGGGCAAATGAGGGGCATCAGAAGACCAGGGAGATGGGATGTGGGTGTGGAGCGGGAGGAGGCAATGCCTGGGGACCTAGGATAAAGATTCTTTTGGCCGGGCATGGTGGCTTACGCCTGTAATCCCAGCACTTTGGGAGGCCGAGGAGAGTGGATCACCTGACATCAGGGGTTCGAGACGAGCCTGGCTTACATGGTGAAACCCCATTTCTACTAAAAATACAACAAATTAGCCAGGCATGGTGGTGCACACCTGTAATCCCAGCTACTCAGGAGGTTGAGGCAGGAGAATCGCTTGAACCTGGGAGGCAGAGGTTGCAGTGAGCTGAGATCGTGCCATTGCAGTCCAGCTTGGGCACAAGACGGAGCGAAACTCCATCTCAAAAGGAAAAAAAAAAAAAAAAGATTCTTCCAGGGCCTGAATGTCCCCTACCCCATAGGAAGGTCTACATTTCATTCCTGGGCAGGGTCTTTTCTGTGCCCTGTTTGATCTCTGATTAGAGTCTATGTGGCTGACAGGTGCAGCGCAAATCATTTCTGTTCCTTGGAAGGAGAGTCATGAGCCATCCCATGATTAAAGGACTGGAATGAAGATGAGCGGACCCAGGCTCAGACTGCTCACTGAAGGGATAGGGGCTTCTTCTGAGCTCACAGCACAGACAACAGCTGCCTTATCCCAGCCATATCGCTGAAAGCTGGACTGTTCCTCCCCCAGAGAAACATTACAAAACCCCCCTTGTCCTCTGCCACATTGTTATACTGTTACATCATCCGCTTTGGGGGCAGGACAGGTGCTGGATAGATGATGGCCATCCCTCCAGCTGCCCCACACACATCCCAGGCACTCCCAGATGGCACACTGGGAACTCCAGTCCAGCTGTAGGATGGGAGTATTCTGCGGTAACTGGACTCCCTCTCAGAACTCTCCCTGTCTGACTGCCATCAGCATCTTCCCTCTCACCTACAGATTTCATTCATCCTGACAGCCCAGTGGAAAGGGAGCCCCTTTCCACCCATCAGGGAGCCAGAACACTCCCACTTACCTTAGTTACCTGTGCCACCTCCTTCCCTTTGCCCTCAGTGAACCACAGGAACTCATGTCCTATCTGTCTCCCAGATCAACTCCTGTATTTGTCTTCCTTTCCTTGTGACTCATTTGAAACATGGATGCAGAGATTCTGGTCTTGCTCCTAGCTTAAGACCCTGCTGTGGTGTTTGTTTCCCTCCAAAATTCATGTTGAAACTGAATCCCCAACGCAATAGCATTAAGAGGTGGGGCCTTTAGGAGATGCTTAGGTCGTGCCCTCACAAACAATATTAGTGCCCTTATAAAAGGGCTTGAGGGAGTTGTTTGCCACTTTTCCCCCTTCTGCCGTGTGAGAATGCAGCAAGAGGTGCCACGTATGAAGCAGAGAGATATCCTTTACCCGACACCAAATCTCCTGGCCCCTTGATCTTGGACTTTCCACCTCCAGAACTGTGAAGAACAAATTCCTATTATTACTATTATTATTATTATTATTATAGAGTCTCACTCTGTAACCCAGGCTGGAGTGCGGCGGCGTAGTCTCAATTCACTGCACCCTCCACCTCCTGGCCTCAATCGATACTTCCACCTCAGCCTCCCAAGCAGCTGGGACTACAGGCACCTGCTACTACACCCAGCTAATTTTTTTGTATTTTTTGTAGAGATGGGGCTTCACCATGTTGCTCAGACTGGCCTCAAATTCCTGGGCTCAAGCAATCCTCCCACCTTGGCCTCCCAAAGTACTGGGATTACAAGCATGAGTCACCATGCCTGGCCTGAATTTCTATTATTTATAAATTACCCAGTGTCAGGTATTTTGTTATGGCTGCAGAAATAGATTAAGACAGACCCCTTGGCTGGGCACGGTGGCTCACACCTGTAATCCCAGCACTTTGGGAGGCCGAGATGGGCAGATCACGAGGTCAGGAGATCAAGACCATCCTGGCTAACACGGTGAAACCCCGTCTCTACTAAAAATATAAAAATTTAACGGGCAGGTGCCTGTAGTCCCAGCTACTCAGGAGGCTGAGGCAGGAGAATGGCGTGAACCTGGGAGGCGGAGCTTGCAGTAAGCCAAGATCGTGTCACTGCACTCCATCCTGGGCAACAGAGCAAGACTCTGACTCAAAAAAAAAAAAAAAAAAGACAGACCCCTTGAACAGGATGGCGATGAGAACATGAGTGCATGCATATACATGTGTGTGCATGCACATGTGCTCCCTTGAGCATTGCAAACCCAGGGAATAAGTGACACCATTCAAGGAACCGCACTCGGTCTCACCTTGCCATCCAATTTAGGAAATTGACATTCGTTAGAAAAATAAAGGAGCAGCCAGGGAAGTGGCTTCCCACAGCAGGAAGGATGCTCCTCAAGGCTTTATGAAGATGGGCTTCTGGGAAGTCATTCCTCCAGGAACATCTGCCCGATAAGCCATCAGAGAGGACTCAGGGAAATGGGGGGTTGAAGGTACTGGAAAACGGAGCCACATATAATTCAACCATTTCTTGAGATTTGGAATCTGTCCTTTCTCTCTCCCCATGTAGAGGCCAGGTAGATGTAGGGTGCAAAGGAGAATGAACCTTTGAAAGGTGGCTACTCTGCTTCTGGGGGGCCAAGGAAGCCAGCAGGAGCTGGGAAGTTAAGGTCTAGGTGGAGAAGCCAAGCTTGGCAGAGGAGTGTTTCCAACTTTAGCAACAAAGCCAATCTGAGCTGTGTAACTGAGGTGAAAGTCACTTCACCACTCTGGGCTTCAGGTTCCTCATCTGTAAAATGAGAAAAAATAAGATTTCTTTCCGTTCTAGTTTCTGTGATTCTAAACCGATGGGTGAGTGTGATTGGAGAGCCCAGGTTTAGGATGAAAGAAGGAATTTCAGGGCTGAAGATCCAGATTCTTACAAGAGGGATGAACAGAGGTAATTGCAGGGCCAGCGGGGCCTGACATTCATCAGAGGACTGTTGGTGGCTGGGAACCTGCCAGGGCCAGGACAAAACAGAGCATAAAATCAGCCCGACCCTGGGGCAGAGAGAAGGCAGGGATGGATCTAGAAAGCATGCTACCTAAATTGTTTCAAACTCAGACTCTTTGCTCAGAATCTGGCTCATACAGCCCAGAGATCATGGGTAGAAACTCCAAGTGGCCAGGCAGGTGTCCATCAGCCTAAGCAACATAAAATCTGTGCACTCTCACGTTCTGTGCTTTAGAAGGGAATGAGTGGGAGGTGAGGGTCTTTGCTTTGTTTCCCCAGAGTTTCCTAATACGGTTTCCTGCTTGAGAAATGTTAGCATCACCTTGGCTGGATGGAGAGGGGATCAGGGCGCCCCTAGTGGTGGAGGCTGGTGGTTGGCAGAAGCGGCACCTCCTTAAGACTTCACTAGAGGAGCACGGGATAAAGTGTGAAGCAGCTGGAGGGAGGCCGAGGGGCACAGAGCCTAATGGAGGCAATCCCTCCGCCCTGTTTTGACTCAGGGCAAGATGAAACAGGGCAGGTGGCCAGGGAGAGTTGGAGCAGAAAGCTGCCTTGGAGGATAAATGCCTAGAGGGAAAAGACTAGAAGCCCAGAGCACAGGCAGCCAGCAGGCAGCAGGCAGGGGAGGAGAGGTGAGAAGGGAGGGAAGATATCCCTTTCCACGGATGTGCCTTGGCCCCTGCCCAGGCAAAGAGGGGCAGATTTTCCGTCTTGTCCCAAGCCCCTGCATCTGCCACCTTGTTTACCTCCTGCCTATTTATAGTTGCAAATTCCAAGCCTGGCATGGGACTCTGCGATTTATATGACTATAAACCTTCAAAGGGCACTGAGGGCTGGCGGGGAATGGGTAAAGACAGGGGCAGGCCTCGCAAGGTCAAAATACTCAGTCTCCCACCCCCACTGTCCTGACATCCTACCTCCTCACAACAGGTTGAAAGGCCAGGCTCACGCAAATAAGAAAATGGGTAGGAAGCCACAGTCGCCGCTGACTCTTCCTACCCTAAGCTTGTCCAGTTTAGGATTTAGAGCAAGGCAGAGCATGTCCTGGGTCCTGGAACATGGTGGGGGAAAAGAAGAAAAACAATAGAGCAAAACAGAGAGAACCTGTTTTAGTCTCCCTGGCCCCTTTTGGGAGGGGGTAGGGAAGCTCAGTGTGGGAGAGTGGATCTCATCAAGGACAATTGAATTTGGAGAGAGTGGGTGAGTCCAGGCTTTCGAGGGAGAGGGGAAATTGGGATCAGCAGCCCAACTCCCACCTACCCCATCCACTTAACAGCAGAGGGGAAGAAGAATGAGACCTGGAGCACTCCTGGCCTCTGGCTTCCTTCTGGGGGTGCCTTTGGAGGCCTGAATGGCTCACCTCTTATTCAGAACAGGGTGCACTGGTTTACCCAATGCCTGGGTGCCCAGTCACCATGGAATTCTGCTAGCACTGCTCATAGGCCAGATCCTTCCCTTTAGAGGCACCCTCTCCTCAGCCTCTGGCTGACCCTCTGCTTCAATTCATCTCCCTTTCTATTTTCTCTGGACCTCCAGCCCGCCATGTGTACTCACGTTACCGCTCCCCACAAAGTGCCCCTTGCTTTGCACCTGTGCCCTCAGCTGACTATTACAGCCTCCTGCTCTGCTCTTCCCCTCAAGCCCACCACACTGGTCCCCACTCCACGATGTGTCATATGTAGCTCAGCTCTGTGTGTGCATGTGTGTGTGTGTCTGTGTGCACGTGCATGCATGTTTGTGGCTGCATGTGTAAGAATGTGCCAAACAGTTTTGAACATGAAGGAGGGGGGAACCCAGAATGGCTTTCTCCTTGACTTTTTTGTTGTTTTCCCATCAACCTCCAGTCTGCTGGACTAAGTCTAAGGACTTAGGGAGGGAAATGTCGCTCTTAGAGTCCATGTGACCCACTGGCCACTTCTGACCCTCTTTTACAGCCCCCCTCCCCGACCTCCACCATCTGGGGTCTCAAACCCCTCACCACTAGACTAAGCCTGGTGAGAGGCAGACAGAGCTGAGGGTCAGGGATTGCTCAGTTGGGATTGGTCCTCTGGCAGGGGAGGGCACTCAGTCAACAGAGACTCCCATCTGGCTTTGGGCTTGGTCTCGGCCTTGGGTAAAGTCATATAGGGAAAGGCGGAGGCCACAAGGAATGAACCAATTCTTGGTCTACTCCTCTCTCCTACCGTCCCAGCCCAGCCTATCCTTGGGGACAGGGATGCAAATGAGTAAGCCAAGTCAAAGTCCCTTCTCTAAGAAGAGAGACAGAGAATAGAGAAGATGTCACAGAGCCCCTTTTGCCACCTACTAGTCTTCTCTTTTTTTTTTTTTTTTTTTTTTGAGACAGGTTCTCACTCTGTCACCCAGGCTAGAGTCTACAGTGCAGCAGCATGATCATAGCTCACTGCAGCCTCTGCCTCCTGTGCTCAAGCAATCCTTCTGCCTGAGCCTTTTGACTAGCTAGAACTACAGGCATGCACCACCACATTTGGCTATTTTTTTCTTTTTTTTTGTAGAAACAGGATCTCACTATGTTGATCTGGCTGGTCTTGAACTCGTGGCCTCAAGCAATCTGCCCACCTCAGCCTCCCAAAGTACTCAGCTTACAGGCATAAGCCACTACACCGGTCTCATAGTGTATTTTTTATCTAGTGCTTTCTCTGTGGTGGGAGAGGGGGTATCAGGAGGCATTGTCAGATGTGAAGATGGTGTCTGGGATGCTTATTTTATTTATTATTATTTGTTTTGAGACAGTCTTGCTCTGTCGCCCAGGCTGGAGCGCAATGGCACTATCTCAGCTCACTGCAACCTCCGCCTCCTGGATTCAAGCGATTCTCCTGCCTCAGCCTCCTGAGTAGCTGGGATTACAGGCATGCACCACCACACTCAGCTAATTTCTGTATTTTTAGTAGAGATGGGGTTTCACCATGTTGGCCAGGCTGGTCTCAAACTCCTGACCTCAGGTGATCCACCTGCCTCGGCCTCCCAAAGTGCTGGGATTACAGGCGTGAGCCACCTCGCTTAGCCTGGAATACTTAACTTTATATGCCAACTTGACTGGGCTAAGGGATGCCCAGATAGCTGGGAAAACATTATTTCTGGGTGTGTCTGTGGAGGGAGTTTCTGGAATCAGTAGGCTGAGTGAGGAAGACTCACACTCATCACTGTGGGTGGGCATCATTCAATCTGTTGATGGCCTGAATAGAAGAAAAAGGCAGAGGGAGGGTGAATTTGCTTTCTGCTTGATCTAGGCCATCCATCTCCTCTTGTCTTATGATTTGACATTGCTGGTTTTGGGGACTTAAGACTTGGACCAGGACTTATACACCAGCCCCTCCCCGGCCCCCACAGTTATCAGGCCTTTGGGCTTGGACTGGAACTATACCACTCACTTTCCTGGGCCTCTAGCTTGCAGTCAGCACATCATGGGACTTTTTGGCCTCCATAATTGGGTGACTCAATCATTCATAATAAGTCCCTTTATCTACCTTCTTCCTTCCTACCTTCCTTCTTTCTTCTTTCCTTTCCTTTCTTTCTTTCTTTCTTTTTCCTTTCTTTCTCTATCTCTCTCTTTCTCTCTCTCTTTCTCTTCCTCTCTTTCTCACCTTCTCTCCTTGTCTGCTTCTTTCTCCCTTTCTTCTTTTCTTTCTTTCTTTTTTTCTTTCTCCTCTTTCTTTCACTCTTTCTTTCTATCTCTATCTCTCTCTTTCTCTCTCTCCTTCTTTCCTCCTCTTTCTTTCTTTCTTTCTTTCTCTCTTTCTCTCTTTCTTGGTCTGTTTCTCTGGAAAACCCTGACTAATACAGTGTATGAGGACCTGGGGAGAAATCGAGGACCTAGATGGAGGTGAGGTGCAGTGAAGAGAAGCCAGGAGGACCTGCAGAGGGGCTGGCAGCAGAGCAGAGCTCACCGTTATGCCCTCTCCAGAGGGAGGCAGCAGAGGACCATGGGAATTGCCCCATCCAGCATTAGCAGTTCAGTTCCCCTTGCTTCACTGTCTACCATGGAGCCCATATCTAGGGACTCACCTTGTTTGAATGTTTTTACACTTTTAGTCCCTGCCCCAAGGAGAGATGCCTTGGGAAAGTCAGCCCTGATTTAGTCCCTCCCAAGCTCCTCTCTTCATTCCTATGTAGAGGCTTCTCTCCTTTGTGTCTAGAACTTAGAGAACATACTTTTGTCCACTCCCCACCTCCTTACATTTCTCAACCTCCCCAGCTCCCTACCTCCTACACGCCCTTGGAGGCCATGATCCAGCCCAGATTCACTGCCCTGGAGAGGCCCGTATCTCTGCCCTGTGGCCATGCTGAGCCATGACTGTGACAACTAGACATTGTTAGCATCTGACCCCCATCATCCCTAGGGAGTTTCCAGTGAGGGCCCATACTCCTAATGTCTTCTTTTCCCTACCCCCATTTAGTCACTCACCAGGCCTACTTCCTGGATATGAGGACCAGGTCTGGCCCTGGAAGTGCACAGGGAGATGGTCCTGTGCTGGGGACCAGGCTAGCATAGGGGCAGCAGCTAGGTGGAGGAGTTCTGAGGTGTGGCCTTGAGTGCGATGAAAAACCAGTGCCTCATAGCCTAGTAACATTCCCCTCCCTGCCAACATGGCACCTCTGTGGTCCCTCAGCCTGGTTGGAAGTGGGGTGGTGAGGAGTTGGGGGGCACAGGTAGATGGAAGGTGGGGAATGGGGTGGGAGGGCACAGGTCAAGGGAACAAATATCTAATTTTTTCAAAGCTCAAAAACTGGAAGCAACCTAGAGGCTTCAAAGTTAAATCCTGGAGCAGAGAGAACATCTCCTGTGCATCGGGTAGAGGGAGCCAGGGACAGAATGGCCTTGGTTTGAGGATGATCTTATCAAAAAGGAAGCTAAGAGTGACCAGCTTTTTTGAGACCAAAGAGGGCCAATGGGTTCCTTCTGAACTCTTACTGGGATGGGAGTGGCTGAGAGAGCTGTAGACCTGAACCCTGGGGGGCACAGCTGAGATCCCAACAGAAAGGAGCCCATGTGTTAATAACCACTATAAGCCACGAGAAAGTCAGGGTCAGGGAGTGGTGGATTACTACTGGTCTCTCTTATCCAGTCTCCTGTCATTGACTCCAAGACATCTGGGTCTCAGAGAGTCCAAGATGCAAGGTAGGCAGCTACCTTACAGATCATCTGGCCTAGGACTCATTTTATAGATAGAGAAAAGAAGACTCAGAGGGGATAGGAAGGTGCCTGACTGTACCACCCACCATCTCAAGTCATCTATTAGCTTAGTTATAAGATCTCAGTTTGACCTCATCCTGTGGAACTCCAGGCTTACCTGCCTGCCCAATGGATTTGTCCCTAGATTAAGTTTCCCCTCCACCCACATTGTTGCTCTATGTTTGGACCCCTCCAGATAGGCCTGATGGAGGAGCCCTGATTGGAAAATTTCCCCTCCCCTTCCCTGTCTCAGAATATAGCTTCTTAGGGCGCTCCCTTTGCAACTTGAGATGTCACTGTCTTTCTATTAAAATGTCTTTTCCACTCTGCCTCTCCCTTTCTCTCGCTCTTCTCCAAACCCTACCCCCTCCACCCCCACCTGCCATCCCTTCTCTAGATAGAGCCCCAGAACTGCTGAGATGAATCTCTGCAGCTTTGTGGTTCTGGGCTGTGTTCCTGGTAATTGAGTTGTGCTCCCTAGTCATGATGGGGGAGGGTGGCAGTGGCTGCCGGTGGGTCCAGTCATCCTTCTGCTAGCTTAGCCCCTTCCACTGTGATCCAGCAGAGAGGGTGAGGAGGAGAGAGCTGGGGATGCTTCCTTTTCCCCAGCCCTCCTTCTCCAGCTCTCTGTCTCCCCCTCTCCCCCTCCCTGCTTCATCTCCAGCACAAATCACATGGTGACAGCCACATCCAACCTTTGGGGAAGGGTTTGTAAATGTGTCTTCCTTAGCTGTGATCTCCAAATTGTTCCTTTTATTGCATTTGTCACGGTGAAGATTAAAGTCCCTGGGTGGTCTGCACCACAAATCACAAAGTCTGCTCAGGGAGAGGCTGCAGGTTGGGAACTGATGGAGGGGTCTGGGCCCTGTTACAGGGTGTGCATGCATGTGTATACTCACAAACACCCGATCCCATGTGTGATGAGGATTTGTACTTAGGAATGGAAAGATGTGCTGCTGATATTGTCCTTCTGAGTTGTTAGCCCCCTTTATAAGCACAGTTTTTGACCTCTTCCTCCAGGCTGTCTTCCAGGATCTCCCTGCCCAATCTGTGGTTGGCATCATGGTCTACATTGCTCTTTCCCGTCTCTTCCATCAGTGGGGAGGGAAAGCTGTGGTCACATCAGAGATATTTCAGGATATCCCCCTGGATCTTTGGTCACATTGATCTCTAGATCTCATCCTGGCAGCCCTCTTTTTTTGAGACAGGGTCTCACTCTGTTGCCCAGGATGGGGTGCAGTGGCACGATCTTGGCTCACTGCGGCCTCAACCTCCTAGGCTTAAGCGATCCTCCTGCCTCAGCTCCCCCAAGTAGCTGGGACTAAAGGCGTGCACCACCATGCCCAGCTAAACATCCTGGCAGCACTCTGAATGGGTCAAGGGCAGTTTGGGCCCAGAGCTCCCAAGGGACTCACATCCAAGCCCCAGAAGAACAGCTGATCTTACCCTGTCCCAGCACCCCCATATCCTGACTTTCTTTCTCATCCTGAGACACAACTGGTTGCAGAGGGAGCACAGCTGACATGGAGGAAACACAGCTGAGGAACCAAGAGGACAAAAGCTCCCTTGTACATGTGCGCTGAAAACAGCCCCCTTATGAGGTGGGCTTCCTGCCTGTCCCTCATCCACATTCATAACATTCAAATTTATGCTGTAATCTCCACCGCTCCATATGTATGAGCCTTTGATGGGTGTTTGGGTTTATGGGATGCACCCGTCCCTCCATTCCCTCACCCGCCCACCGCCTCCAACCACTGCAAAGACGCTCGTACATAATTGACATCGGCAGATTCTTTCATTATACAAGATTTAGCATCTGCTCAGGGATCGCTCGCTCCTCACTCACCATAGATGACTTTTCCCCGCGTTTCCTATTATCAATTCAAATTAGCCCCATTTCCCCACCCGACCAGTGCAGCGTTTACACTTGACAGTGAGGAAACAGCAAGGCTATAATGGGCTCCTCAATTATTTAGGCCCAGGTAGGCCAGGACCCAGAAAGCCTTGACAAGGGGATATGCTGGGGTGGAGTCATTGTAGAGGGGAGGATAGGGCAGCAACTACCTGGTCCCTGTTTGGCCTTATAGCCCTCTACCCTCTCACTTTCCACCCTGGGACCCCCTTCCCCACCTCACACACATGTAGGTCTCTAAGGAGCAAGACAGTCCCTTCCTGCCCCCATCCTCAGCAGCAGCTCTCTCCCCTTCCATCCCATATTTGCTCCACATGAGTACCCAATGGGCCACTGGCATAAACCAAAGAAGAGGTCATTAGCACCTGCCGGGCTGCCCCTCCCCTGAAGACACCCCTGTCTGAAGGTTCATCTGTCTCCATGAAGGTGAGAGGTGGTGCCCCAGGATTTCAGAGATCAGTAGAAGAGTCAGAAATCCAGCTGCAGAGCCCTAGGAAGAGAGAGATAAAGCAGGCCCAGCTGACACATGAGACACACATCAGAGCCTGAGGGAGCCGAGAGTGTTGCCGCTGGGGCTTCGGGAGAAGTCACAGGCAAGAAGAACGGCTTGGGCAAGGCTCCCTCTCAGACCACACGGACTGTGCAGAGCTGTAATTAGGTCAGTTCTGCCCACCCACTGGTCTGCTATTCCAGGCCCAGCCTCCTGTAATAACTCTTGGGCCCAGCCAGTAGCTATTCAGGAATCAGGGGCTCTCCCGAGCTCACTAAATGGCCTAAGTACAGGGGCAGAAGCTCCTGGTCAGCACCGAAGCCCTAACCCCTCCTTCCCATCAACCCTCCTCTCATCTGAAGCAGGGCTCCAGGCAGTCAGCTCAGCTCAGCAAAACCCTGTGCCCACTTCTGCATCCCCCTCCCGTCCCCTTCCTCAGCTTGGATCAGTTTCCAAAGGCAGCAATGGGGAGGTGGCAGGCAGGGGTCGAAGAGGCTCTGGGATTAGCAGTGTCTTTCCCATGCTTGGCTTCTCCAAAATCAAAGAATTCCTCCGTCTGATTGGATTTACCCTAAGTCACAGGCGTGTGGGACCTTCTTTCCCTCAGCAACAGCTGGAAACAGCCCTAAATATGATTAATTAACGCTGTAAAAAGCCCTGGACACAATTAAGATTTATGTGTATGCGTGTGTGTGTAAGTGCACATACCTGTGCGTGTGTTGCAGGGGAGTGGGTTGTTGGGGGGACTCGAGTGGGGGGAGCACGGGTGGATTACCAACCACCTCCAGGGCCCTCTGGGGGAGTAGAATGACATTTCCTCAGAGACATTCCTTTGACATCCATCCCAGGCAGGGGTCATTTTATCCAGCCTCCAGCTTTTGAGTAGATTAGCCTTTCTCTGTCCCAGGGGCACGGGGCTATATTCTTTTCTCTCTTCTCTGGCCAATGAGGGGAGTTGGGGGTGGTTCTGGGGCAGGTGCCTCATCTTTCCTCTACCACAGCAGTATATTCTCCGTCAAACCTCAATTCCTCTTGCTGGGTCACTCTAGGCATCAGGGACACATACACAGTCCCCAAACATAGCTGCACTGACACAGCCCAAATGGGACATAAAATAGGAACCTCAGAGGAATCTGAATAAATGAGCTGCCGGACAAACCTCTTGCCCTTGGAGATAGTTCACTTTCATCCTCAAAGACTCACATCTCCAAGACAAGACAGAGGTCCTTGGACTTTCTCCTCACCTCTAAGATGACAAAACCTTATTTGTTGGGCCCTCTACTGCCTCCTGGCCCACCCCCATGTGATTGGGTACTCATTCTCTAACGTGGTGACATCCCAGCTTCAAAAAGATGCTGGTGATGATCGACATTATTTATAATCATGAAAAGGAAAGGGACAGGAGCACAGAAAACTCCAGTGAATCATTCGGAAATCAGTTATCAGGATCTTTGCAAGAGTCTTGGATTTCAATTTATTTTCTTTTATTTATTGCAACTGATTGATCTACTTCTGTTTTGCTGAAATGACTAAGCCTAGGAAGAGGTTGCTTAGGTTCTAGCACTGATGGCCAAAGAGGAAGTGTACCAGAAAGAGCATGGAAAAACCCCAGACTCTACATCCCCTCTTGGGATCCTTCTGGGGTCAATGGCCTGAGTACCTGGGGCTTCTGATTTATGGCATGGTCCCCCGGGGAGGAACCCAGGAGGTCTTGCGGATGCCTAGGTATTCCTTGGGAGAGGAGCTTCACATATCCTGGTGGAGTTATTAACAAACATGGATTAAATCACTGGGACTAGAGTTCAACTTCCTGATATCAAGGCTAAGTAGGGCCAAGGGAGTGTGTAGACTCTCCGTGCCACGTGTCTCCATGAAGAGGACCACCCTTGCCTGGAGGCAGGAGAATGGCAGAGATGAACTTTCAGTGACCATTTCTAGAACCCTGAGATTTTAGGAGCTTTTGTAGAATTTCTGAATTTGTAGCTGGTGACTGAGTAGAGGAGCTAAGTTCCACTCCAGAGCTCCAGAGTGAAAGGTGTGCCTTAAAGAGGGGAAAGGGGAATCAATTTTCCCCTGAAGCCCCAGTACAGGCTTGTTGTGAGGATCAAAAGAGCAGGAGGGTATGTCCTGAGGTCCCCAGATGCATGTGTGATGCTGCTACTACAGGGGTCAGCTGTGCAGAGCACCCCCACCCCCACCATTTCCATTCACACCCTTTGGGTTCTATAGAGTTCCACTCCTATCACCTCTCGGTCTTTTGGCTAAGATCAAATGTAGTATGTTTTTACCAGCTTAACATCTGATACATCCTCTATCTGAGGACAATATATTAAATGGGTTTTTTGAGCAGGGGGATGGAAAAGGAGCTTGCTTCATCCACTCCTATGCATCAACCTGGTATTGCAGGACCTCCAGGAATGGTGCATCACCAGGGTGCAAGAGAGAGTTCCACTCCCAGAGAGAGGGGTGAGGGGATGAGATGGTGTGAGTAGCAGACTTGGGTGCCAGTGAGCAAACAAGGAAGAGGAGGCAAGAGGTGGGAGGCTGGCAGGAGGTGGACAGGAAGGCAGGCTGCCTGGAGATGGGCCACTCCCTTGTGAGTGTCCTCGTGCTTTCCTTACAGATGCTCTACTCATTTGGAGTATGGTATTTGCTCTGCACATCCTCATAGGTCAGTGTATCTGCACATGTGGTATCTCTCTACTCTGTGATAATGCTTGGTGACCATGTGGCTGAGGATACCTGTGTGAAGAACAAGAAACTAGGGGTTGCCCATAGAGCACTTGGGTGTTTGGTTTGATGAGCACAGTGTTTAAAACAAACATGAAATTGAATACCTGTAGGAAAACATGTGCTTCTCAGGTGCAGCCATAGACCCTGCCACTCTACTGCATTTCACTACTTGCGTCACTTATATAATCTGCCTAGCACTAAAGCCTTGACTCTGTGATCTCTTGAAGAAAAGGAGATAGGCCCCTACTTGCCCATCAGTTGGCTTCTGAGTCATTAGCTTCCCTCAGAGATAATGGCTGGGGTCCAGCCACCAGCTTCTCTGGGACTAAAGGTACTGGAAGCCACTTTTTTTCTTGAGTCAAAGACATCTGTATAAGAGAAGCAAACAAGTCCCAACCTTCTACGAGAGAGGGGTCCAAGATCATACAGTGATACTAGACTCCAGGTTGCCTCTGTGGGACTCCAAAACCTCTATTTTGCACACTGCCTCTTGCCTTCGTCAAGTGGGTTTGAGCTGAGGCTGAGATATGAGAGCTAGAAGGAGAATAAGCCCAGAGACCCTGAGGGACACACTTGTTTCCAACTGGTGTGTCCTGGACATGGGCCTCTGCCAGAGGATGGAAAGGGATTTGGCCTGACATGCTGCTGGGATGGGCATTGGGTAGACTGCTTGCTCAGTCCATTGTGTAGCCTCTCAGGTAGGCAGAGCCCTCCTTCCTGCCCAGTGTCATATCACCAAACTGCCCCATCCCCCATCTCCCTGGGAGAAAAGGAAGTTTGGAGGCCCGAAGGAGGATCAATTCTATTTTGTTTTGGAAGCTTGGAAGAGTAGCTGGAAACATGTGGGGCTTGGTTTGAGGCTGGGGACAGGGCTGGCTCTTAGTATCTGCTTCATCCTTGCAATCAGCTTTCCAGAACTCTCAGTGGAGCTTATACGGTCAGGCTCTACCACAGGGGACCCATACTAAGACCATATCTATCCCTGGGATGCCCCCATGTAGGCAGCAGCTTCTAAGACAAGAATCTTGATATAAGCCTTTTATTTGGCTTCTAAGAAGCTTAGGATGGCAATGGGAATGTAAGAAAGGGTGAACTTTGTAAGGGAGCTGATCTTTTATAGCTGCTGTTTACTGAGTGTTAGATTTTGGTTTTTTTTTTTTTTTGAGTTTTTTTGGTCATTTATTTTGTGTCAGACAGTGAACTGAGCCTTTTACTTACTTTATTTCATTAAATGTTTATAACCATCCGGTGAGGTAAGTGATATTATCTCCTATTGCTCAGATAAGGAGATTGAGAATCTAAGAGGTTAAAAACCAGTCCAGAACAACACAGCTATTAACTGGGGAATCTGGCTGTTTCCACTCAAGGGCACTCCCTTCCTCAATCAATACAAAACCTGAGGTCAATGGGCAAGGTGGGGGGTAGGGTAGGGTTACCAGATTTAGCAAATAAAAATACAGGATGCCCAATTAAATTTGAATTTCAGACAAACAACAAATACTTAAGTATATCCCAAATAGTGCATGGGATATACTTATACTAAAAATTTATTGTCTGTCTGAAATTCAAATTTAATCAGGTGTCCTGTATTTTATCTGGCACTTCTTGGCGGGAAGTGGGGTGACAGCCTGGCCCAGCTCTGCCCCCGTTTCCTAAGAAAGTCCTGAGGGGTACAGGCCTCAAGTAAGGGATGGTCTGAGCTCAATTAGATTGTGCAGGCTGGGCTGACAGCCCTTTTCTCCCTTCTTGAGTGTGGCTAGGAAAAGGCAGGGCTTGGAGTCTAGGCTACCCTGTCCAGCCTCCCAGGCTCTGTGCTGAGGACGTCAGAGATCACACCCATTTACCAATCAATCAAAAGGGATTTTTCATCCCAGTACTAGGCTGCTCAACAGACCAAGCAAACCACAAGTGGTGCACCAGCACAGCAGGGATCTCCGAAAAAGAAATGAAAAATTAAAGAAAAAAATCAAGACATTTGGCTGGGCGCGGTGGCTCACGCCTGTAATCCCAACACTTTGGGAGGCTGAGGCAGGCGGATCACCTGAGGTCAGGAGATCTGTCTCTACTAAAAATACAAAATTAGCCGGGTGTGGTGGCGTGCGCCTTTAATCTCAGCTAATCAGGAGGCTGAGGCAGGAGAATCACTTGAACCCAGGAGGCGGAGGTTGCAGTGAGCTGAGATCTATTGCATTCCATCCTGGGCAAAAAGAGCGAAACTCCATCTCAATTAAAAAAAAAAAAAAAAAAAGGAAAAAAAAATTTCAAGCTGTCCGCATGGGAAAGGATGAAACCTTCCTGGCATTCACTGTACGATTTAGCACTGAATTAGACCGTGCGGGTGAGGTTGGAGTCAATCTGCTCAAGGTTTAGAAAGGTCTAGCCCAGCCCTGCATTTGGGGCACCAGCTTCTCTTCTTTTCCCTTCCGGGGAGTCTAACTCTGGGCGGGCCTGAGAGGGGGCAGATGGTGGGAGGGGCTCCTTCTGACCCCTAAGTCCCCAAGCTCTCCAGCCCCCCGCTGCCCGACCCGCGTCAGGCCTCGGGCTGGGCTCGGGCCCCAGGCGCTGCCCCGGCTCCCTCTCTGGTTCCTGGCCTCCGTCCTCCGCAGCTGAGCCCCGCTCGGCTCCACCCCAGGCTCTATCGCCTGCTCTGTCGCCTGCTCCATCGCTGGCTCCCGATCTGGCTCCCGTTCCCACTCCCCGCCCGGTGTGCTCAGCTTGCTCGGGGCGTCTCCCTACTGAAGAATTATGTTGCATAAAGCAGCCGCCACCATCTTGAACTGGCAGTGAACTTTGCTTTCTACATATAAATACAGATAGCAATCACACCCCAATCAGCGCAGAGGCTTCAGGGCATCATCTCAGCAACTCTAACTTTCCCATTACGATAATGTGATTTTCACTCAGTCTATAATATCACCAGCCATGAATAAAGCAACTGGCTCTTTCTCTCTCTCTCTTCCCTCCCCCCTTTCTCTGCCTCTCTCCCACCCACTTCAGTCTTTCTTTTCCTCCTTCACACCCTCCTCTTCTGTCTCTCTGCAACCCCTCCTGGTGATCTCTGAGTCTCTGAGCACCTCCGCCTTCCTCTCCCACTGCCTCTTTCTCCCCCTCATCCTCTGGGACTCACATTCCCTAAATACTAATGGCAGGGATTTGCTGTGCCCCATGGCTCAGTTAAGTTCTGCTCCCCAGCTCTGCCATCATCTGCCTTTGCCTGAAGGTGAGAAACTGCGGAGTGGGGGTGGGGTGGCCAGCTAGGCTTTCCGAGAGGGTGAGGAGCTTGGAGCGGACTCAGCTCCTTCGCTTTTCTCTCCCTCTTTCCTTAGGTACCAGGATGGCTCTCTGCAAGGATTCCCACCAGGAATGCCAAAGCCAGAGACTTAGGGACCAAAGGACCCAGAAGGGAGATCTGAAAAATTCCTGCTTAGGGGCGGGTCCTGGAGGCTCTGATTTTTCTGGGTATTGAGGGACCCAAACTCAACCAGATTCCAAATGCCAGACGATTGTGAGTAGATACAGCTGGTGAGAGGGTGCTCTGGAGACGCCTGCAGAAAAGAGAGGAAACTGGCCCAGCCTCCTAGAGACACTTCTGAGTACGGCTCGGTCCTGAGCCTGACGGCAGTCCAGGCTGTAGCTGCCTTTGCCAGGACATGTGATAAAGGCCCGCAGATCCTTGATCAAGGTGTCAGCCACTTTGTCGGAGCTCCTGGAAAGGGCTTCTCTTTCCTTCATGGACATTCTCCAGGTTGGTAGTGGTTCTGGCGGGGGAATTTTCTGTGCCTCTGGTCACTCATGTGTCTATCCCCCCTGAGTTTGTATGCCAGTTCTTTTAAACTAGCGTTGGGATCATGGACAGTGCTCTTATCTTCCCTAAGCCTCAGTGTCCTCATCTATAAAACGGGCATAATAATATACCTACTGAATAAAATAATGTATGTGAAGTGCTTCACACTGTGCTCAGCACATTGTTAAATGTTCAATAAATGCTAGCAATTATTACTATCAGCAATTATTGAATAATCATCTGCTATGTCTTTGACACAGGGCACCATGGAGGTTAGGAGCCTGGGGTTTGGAGACAGATGATCTGAGTTTGAATCCTGGCTTAACGCTTATTAACTTTGTGGTCTTGGAAAAGTCACAGCTTCTCTGAGACTCAGTTTCCCCATCTGTAACAGGAATAATAATAGTCCCTACTTCATAGGGTTGTCGTGAGGGTTACTCAAGCTCATCTAGTGCTTGGCACAGTGTTGATATGTGACAAGAGCTCTTGAATATTCTCAAGGGTCACTGTGTATCCAGCCATGAGTAAGGCCAACACTGTCCTGGCTGTCCTGTAGACCACACCCTCTCTGTGGGTTATTGTCTGGGCCCTTGACTTTTTCTAGGCAAGTGTCCATTAATGGCCTTGTCTTTTCACTCCTGTGGAGGATGAGGACTTGCTTCAATTTCCCTAGCTATAAGAACTGCACCTTTTCAGTTGCCCTCCTTTCTGCGGTTGGAGCTAGGACTCCTGCCCAGCCCCTTTCCTGGTTGAGGAGAGAAGGTGACCCTTGAATCTGCTCTCTTAGGCAGGGGAGACAAATTAGAATCAGACATCCTCATTCTGTCCATTTCTGTAGCTCTAAGTGTTTGGGGGTCAGTTTGCTTGCTTGCTTTTAGTTTCTCTTGGTTTCTCTCTGAAGGCTCCTTTGGAGCCATTCCAAGCTGATTTCATGTGAAAGAGGGGAAAGAAGATTCTACTCACCTCAGCTGAGCCAGGAGGGGCCTCGGGAGTATGGCAGTGAGAGCTCCCAGCTCTGGGACCTAGAGAGCCAGTATCACTGAGGCAGACTCAGGGAGGAAGCTAGGGGTAGAGTGCCTGGCTAGTGGCAGGTTTGGGTCTCTTCCTTAATACTTAGCCTCTCTCCCCTGGCTCCAAGAGGAAAGAAGCTACCCTTCAAAATCCAGAGCCATAAGCCAACACTTTTTTTTTTTTTTTTCAGATGGATTCTCGCTTTGCCACCCAGCCTGGAGTACAGTGGTACAATCTCGGCTCACTGCAATCTCCGCCTCCCAGGTTCAAGTGATTCTCCTGCCTCAGCTTCCCGAGTAGCTGGGACTACAGGTTTGTGCCACCGTGCCCAGATAATTTTTGTATTTTTGGTAGAGACCATGTTTCACCATGTTGGCCAGGCTGGTCTCGAACTCCTGACCTCAGGTGATCCACCCACCTGGGCCCCCAAAACTGCTGGGATTACAGGCGTGAGCCACCGTGCCCAGCCAAGCAACACATTATTAACCAAGTGCTGTAGCTAAGGGAACTGAATCACCTGTAAACTCATGACAGAATGCGGAGTCTGGTCTCCTCCCTATGCCTAACTCCACTGCTCACAGACAGGGTCCATGGCTTCCAGGTGATATTGCCCAGTATTGGGGGACAGGCATGAGAACATGGAAGGGAAGCACAGAGTGAGAGACACATATAGAGATAACTGCAGGGTGCAGCAGGGCAGAAAAAGAGTGGTAAGTTCAGTCTGAAGAGCCAGGTGACACTTCATAGAGGAGATGGTGCTCCAGCTAACGTAAATATAGGCAAAATGGGAGGGCAAAGAGAAGGAAAGGCATTCAAGCAGGGGGAATGGCACATCCAAAAGCCTTAAGGTGTGGAACAGCCTGGCACATCTGGAGAACTCCACTGAAGTACAGGGGAGGGCATAGGGAGGGCACTTTGGGAGAGAGGCCAGCAGAAGGAGAAAGAGAGTAAAGGGCTGTGCCAAGGAGTTAGGCTCTCACCCTGTGAGCAGGGGCCCACTGACGGGCTTTCACATGGAGTGATTTGCATTTCAGAAAAATAACTCTGAGGATGATACAGAGAATGGGGGGAGGGTGCAACCGGAAACATTGGAGACCAGGAGACCAGGGAGGAGGCTCCCCCCAACCCCCAGGCTGGAGTGCAATGGTACAATCTCAGCTCACTGCAACCTCCACCTCCTGGGTTTAAGATATTCTCCTCCCTCAGCCTCCCGAGTAGCTGGAATTACAGGCGTCCACCACCACACCTGGCTAATTTTTTGTATTTTTAGTAGAAACAGGGTTTCACCATGTTGGCCAGGCTGCTCTCGAACTCCTGACCTCAGGTGGTCTACCTGCCTCAGCCTCCCAGAGTGCTGGGATTACAGGCATAAGCCACCATGCCTGGCCTTTTTTTTTTTTTGAGACAGAGTCTCGCTCTTTGGCCCAGGCTGGAGTGCAGTGGCACGATCTTGGCTCACTGCAACCTCTGCCTCCTAAGTTCAAGCGATTCTCCTGCCTCAGCCTCCTGAGTAGCTGGGATGACAGGCATGCGCCACTACACCCGGCTAATTTTTGTATTTTTAGTAGAGACGGGATTTCACCATGTTGGCCAGGCTGGTCTCAAACTCCTGACCTCAGGTGATCCACCCCCCTCAGCCTCCCAAAGTGTTGGGATTACAGGCATGAGCCACCATGCCCTGCCGAGGGAGGAGGTTCTTACAACTGTGCGGGCAAGAGACATGGAGGACCCGAGTTATGGCAGTGGTGGTGGGGACACTGAGGAGTGACAGACTAGAGAGGGCCTCTGAAAGAATGGACGGGATTTTTTTTTTTTTTTTTTTTTTGAGATGGAGTCTTGCTGTATCATCCAGGCTGGAGTGCAGTGGCGCGATCTCTGCTCACTGCAAGCTCTGCCTCCCAGGCTCATGCCATTCTCCTGCCTCAGCCTCCCGAGTAGCTGGGACTACAGGTGCCCACCACCACACCCGGCTAATTTTTTGTATTTTTAGTAGACACAGGGTTTCACTGTGTTAGCCAGGATGGTCTCGATCTCCTGACCTCCTGATCCACCCACTTCAGCCTCCCAAAGTGCTGGGATTACAGGCGTGAGCCACCAGTCATGGCAAAGAATGGACAGGATTTTGTGCTTGATTGGATGTGGGAGGTGACTGAGAGGAAGATTCCTAGATGGCAACCAGGTTCTTGCCTTGGGTGAATGGTGAGATGATGACAGAGATGGAGAATAGAAGTGATGGAATAGCTTTGAGGAGAGTTCAAAAATACTAAGATCTGATTGAGACACATACTTTGAGAGTCTGGGGTATGTCTCAATAAAGATATCCAGGAGATTAAGAGAATTGAAGAACTTTATCTCCATATATCTGGAGTCTGGTAGGGAGTTGGAAATACATGTGTGGCATTCAAAAGAGTTTTGGGCTGGGTGCAGTGGCTCATGCCTGTAATCCCAGCACTGTGGGAGGCCAAGGCGAGTGGATCACTTGAAGTCAGGAGTTCAAGACTAGCCTGGCCAACATAGTGAAACTCTGTCTCTACTAAAAATACAAAAAAAAATTAGCCGAGTGTGGTGGTGCATGCCTGTAGTTCCAGCTACTGGGGAGGCTGAGGCAGGAGAATCGCTTGAACCAGGGAGGCAGAGGTTGCAGTGAGCCGAGATCGCGCCACTGCACTCCAGCCTGGGTGACAGAGTGAGACTCTGTCTCAAAAAAAAAAAAAAAAAAAAAAAAAAAAAAAAAAAGAGTTTAGTCAGAGTATGTGGATTTGAGGGTTACTAGCATATAGATGGTAATTAAAGCCGTGGGAAGGAGGTTATTTACTTGGGAAAGACAAGTTTGAAGAGGCCCAAGAGTGGAGTGTTAGGAAATGTGTACATTTAAAAGAGTGATTTTCAACCTTGGTAGCACATTTGGATGAAATGGGGAGCTTGAAAAACACCAGTGTCGGCTGGGCACGGTTGGCTCACGCCTGTAATCTCAGCACTTTGGGAGGCTGAGGCAGGTGGATCACGAGGTCAGGAGATCGAGACCATCCTGGCTAACACGGTGAAACCCCATCTCTACTAAAAATAACAAACAATTAGCTGGTTGTGGTGGCGGGCGCCTATAGTCCCAGCTACTTGGGAGGCTGAGGCAGGAGAATGGCGTGAACCTGGGAGGCAGAGCTTGCAGTGAGCCGAGATGGCACCACTGCACTCCAGCCTGGGCGACAGAGCGAGACTCCATCTCAGAAAAAACAAAAAAGAAAAACACCAGTGTCTGGGCCCCTCCCCAGGCCAACTAAATCTGAATCTCTGGGAGTGAGCTGTAAAAGTCCTTCAGGTGATTCTAACATGGCATTGGGGTTGAGAATCAAAGACTTGGAGGGAGGCAGGAGGCGGTGGCTCACGCCTGTAATCCCAACACTTTGGGAAGCCAAGGCGGGCAGATCACTTGGGCCCAGGAGTTCGAGACCAGCCTGGGCAACATGGTGAAACCCCCGTCTACCAAAAATAAAAAATAAAAATAAAAATAAAAAAATTAGTCAGGCACAGTGCTGCATGCCTGTAGTTCCAGCTACTGAGGAGGCTGAGGTGTGAGAATCGCTTGAACCTGGGAGGCAGAAGTTGCAGTGAGCGAAGATCTCACCACTGCATTCCAGCCTGGACAACAGAGCAAGACCCTCCCTCAAAAAAAAAAAAAAAGAAAAGAAAAGAAAAGAAAAAGGCTTGGAGGGAGGGCAGAGGACCCAGGCTAGCAAAGAAAACTGAGAAGGAATGTTCAGGATGATAGGAAGAGAAACAGGAAAGAGGGGTGTTGTGGAGTAAAGAGAGGACAAAGTTTCAAGAAGGGAGAGTTCAAAAGCATCAAATGATGGAGAATAATAGTAGTTAACACCTACCCAGTACTTATCCTGGCTTTACGTGAATTCACTGAGTCTTCCTGAGACCCTATGAGGCAAGTATTATTATCATTGCCATTTTGAACATAATAAAACTGAGGCATAGGTACTTGCCCTAGCTCATACAACTAGTAAGCAGAAACCAGGCTTCAAGCCCAGGCAGGCCACTACCAAATGTGTGCTACACCACCTCTCTTGCAGAGGGCCAAGTGACATGCACACCGTTCGTGCTTTTTAGCAGTGTAGCCTTCCAACGGCCCAGCTCTCTTCTCCTTTTCTCTTCTCTTCTCCTTTTCTCTTCTCTTCTCTTCTCTCCTTCCTTCCTTCCTTTCTTCCCTCCCTCCCTTCTTTCCTTCCCTCCCTCCCTCCCTCCCTTCCTTCCTTCCTTCCTTCCTTCCTTGCTTCCTTCCTTCCTTCCTTCCTTCCTCTCAGTCTAGGTCCCTAAGGCAGCTTTTTTCACCTCCCTGGCCTTCTCCTGGTGACTGGGCTAAGTGGAGCTGGTTCTCCTCCCTTACTCTTGGAGGGACAACAAAGTCCACCCTTAGGTGATGGCCACAGTGAGCCTGCATTCATCAGCCTGAGCGAGCAAGCACCCTTTGAAGTCTCCAGAGTCTAGGAGGGTGGGGGGTTGGGAGAGGGGTGCAGAGGGAAAAGGATCTGATCCTCCTGGGAAGTTAAGTCTCCTGAGAAGTGATGCAGGAAGATTTTGAGGAGGAAAGAGACTGGAATCTACATTCACAGTAGAGGTGATGTAAGTGCGGCCTCCAGGCCCCAGAGCAGTGGTTCTCAACCAGCCTGACTGTTAGAATTAAGGAGAGGGGAGTGTTAAAAATATACCAAAAGTGCCACCTCCAGAATAATTGGATCAGAATCTCTGGGAATGGAGCTCAGGCACTGATGGTTTTTAAAAGTTCCCCAGCTGATTCTAATGTGTAGCCAGCGCTGAGAACAGCAGCCTGGAGAAAAGAGCTCTGAATAAATACAAAAAGACCACGGTTCTACACTCCAACTTTATCACTTCCTAGCTGGGTGGTCTTGGGCAACCCATTAGACGTCTTTGAGCCTCTCTTACTCATTTCTGTAAAATGGGCATAGTAATGTCCACCATGCCTACCTTAAACAGATTGTTATGATGCTGAGGTAGACTTGGATGTGATATACTTTGTTAATTATGTAGGGTACTGTGTGAAAGTAGGTGGAATTAACTCAGACAGACAAAAGGACAAATAAGCACTTGTGTTCATTTTGCACAGGTAGAGGCACTTGAGTGAGTACACACACACACACACCTCACAGAGAGTTGCTGGTTGGATTTTGAAAGCAGAACTGTGGTTTTCTAGTCATGGTCTTTTATGTTTTTAGCCTTCAGAATATGCCATTAAAATATGGAAAGATGATCTGGTGTGTGTGTTTGTGTGTGTGTGTGTGTGTGTGTGTGTGTGTTTAAATGATTGTTAAAGTGTAGCATCATTTGAGTCCGCCTGTCAGCCTATCAGAAACGTCATCTATAACCTTCACTGTTTGCAGTTTAATCTCCCCTGCCTCCCCGCGGGCCCTGTTCTGACATTTTAAACCCCATAAATGACAGTAGTGCTCTAAGCCATTTTGAAAAAAGCCAAGCATTTGGAAAAAACACACATAGAGACATCCCCCTAAATTCCCCTTCCTGTGAACACATGCTCATTCATGCTCATAAGTCGAATCACACACACGTTCACACCCCTGCACTGGCCAATTTGAGAGAAGTCACAGATACTGGTACTAGCCAACAAAATACACATGTGATGGCAGGACACAGGTGTGTCGAAGCATGGCTGTGTGTCTGGCCCGTGCATGAACTCCAGTGGACACACAGCAGGGACACCTTTCTTTTCTCATTCTCAAGTTCCAACCATTCTTCTGCTCCTTGGCTTTGAAAGGGAACGAAAGGATCCAGCATCCTTGGAAGGCTGGCACTGGGAGCTGTTTCCTGTAATTTGGAGTTAGAAACCAATAGGGGCTGGGTGCAGTGGCTCATGCCTGTAATCCCAGCACTTTGGCAGGCCGAGGTGGGTGGATCATTTGAGGTCAGGAGTTTGAGACCAGCCTGGCCAAGATGGTGAAACCCCATCTCTACTAAAAATACAAAAATTAGCCGGGAGGTGGTGGTGCGCACCTGTAATCCCAGCTACTCGGGAGGCTGAGGCAGGAGAATCGCTTGAGCCTAGGAGGTGCAGGTTGCGGTGAGCCGAGATTGTGCCACTGCACTCCAGTTTGGGCAGCAGAGTGAGAAGACCCTGTCTCAAAAAAAAAAAAAAAAAAAAGGAAAAGAAAGAAAAAAGAAAAAAAGAAACCAATGGGGTGACAAGGGAGCTTGAAGAGCCCCAAATCTTGGGGTTTAGTGCCAAGCAAGGATGTGCATTAACAGGATCAAGGTTCTGAACTCTTGGAAAGCCCATGAGTAGAAGGGATAACATGTAAGTTGCACCCCACCTACCAAACCAGTGAGCTCTCAAGGTTTGGAGAACCAGAATGCAAGAAGAAAATTCAGAGATACTTAGTCACGGGATGAACATGTGAGTGTACAAGAAGGTGGTATAAGATGTTAATTGTGAACTCTGTAAGAACAGGGCCCTGCCAACTCCTGGATATATCCCTAGAGTCTGGCACAGGGTCTACAACATAGCAGAGGCTTGCAAGTACTTGCTGAATGAATGACAAAGAATCTGAAGCTCTTGATGGCAGGCCTGGCTCCTGTGGCTCTCCCTCCCACCAGCTCAAGTCATCATGTACTTTAAGGAACTTGTTTCCAAGGCAACCAATTAGAGTCAGAAAGTGAGGGCTGTGACGTCAGGCAAGGATAGGGGGTGGGTGGAGAAACTGCCATCCCCCATATCCCTAGCTCCCAGCTCAGTCTCTGCAGCCTTGAAGGGAACACTTCTGAAAAGAGGAAAAGACAGAGGGCATTGCCCTCCTGAGAGTACACTTCTGGGTCAGGGCTCAGGAATAGGGACTATGTTGGAGATCTGATTCATCTGGCAGTGTCCCTACCTGCTACCGCATTCCAAAATGCTGATAAGCCTGTGGGTCCAGCAGTGAGACAGTGTAGGCATACTAGAAGGGTAACAGTAGTTGGGGACCACTGCCCATGCTCCTCCCTGTCGCCTAGGAGGGAGAGATCTTAGGCTTTCTTTCTTTGGGGGACCTGTAAACAAGGCCCAGAAGGAAGGAAGTCTTGGCTCAAAGGGGAGGAGATGCTGCTCTCAGGCCTCACTTGAGACCTTTCTGTCTGCCCCCTGGAAAGGATGTATGTTTTGGTTTATGAGAGGAAAGTATACACTTTAAATAAGAGTAGGAAGCCAACAAGGAATGCATTTGGAGAGTGTAGCGGAGACAATCCAATGAGCGGTAGCTCACAGATTCTTTCTTGGAGCAGAGAATGAGATGTGAGTAACAAAACTGCAGCAATTTGAACCCCTAGATCCTTGAGATCATGTTAGGCTTCCCAAGGGACAAGTCTGGCCAATTTGGGAAGGTCATTCTAATCAGAAGATAAAAGGCAGAATGCAAAGGACCTTGTCCTTAGGGTACAATGAGAATACTGGGCATTCACTTGTTGAACTTCCTGGCCAAACTATGATAAGCCTCCACACCAGCTGGGTAGGCCCTGCTGTGAAGACGATGAAAATGATGATGCTGACAATGATAAATAGCAGCTATATTTTTCATGGCACTGTACTTTACCAAATACCTTTATTGTCGTGGTAGCTCTTTTGATAAGTAGGGCCGGAATTGTCCCCAGGTGTGGTTCTGGAAGCAGACTTGGAGATGGCAAGTACTGTGCAGGAGCTTCACTGGAGAGTGCTCTGGGAAGGTGCTAGAAGTGCAGGACTGGGCAATGGAGAAGTGGGGTTGTGCTGCAGTCTCAAAAAAGGCCTTGACTGACTGCAGGGGGCTCTGAAGTTGGACGGCCCTTCAGAACCATCCTGAGTAGGAGAGAGGCAGCTGGGCCTTCACACACCCCTGGTGACCAGTCACTGGATGCAGGCTGCCCCAGAAAAGGGGCATGACCTTAGGCAGGGCAGCACTCTTCAGCAGAGGCAAATCCAAGGAAGGCTGACAGGCAAGGGTGGCAGCTTAGGGGACCGTCCTTCAGTATGGAAGGGGAATGCGGCCTGACACCATGGCACCTACTATAGCAATTACCACTCTCATATTGGAGGTGAGGAAACTGAAGTTCAGAGAGATGTAATGACCTACCATATTATGCAGCTATCATACTGGCAAGGTTGGAGTGTGGCTGTAGCATCAAGAAGGGCTTTCAGTGTAAAATTCCTCCAGTATAACCACAGGAGTCAACTGCTGAGGAAACGCCCTCTCCCTGAGCTCCATGCAGGACAGGCAGTTGGAGCTGAGGGTGCCCTGACTGAGGGGCTGGGAGAAGGAACTCAGTGTGCTTTCCCCCAGGCCGAAGAGTCAGGGTGCAGAGACCCTGTGCCAGGCCTTCAGAGGGCCTGCTGAGCTCTGCTGAGGTCCAGGGAGCCTCCTCCCCCACTGGAAAGTAGAGACTGTGATCTTAATCCTTCCCATCACAGAGGCACAGTGCTGGCTGCTCCAGGCCACAGGAGAAGCTTTCCTGACAGATGTGTCGGATTGACCAAAAGACCAAAAGGGGCTTTGCGGAGATTATGCTGTCTGCTCGATACTTGGCCCCTAAGCCTCAAGAAATGGAAGCTCAGAGGGCATCCTTGGTGGCTTCTAGAAAGGGTCAGAGCTTTAAGCAGGGGCCCAGCAATGGTCAGCTTCCCTGGCCAGCCCCAGGCTGCCTCCAAAAGGCCTGGCGGAAGGCATTTGCCAAGGTGTCAGCAGAGGTGAGGGAGGGAGAGGACAAGGTGACAGAAGGCGAGAGTCAGTGAGGCAGAGGCCAAGGAACAGGAGGGGCCTGACCCCCTCAGGACCAGCCACCCCCACAGAAACTGACCCAGGGGAGAGAGACCCTTGTCTGGGCTTGTTTTCGGGCTGCTGGGGCCAGGCATCGGGGTCTATTAAGGATTTGGAAGGTCACTGAAGAGCGGGGTGTGTGTGTGTGTGTGTGTGTGTGTGTGTGTGTGTGTGTGTGATGGGGCTGGGGTGGAGGCAGTGCCACCATCAGATGTGTGTGGGGAATGGAGTGAAGGGAGTCTGCCTGAGTCCACCGCTTTCACACTGGAACCACTGGGTCCACAGCACAGGCTAGGAGGGACTGCTATTCCTGCTTTTTTTTTTTTTTTTTTTTTTTTTTTTTTGAGGAGTTTCATTGTTGTCGCCCAGGCTGGAGTGCAATGGCACGATCTCGGCTCACCGCTACCTCTACCTCCCGGCTTCAAGTGATTCTCCTGCCTCAGCCTCCTGAGTAGCTGGGATTACAGGCATGTGCCACCACGCGAGGCTAATTTTGTATTTTTAGTAGAGACGGGGTTTCTCCACGTTGGTCAGGCTGGTCTTGAGCCCCCGACCCCAGGTGATCTGCCCACCTTAGCCTCCCAAAGTGCTGGGATTACAGGCATGAGCCACCGTGCCCGGCCTCCTGATCTTTTTATTCTCAACTCTCGCTGACTAGGAGATGAGAAAGGAAGCCTGAGCTGTCACAAGGAGAGGACCCAGACATGCAAGAGGCAAAGGAACAGGAACATGACAGCTCTGGAGTCTCTACAGGGAGACTCACAGGAATAGACCATCCCCTGATCACAGGAACACAGGGTCCTTCTTGCCCTTTTCTGGGGCAAAAGAGTGAGTGGCCACAGCCTCTGTCTTGGAGACCCCTATCAGAAAGGGATTGCTTTAGGTGGTGTTTTTTCACTCTGCTACCTTCCTCCCCACCCCACCCCATTTCCCTTCATGACCTTGTGACTCCATTAGGTCTCCTTTCTTCTTGATTCAAGAAAAAGCCAGGCGGGGAGGGCTGGGGACCAGGGAGGGAGTCAAGGGGGGCAGAGAGGCTGAGCCAATTGCGGCGTCTGCAAGGTGCAAAGCAATCAGCGGAGCCGCTGGTGAGCGGGGTCACTCAGTAGTGTGCACATCAGGGTGAAATCCTTTCAGCTCTTCGCCAAACCCCTAGTGAAAGACAATCAGGCTCGCTGTCACCGAGCTAATTCTGTCTATATAAAAGCAGTAATGAAATTCACGGCAGGATTACCCTCTCCATCCAATGGGCCAGCGTCGTGGTGACATATCTCTCTTATTGCCCGAATGTAACACACCATCTAATTTACGTCGTGTAGCGAGCAGGAATGAAATGTTCATAAAGAATTGCTGCATCTCGTCACCTTAACTGCGGCCCGGGGCTCTGAGGCATCTGTCAGGGAGAGGAGCAGGAGGAGGGAGGGCAGGCGGGGCTCAGGGAGTAGCAGCCGGGGGCAGGGGTTTCTGTGGGGTTGTTGTTTCTTAATAGGGTGAAGTGGAGGCAGAGGGAGGTAGGGGCTGGGCGGGGGTCAGGAGGAGAGAGGGTAAGGGAGGGGCACAGAGGGCTTTGGGGAGGTGAGGATGAATAACGGTAGGTTGAAGTAGTCTGGAGGGAATGTTTGGAAGTCTGTGGGTTTGGGTGAGTTTGGGAGGATGAATGTGAGTGCCTAAGTGGCCAGGGGTTGGTTGGGGAAATGACCCTCTGGGTGCATCCCAGTTACTGCAGGGCCCCTGACAGTCTCTTCCATCCTCTGGAAGTAGAAACCCAGCCACCTCTGAAGACTATCAGAACAAAACTCTCCAGTGAACAAGAAAGAAGCCCATTTATAAAAGTGAACAAGGAGCAGACAGACACAAGGAGCAAGTTTCATAAACCTAGGAGTTCTCCATGGCTACTCCCCCACCCTCAGCAATTGCATGACCCAACCGGCCATCTGCAAGCCCTTTCAACGCCACTTGAAAATGTTCTTCTCTTCCATTCTTTCCTCTCCACCCATCAGCACCCTGCCCCCATCCCAGTCCAAAGTCATTGCCATCTGTTGCCTAGATACCTAAGTACCCTCCTGACTGATCTCTCCATGAGCCCTCTTGCCCCCTCTGGCCCCTCTTTCTCCCTCTACTCAGCCAGGTAGTGATCATGTCATCACTACCATCTCTCAGCTTAAAACCCTGCAATGGTGCCCCCTTGCTCTTAGGGGATACCATTGCAGGCTGTCCCCTAAGACCCTACCTCTTCAGCTTCTTTGTCCCATGCTCCCAGTCACAACAGTGCTCCAGCCATATTGGCCTTTTCCCATAGTCTGAATAAGGTGCTGTGTTCTAAGAAGCCATGGGGGCTGTGCACACGCCTTTCCTTCTTGGAAGACTCCCCTTGGCAGTGGCAGCATCACCAGACCCTGTCCAGCATGGTCTTAACTCCTACTCCCACTTCAGATGCCAGCTGAAGCCTTGCACCTCAGGGGAAGCCTTCTATGACTACTCACTCATGTAGCTCTCTCCTCTTTTATACACTTTCTTGGCATCATTTACTTCTTTTTGTGACTGTTTCATTATAGCCTGGATTCTCCCACTGGACTCTGCACTCCATGAGGGCAGGGACCATGCCTGTTTTACTCACCATTATATCCCCAGCCCCTGGCACAGTACCTGGGGACATTGTAGGTGCTAAATAAATACTTGTTGATGGGCCGGGCGTGGTGGCTCTCACCTGTAATCCCAGCACTATGGGAGGCCGAGGCAGGCGGATCACGAGGTCAGGAGATCGAGACCATCCTGACTAACACGGTAAAACCCCGTCTCTATTAAAAAATACAAAAAAATTAGCCGGGCAAGGTGGCAGGCGCCTGTAGTCCCAGCTACTCGGGAGGCTGAGGCAGGAGAATGGTGTGAACCTGGGAGGCAGAGTTTTCAGTGAGCCGAGATTGTGCCACTGCAGTCCAGCCTGGGCGACAGAGCAAAGACTCCACCTCTAAATAAATAAATAAATAAATAAATACTTGTTGATGCCATGTGGAAGCAGCTGATGGAAAAAAAAAATGTGTTGAATGAAGAAATTAGGGGCATGCACAACCATTACAAGGCGAGAACCTACCTTCCTTCCTTCCTTCCTCCCTCCCTCCCTCCCTCCCTCCCTCCCTTCCTTCCCTTCTTTCTTCCTTCCTTTCTTTGTTCTTTCTTTCCACAAACATCTACTGAATGCTTTCTGAGTGCCAGGCACTGTCAGAGGCACAGTAGCTGCAGTGCTAAACAAGTGAAGATACAGTCCCTGCCCATGAGGAGCTCATGAGGGGAGGGAGACAGACAGCCATGGGGCTAAACCTGTCCTGTGCTTCCTTACTCCAGAGAAGAGCCACATCCTTGCCCACTGGCACAGTCACCTACAAAATGTGGCTGATTCTCTGGGACCATAGAGAATTCTCCTTGAACTTCCCCAATACATAGCTTAGCTACTTGTGGGGTAAAAATACCAACAGATGGAAGAAACTTTGTTGAAGAGCGATAACTAGATTTCTCCTCCTAGTGAAGCATTTAGTGAGTATCTACTATGTGCTGAGCACCTCATCTCATGTCATTCTCACAACTGTGATATCTAGGTATATTATTTTTGTTTTGGCGATGAGGAAACTGAAACTGAGTTTAAATAGCTTGCCCCCCAAAAGGTCACACAACTGGCATACAGTGGATACTTGTTAAATATCTACTGAGTGAATGAATGAATGAGAAGCTAATAAGCAGAAAGGCCAGGACTCAAACCTAGACTTTCTGGCTCCAAAGCCCTTATCTCTTTCTACTCTTTATTCCAAGCAATTAGTTTTGAACTCTCAGAGTCAGTATTAGAAAAATAATCTGATGTTGGGCTCTGGATCTGTGCTTTCTCTCATCTGGGATCCACAGCCTTCCCACAGCTGCACATGGCACCCCAGACACCAGGCCTGGCCAGAGCAGGAAGTTTAGGTCTAGAGAAGACCAGAACTTAAGCCCTCTGGAAGATGTCCATAAGATGAACCCTCCCCCATCCTGTCCAGTCTTCCTTCAATGCCCCAAACTTGGGTTAACTTATCAAAAGGACTGAGCAAGACACTTGTCTGGGAGATGGACCATCACTCCTGCATGGGTAGAATCAACCCATGTCCCTTGTGCCCAAGCTATGTGACCATTTCTCATTAACTCAGAGATGTTTACTCACCAGATGATACATAGTTGTGTGTGCATGTTGTGTGTAGACATGTGTTCATGTATGTATACATATGTGTTAGTAAATCCATCCTTTCATTAGTTCTCCTATAGTTCAATGGTATCTACTATCTGTGTATGCAGACCCCATGTCTGCACCCTGAGGTTCCCTCCCCACAGACATCCATGGACAGGTGTTCCTGGACCTGCCTTTTCTCTTTGCTTCTATCCTCCACTCCTAGAAACTGTATGTGACCTTCCAGCTAATGCTCACGGGCCACAGAGTGGGATACAGTGCTATTTGCTTCCTCTTATTTTGAGGAAAGTTCTACTCCCTGGCAGTAGTTAACTTTTTCTTTATCAAAATGCTAATGCATAGATGTATCAACAAAGAAATAATATATGCCTGGCACACAGTAACCTCTCAATTCACGTTAGCTATTAACATTATTATAGCTCATTTGTCCTCCCTGACCAGAGGGCGTCCCTCCTTCTATCATAGCCCTGCTAGGTCTGGAAGTACAATTACCCATAGCTACACCTGCCAGGGAGCTATGTGAGGCTTGGTGCGCTTGTAAAGGTCTCCTCTGGTTAGATGGCTCCCAGCCATTGTCATCCATATCTCTCAGTAGGATGAAAATCTCACACATCCCTGTCAGGCAGGACTCACTCATATTTTTTAAAGTCTCTATAAAATAAGTCTCAGGGGTTTCTGTAGACATTGTATCCAAAACCTTAAATTTCTAAGACACAGATTGTTTCCTAAACCCATCCTTCTGCAGCTGACATTTTTTCTAGGTGAGACCTGAGACCAGACACACTGGCCAATGTCTACCAGAGAACTATAGTTTCAGTCATGGCACTTTGATATGGTTTGGCTGTGTCCTCATTCAAATCTCAACTTGAATTATATCTCCCAGAATTCCCACGTGTTGTGGGAGGGACCCAGGGGGAGGTAACTGCATCACGGGGGCTGGTCTTTCCCATGCTATTCTCATGATAGTGAATAAGTCTCACGAGATCTGATGGGTTTATCAGGTATTTCTGCTTTTGCTTCCTCCTCATTTTCTCTTGCCACCACCATGGAAGAAGTGCTTTTTGCCTCTCACAATGATTCTGAGGCCTCCCCCAGCCATGTGGAACTATAAGTCCAATTAAACCTCTTTTTCTTCCCAGTCTCAGGTATGTCTTTATCAGCAGCATGAAAACGGACTAATATAGTATATTGGTACCAGTAGAATGGGTCATTGCTGAAAAGATACCCAAAAATGTGGAAGCAACTTTGGAACTGGGTATCAGACAGAGGTTGGAAGAGTCTGGAGGGCTCAGAAGAAGACAGGAAAATGTGGGAAAATTTGGAACCTCCTAGAGACTAGTTGAATGGGTTTGACAAAAATGCTGATAGTGATATGAATAATAAGGTCCAGTCTGAGGTGATCTCAGGTGGAGATGAGGAACTTGTTGGGAACTGGAGCAAAGGTACTCTTGTTATGTTTTATCAAACAGACTAGCGGCATTTTGCCCCTGCCCTGGAGATTTCTAGAACTTTGAACTTGAGAAAGATGATTTAGGGTAGCTGGCAAAAGAAATTTCTAAGCAGCAAAGCATTCAAAAGGTGACTCAGGTGCTGTTAAAAGCATTCCATTTTAAAAGGGAAATGGAGCATAAAAGTTCAGAAAATTTGCAGCATGATGATGCAGTAGAAAAGAAAAACCCATTTTCTGGGGAAAAATTCAAGTCAGCTGCAGACATTTGCATAAGTAGCAAGGAGCCTAATGTTAATCCTCATGAGAAAAATGTCTCCAGGCAATGTCAGAGACCTTCATGGCAGCCCCTCCCATCACAGGCTAGGAGGCCCAGGAGGAAAAAGTGGTTTCGTGGGCTGGGCCCAGGGTCCCCATGCTGTGTGCAGACTAGGGATTTGGTGCCCTGTGTCCCATCTGCTCCAGCCATGGCTCAAAGGGGCCAATGTACAGCTCAGGCTATGGCTTCAGAGGGTGGAAACCCCAAGCCTTGGCAACTTCCATGTGGTGTTCAGCCTGTGGGTGCACAGAAGTCAAGAATTGAGGTTCGAGAACCTCTGCCTAGATTTCAGAAGATTTATGGAAATGCCTGGATGTCCAGGCAAAAGTTTGCTGCAGGGGCAGGGCCCTCATGAAGAACCTCTGCTAAGGCAGTGCAGAAGGGAAATGTGGGGTTAGAGCCCCCACACAGAATCCCTACTGGGGCACTGCCTAATGGAGCTCTGAGGAGAGGGCCATCATCCTCCAGACCCCAGAATGGTAGATACACCAACAGCTTGCACTGTGCTCCCAGAAAAGACACAGACACTCAATGCCAGCCCGTGAAAGTAGCCAGAAGGGAGGCTGTACCCTGCAAAGCCACAGAGGCGGAGCTGCCCAAGACCTTGGGAACCCACCTCTTACATCAGCATGACCTGGATGTGAGACCTGAAGTCAAAGGAGATCGTTTTGGAGCTTTAAAATTTGACTGCCCCACTGATTTTGGACTTGCATGGGCCCTGTAACTCCTCTGTTTTGGCCAATTTATCCCACTTGGAATGGCTGTATTTACCCAATACCCGCACCCCCATTGCATCTAGGAAGTAACTAGCTTGCTTTTGATTTTACAGGCTCATAGGCAGAAGGGACTTGCCTTGTCTCAGGCGAGACTTTGGACTATGGACTTTTGGGTTAATACTGAAATGAGTTAAGACTTTGGGGGACTGTTGGGAAGGCATGATTGATTTTGAAATGTGAGGACATGAAATTTGGAGGGGCTGGGGCAGAATGATATGGTTTGTCTGTGTCCCCATTCAAATCTCAACTTGAATTTTATCTCCCAGGATTCCCATGTGCTGTGGGAGGGACCCATGGGGAGGTAATTGAATCATGGGGGCCAGTCTTTCCCATGCTATTCTCATGATAGTGAATAAGTCTCATGAGATCTGATGGGCTTATCAGGGGTTTCCACTTTTGCTTCCTCCTCATTTTCTTGCTGCCACCATGTAAGAAGTGCCTTTCATCTCCTGCCATAGATTCTGAGGCCTCCCAAGCCATGTGGAACTGTAAGTCCAATTAAACCTCTTTTTCTTCCCAGTCTCAGGTATGTCTTTATTAGCAGCGTGAAAATGGACTAATACACACTTGATAATCCTAATTCCTTTCCTTTGGCCCAAGTGGCCTATCCTCCTAGCTAATGATAGGTTCTTTGGCTCTGCCAGGAGCTGACATTCCAAACCAAACCTGCTTCTTCAAGTGAAGCAAGATATCATTCAAGTTGGACAGATACAGAGCATTCAGTAAGCAGGTACAGGGGAGAGGGGAAAGAAGAGAGATAACACAACCAATCATTGCAAAAAAATCAGGATTCTCCAGACAGTATCTGTCCTGAAATTGGCATAAGACATTTTTTTTTTTTGCAGGATCTGCATAAACCCAGGGGTCTGTGCCTAGAAGTGTATTAAGATTAAGTTTTATTTGATTGTCTTTGGATAAGCAAGAGGGTTAAGGAAGATTATATGGAATGAATAAACTAGAAGAGGTTGGTGATGGATTAGAAATTGGAATCCAACCCTGTTGATGTGTTTATTTGATTTTCACATTTTCCTACCCCCTTTATTCCCACTCCCCTTTCCCCATGCCCAGACTGACATAAATGATACCTTGATGGCTATTTCAGTTGCAACCCTATATATCTAGGGAAGCCTGAGCTCCCCAGCTGCCACCCAACTCTGATCCCCTAATCCCAAAGAGACCAGCTGGTCAGAGTTCTCAGGGATGGCAGACCCCAGTGCAGATTGGGCCTCTGCTACCAACAGTCTCTGGTCATGGTCAGATGGCTGAACTTCTCTGTGTATTGGCCTTAGTATCAGCCTCCTGCTCCCCCTCCACACACACCACCCCAGATAATAGCAAGAAGCATTCTAAACTTCGTGGAATACTATTCTAGAAATTCACCTTTATATTTCTCACTATCATTACCAGATCAGAATATAGTCCTCAAGAGGATTAACATGATCTTGGGTGGGCCAGTCAGCTTTACTGCTGGCCTGGACAGCTGTTTAGTCATCGGTCACCAGGAGAAAGTGAGGATGGATCAGTGCAGCTCAGCCCTGCCACTCAGTGCATGACCCATTATGATAACAGCAAAGATAATTTTCTAGGATCCTGGGCTGTCTGCAGATTTTGGGAGTACCTACAGATACCGCATGGTTTAAAACTCCATTGGTGAAAAGCAACAACCAGCATTCACCCTGGTTGGAGTTCAGTATGATGGTGAGGGGATGTCTAGTATATAGATAAAACTGAAAGGCCCCTCAAAATGGAGACTAATAGATGATTTGAAGAAATAGGCATAAATTTGTTAAGTGTGGGTCAAATCCCTTGCTCTCCAGGCCCTCCTAAAGCCAGAAGCTTAATTTAGTGGTCATTGCCTGCTCGGTGCCACTAAATTTTCTGGTAATCTGCAGGGATATGTAATTATGCTGTAGTTAGTGATTGTTCACTAAGTAAACCCTTGGTGTAGTTACCATGTAAGTCAACAGTATTTACAGGATATTTTTTCTGCCTGTAACTCAAAGCCTTACCGAAACAAATTGGAATTGCCTTCTGGAGGCCGTTGTTATAAATTACAGACCCAACATCTGTCCACATCTGCAATGTCTAGACAGCCTGTCTCAGCTACAAGAGAGAAGAGAGACAAATGAGGGAAAGCGAGGGAGATATGAAGAGTGGCAGAGAAGTCTCAGATTCATACAATTTTTCTCTTCAGAGGTTTACCCAAAGGCTTGCTGTGCTGGCTTCTAAAATTGACCCGAATTATCAGCAGCCCAATGGCAAGCTCTGGAGGGTTTGGGGCCTGGTCATCACCCCTGGATGTGATGGCAATGCAGCGTCTTCTCTTGGGCCGTATCTCTGCCCCAACAGATTCTCAGAGGTCACAGTGGGGCCTGGAAGATGGAGTTATAAATACAGAAACTGACTATGGCCAGATCGGGAGAATCGGCTGTATCTCCAAACATTCCCCCTTCTCTCTCTCTCCTGCTCCCTGACTCTCACCACCACCTGGCTCAGCTTTTCAGAGTGGGGCGAAGCATTCATTTGCCTACCTTTCCTGTGGTCCCTCTCGTGTACCCACGATAAGGAGCCTGCTCGTCAGCTGAGTGATTGTATTTTTTTACAGTTCCTAGCACAAACCTTCTCATTTATATGTAAAGCAGTCATTAGTCATAGCTCCGTTCCCACACACTGCCTGATGTACAATCACATTTTGCAGCGGATGAATCTTTCCACACAGCTGCTCTGCTATGAATAATCCGTCTCTAGGCCCATAAATCAGAAAAAAATCATGCACCTCGTTCGCCTGATCCTTACACAAAGTCATATATTTTACATGAGGACGAGCTAAATATTCATGAGTCTTAAAGGCTTTTTTCATAGGCACTTGTTGGGGTTGTTTTCTACTGTTGGGGGGATACCAAGGTTGTATTTAGGAGAACCAGGGATTTTAAAGAGGAAAAAGAGGCAAGAGAGAGAGAATCTCTCTCTCTCTTTCTCTCTCTGTGTGTGTGTGTGTGTGTGTGTGTGTGTGTGTGTGTTGTGGGGGGAAGAAAGAGAAGAAAGAGAGGGAGAGACAGATTGATTGAGATTGCAAGCTTATCTCTTAGTCATGTGGGACAAAGGATGCTATTGTGAGTTCTTAAAAATATGATAAATACTTGTTGTGTACCTGAGCTTTGATCCTGCCCAGAGCCATGAATATTGCCTCTCTGACCTTCAAGGTCATTTGATGAACCTTTGCCTTCTGACCTGTGGAACAATGAATTTGGTCCTTCTCTGTGTAGGAAGGTGGCTGGGAGAGCCCCACCTGGATTTGATAAAAGCAGGACTTGGGGTGAGGGAGGGGGGAAGGTGGGAAAATCAGCAGTTGCAAAGGAAACTGCTCTGATGCTAGCAAAGCTTCCTACCTACACACAACTTAAGGCCTCCAGCAGCTACCTGGTATTCTGTGTCTGACCCATTCTTCTTTCAGAAAGCATTTAATGTGGCATTGCTCATCCTCCGTTTTATCTCCCTCCCTGGTCTGTCTCCTTCCACTCACCCTCTTAGCCTCCCTCATCATCTCACTTTCTTGTCTTTAGGCTTTTTCTCAGATGGACCCATGCTCTGCCAGGGCAAGCTCCTCAGACTCTCTCCCTCTCCCAAAATGCAAAATCTGACCTCTCCCAGAAGCCTCCTTCTACTAAATAGAGAAGGGAGACTTACTTGCTTTGCTGTGCAAGCCTCACACTCTTGTCTTCCCTAGCTAACCCACTCATCATACCAGCCCCTCTGCTGGCAGGTGCTTTTTCATTTTATTCTGGCATTCACTCAGCATTTGTGTGCTCAGTGGCGCTGTCTGTCTGACTCATTAATGCCATGGTCTGCAGTGGTGATGATGATGTGTCCTCACTTCTCTCCGAAGGGTAGAAAATTCTGCTTCTTGGATTTCACTGACAACACAGGGAACACATTTTTAGGGAGAGATTTCTCAGATTTAGCTCTAGATCTGGAAACACACATATGCCCTCAGACCCTTTAGCCTTCAGTGGATAATGAAAATACGCTGGGTTTGAGTAGGCTGTCCTTGGATGAAGAACTGTATCAAAAGTGTAATGGCACTCAGGGGGTTACTTCTCTATTTAAAGTCACTTCTCTATTTAACGGATGGGCAAACTGAGGTATAATCTTAGGAAACTCCTTTCTAAACTTCAAATCAGGAGGTCATGACAGGCAGCTGCAATTACTTCTGAGTTGACTTTTGTGATGTTGACTCTGGGCATCAAGCTTTTACACCACCCTCCAGGGCCAAAGGCCAGGGATCGAAGCCTTGCCCCATTTCTCTCAGTTCTCGGGCTGACCTGTTCTTCTGCTGCCCCTTGCCCCTCCTGCCCTCAACCCACTTTTGCTAATGTGCAGAAAAAATTAAGTCAAAGAACCGCCAGAGAGGAGGAAAATGTCCAAAGAATCACAGATGGCAGCCTTGCAAATTTAATTTAAAATCATTCTTTATTATCCAAAATATTAAAATTAGAGCTATAATGCCCAAAGGAAAACACAGATGAAAACCCCCAATGTTTCACGGCCTCTTCCTCAGGGGGTCCCAAAAACACTGAGTGGGAATGCTTTTGAAAAGAAAGCAGGAGTGCAGGAGCAAAGAGCCAGCTGTAGATCATTGAGCCAAACACTCAGTGACTGACCCAATCAGCTTCCCTTAAAGCCAAACACCAACTGTTTCATATGCAATTAATGATTGCCCTGGCAAATTAAAGTGCATCAAGTCATCACAGGCATGGTTGAATGAGAAGACACACAGCAGTCACAGGTATCTCATCCCTGGCATCTACATAATGATATTACCAGGCTAGACTCAGAGATTTAATTCTGCAAAACACCATGCACTAAATATTTATATTCATAAAAGGGCTAAAAAAATGCCCACATGCTACCTCTAGGCTCCCCATTCATCTAGAATAGGCTGCTGGTTTATTTGCTGGGGTCTATGGTTGGGAGTAAAGGGTACAAGTCAAGTGTCAGGAGGATCCCAGTGTTCCTGGCCCCCAACTTCACCTTTCAAAAGGGTCTCGGCCAGGCATGGTGGCTCACGCCTGTAATCCCAGCACTTTGGGAGGCCGAGGTGGGCGGATCATGAGGTCTGGAGATTGAGACCATCCTGGCTAACACAGTGAAACCCCATCTTTACTAAAGTACAAAAAATTAGCTGGGCGTGGTGGCAGGTGCCTGTAGTCCCAGCTACTTGGGAGGCTGAGGCAGGAGAATGGTGTGAACCCGGGAGACAGAGCTTGCAGTGAGCCAAGATAGTGCCACTGCACTCTAGCCTGGGCAACAGAGCGAGACTCCGTCTCAAAAAAAAAGGGGGGGGGGTCTCATTCCTGGATTGGGTACTGAGCAGCATCCAAGAGTGGGCAAATCTCCTTCCTTCTCTGGAGATGTCAAAGCAGAAAAGAAAGCCCCTTCGTATGTCAGAGTCAAGAAAGGAGTGTTAGAATGGATGACAACATCTGTTGCCCATTCTTTGGTGCAGAAAATCAAAGTCCAGAGAAGTACCAAAGACTGTTACAGTCATCCTTTACAGGTTCCAAATTATTTTCTTTTCTTTTCTTTTTTTTTTTTGAGATAGGGTCTCACTGTGTCACCCAGGCTGGAGTACAGTGGTGCGATCTTGGTTCACTGCAACCTCTGCCTCCGGAGCTCAAGTGAGCCTCCCACCTCAGCCTCCCAAGTAGCTGGGACCACAGGCATGCACCACCATGCCCGGCTAATTTTTTGTATTTTTGGTGAAGATGGGGTTTCACCATGTTGTCCAGGCTGGTCTCAAACCCCTGAGCTCAAGTGATCTGCCTGCCTCGGCCTCCCAAAGTGCTGGGACAAATTCCAAATTCTTTTTTTGTTTTGTTTTGTTCTGAGACAGAGTCTCCCTCTGTCGCTGAAGTTGGAGTACAGTGGCCACATCTCAGCTCACTGAGACCTATGGCTCCTGGGTTTAAGTGATTCTCTTGCCTTGGCCTCCCCAGTAGCTGGGATTATAGGCGTGAGCCACCAAGTCCAGCTAATTTTTTTTTTTTTTTTTTTTTTCTGAGATGGAGTCTCACTCTGTCACCAAGGCTGTAGTGCAGTGACGTCATCTCAGCTCACTGCAGCCTCTGCCTCCTGGGTTCAAGTGATTCTCCTGTCTCAGCCTCCCGAGTAGCTGGGACTACAGGCGTGTGCCACAACACCCAGTTAATTTTGTATTTTTAGTAGAGATGGGGTTCCACCATGTTGGCCAGGCTGGTCTCAAACTCCTGACCTCAGGTGATCCACCTGCCTCAGCCTCCCAAAGTGCTGGGATTACAGGCATGAGCCACCAAGTCTGGCCTAATTTTTGTATTTTCACTAAAGATGGGGTTTCACCATGTTGGCCAGTCTGGTCTTGAACTCCTGACCTCAAGTGATCCGCCTGCCTCGGCCCCTCAAAGTGCCAAGGCATGAGCCACCGTGTCCGGCCTCCAAATTCCAAATTCTAAGTCACAAATATAGTTGTGATTTTGGATGCCACCGTGCCTGATCTGAAGAATAGGGTCTCTCCAAACAATCATAAATAAACCGGTGCTGATGGAAAGAAAATGTTTTCTTTGGCCTTTTGGATTTGTCTTGGTTTCCTCTACTAAAACCTAATTCTGAGCTTATATGGCCCCTACTCAAATATTCTCATCTCAGCATTCAGCACACTGCTGGGCCTCAGCACCCCTACCATATAAAGGCACAGAACCTAACCTGGCTTGGCCTAGCCCCTATCCTCATCAGGTTGCCAGGATCATTTCTGTGTCCATCCTGGAGACTGCTTTCCTCTCCCCACTGGCATCCCAAACCCAATTATTTTCATTCAGCCCCCTCTGCCCTTTCTGTCTCCCTGGTAGAAAATGCAGATGATGGAGGCTGCCTGTTCTCTGTGCACACCATGACTTGGAGCCTTCAGCAACTTTTCCAGGGCTCTGCATATTATAATCAAGATGAGATCAGCTAATAAAAAATTACATTGGTTACAATCCAAAAAGATTAACCAGCCTTAAGGGTTTCATGGCTACGCATTACACTTCTCAATTTTCCTACAATTAAGCTAACAACAAATAATATTGACAAATAACTGCTAGATGTGCTAGTTGAAGCCTGGCCATGGAAGGGAGGGTGGTTCTGTGAGTCTGGCCATTCCCTGCTCGTAAGTTCTAGCAAACACTGGGCTGCTGGTACTTGAGCTGCTCCGGTGGAGAAGTGATGAGGAATGGTTGCTGTGCTTGCTCCTAAATAAAGAATTTTGGGCCAGGTGTGGTGGCTCATGCCTGTAATCCCAGCACTTTGGGAGGCCAAGGTGGGCGGGTTGCTTGAGCCCAGAAGCTCAAGGCCAGCCTGGGCAACATGGCCAAACCCTGTCTGTACAAAAAATACAAAAATTAGCTGGGCATGGTGGCGTGTGCTTATAGTCTCAGCTACTTGGGAGGCTGAGGAGGGAGGATTGCTTGAGCCTGGGAGGCGGAGGTTGCAGCAAACTGAGATTGCACCACTGCACCCCAGCCTGGGTGACAGCCAGACCCTGTCTCAAAAAAAAAAAAAAAAAAAATTAAAAGATGACAATCCTGACACCTGTTCTCCTACCACCTTTTAGAAATTTTCCTGGTTTCTACTGATTTCTCAACCTCCTGCTGGAGACAATCCAAGATAAGGAGACCTATATTCTCACAAGGCACAACTATATCAATTCATTAATTAACCTGATGTCACAAATCCAAGACCTAAAATAAATTAGACCTAGCATTAGCAAAATTTGGGACAGATAAGACTAAGAGTCTCAATGAAAACCCCCTCCCACACAGATGCTGATAGAGGTCTGTGGAGGTGAGACTTCTCCCTGACTGGCTGCTGCCCTGGCACTGGGGAAGCCAGCGAGGGGTGGAGGAAGGAAGGGTGTTTTTTTTGTTGTTGTTGTTTGTTTTTTTATACAGGATCTCTCTCTGTTGCCCAGGCTGAAGTGCAATGCTATGATCACAGCTCACTGCAGCCTCAACCTCCTGGGCTCAAGTGATCCTCCCACCTCAGCCTTCCAAGTAGCTGGGACAGGCCTGGCTAATAAAAAAAAATTTTTTTTTGTAGAGATGGGGTCTCAAACTCCTGGACTCAAGCTATCCTCCCACCTTGACCTCCCAAAGTGTTGGGATTACAGGCATGAGCCACTGTGCCCAGCCACCAGTTATTTCTATTACTCAGTGTTGGGGAAGAAGCTAGCAGAGGGAATGGTTAGGAGAGGAGGACTACAAAGGAAATAATGACACTTGTTATCATTTAATCAGAGTTACCATGTTCCAGGCACTGTGGTAAGTGCTTTCATGCATTAATTTATTTAATTTTCACAATAATAACATGCTCACTTTGATACTATATCTGATGTTCATCAAAACTGACAAATATCTGAAGGGAACCCAGGCTGGAGTGCAGTGGTGTGATCTTGGCTCGCTGCAACCTCTGCCTCCCGGGTTCAAGTGATTCTCCAGCCTCAGCCTCCCAAGCAGCTGGGACTACAGGTGCACACCACTACGTCCAGCTTTTTTTTTTTTTTTTTTTTTTTTTTTTTGTATTTTTAGTAGAGACAGGGTTTCACCATGTTGGCCAGGCTGGTCTTGGACTCCTGACCTCAGGTGATCCGCCCACCTCTGCCTCCCAAAGTGCTGGGATTACAGGTGTGAGCCACCGCGCCTTGCCGATTGGTTTTTTTTGTTGTTGTTTTTTGTTGTTTTGAGATGGAGTCTTGTCCTGTTGCCACGCTGGAGTGCAGTGGGCCAATCTCACTGCAACCTCTGCCTCCTGGTTCAAGTGATTCTCCTGCTTCAGCCTCCCCAGTACCTGGGATTACGGGCACCCGCCACCATGCCTGGCCAATTCTTGTATTTTTAGTAGAGACGGGGTTTCGCCATGTTGGCCAGGCTGGTCTCGAACTCCTGGCCTCAAGCAATCCACCTGTCTCAGCCTCCCAAAGTGCTGAGATTACAGGGGTGAGCCACAGCACCCAGCCTATATTTGTGTTTTACACATCTGGGCCTGGTGTAGGACTCTCTCTCTCTCTCTCTTTTTTTTTTTTTTTTTTTTTTTTTTTTTTGAGACAGAGTCTTGCTCTGTTGCCCAGGCTGGAGTGCAATGGCACCATCTTGGCTCACTGCGACCTCTGCCTCCCGGGTTCAAGCGATTCTCCTGCCTTAGCCTGCAAAGTGGCTGGGATTACAGGCACCTGCCACCATGCCTGGCTAACTTTTTTGTATCTTTAGTATAGACAGGGTTTCACCTTGTTGGCCAGCCTGGTCTCGAATTCCTGACCTCAGGTGATCCACCCGCCTCGGCCTCCCAAAGTGCTGGGATTACAGGCATGAGCCACCGCGCCCAGCCTCTCGCTGTCTTTTATAATGTAATTTTTACTTAAGTATAATATACAGAAAAGTGCAGAGAATGCATAAGGATATGGCTCAATTAATTTTTAAAAAGCAGATACACCTGTGTAGCCAGTATGGCGTCTCCTCTCTCTCAACACAAATTTGAAATCAACCCTCAGTCTATCCTCAATGGAGTTGTCCCTGAACTAAGCCTACAGGAAGCCTCTGAGCTGCCTTTTTTCTCTGGTTTCTCACAGTTATCACTGGAAGAATCACAAAGGAGCTCTGTTTTGGAGCTTGGAGGTTTAGAATCAAGAGTCTCATTGGTGGTTTTAGTAGCTACACTGCTTTGTTCCTGAACTGGCGAAGATGATGCCCCGGCATTGAAGGGCGGGGTCAGAACAGTCCATGCCCCAAAGAGTTTGCCTGTGAGCCATTCAATTTCTCACCTAGTACTGATTAACTCAATGCAAATGTTTTGCCTATTTTTTATTTAAAAAAATTGTATATGTTTTTATTTTTTTAAAGTAGAGATAGGGCCTCACCATGTTTCCCAGGCTGGTTTTGAACTCCTAGGCTCAAGTGATCCACCTGCCCCAGCCTCCCAAAGTGCTGGGATTACAGGCGTGAGCCACTGCACCCAGCCTGTTTTACCTGTTGTAGCCACAAAGAGACCTGAAGATTCAAGAGTGGCTCTTTAGCTCTGTTGTCTGGCTCCTCCTCCTGCTCAGTCAGTGTGGGTCCTTCATGCCCTTGACCCTACTTAGGGGCAGAGCATGACCTTCCATTTGCCTCTTCTCTTCCTTTCCACCTCCACCTTGGTCCATCCTCAGACCCTCTTTTATTCCTGGCTCCCACGGTCTGGGCCCTTTCTCTGAAGGACTCCCTCTGTTGGATTCTCTGACAGGTGATTGAACTGGGGAGAACATTGGGAAGCAAACCCTCATAACACAATAATTAGTTCTTTAAAAGCCCAGCTTGTCTAGGTGTAGTGGTACGTACCTGTAATCCCAGCTACTCGGGAGGCTGAGGCCAGAGGATCACTTGAGCCCAGGAGTTCAAGACTAGCTTGGGTAACATAGCAAGACCACTTTTTTTTTTTTTTTTGAGACAAAGTCTCACTCTGTCGCCCAGGCTGGAGTGCAGTGGTGCGATCTTGGCTCACTGCAACCACCATCTCCTAGATTCAAGTGATTCTCCTGCCTCAGCCTCCCATCGCCCAGGCTGGAGTGCAGTGGTGCGATCTTGGCTCACTGCAACCACCATCTCCTAGATTCAAGTGATTCTCCTGCCTCAGCCTCCCATGTAGCTGGGATTACAGGTGCCCGCCACTACACCCAGCTAATTTTTTTTTCTTTTTTGTATTTTTAGTCGAGATGGGGTTTCACCATGTTGGCCAGGCTGGTCTTGAACTCCTGACTTCAGCTAATCTGCCCGACTGGGCCTCCCAAAGTGCTGGGATTACAGGTGTGAGCCACCGTGCCCAGCCAAGACCACATCTTAAAAAAAAGAAAAGAAAGAAAAAAAATGTTCAAAAGCCCAGCTTTACAATCCTTTGCACATCTCCATGTTGGGTAATAGAATGTCTCCTTCCTGTTAAATTCTCTATGTCTGGAGAATTCAAATAAACAAACAAAAATCTACTCTGCTGTACTTAGGTTCAAAGCCGAATTCTGGTAAATGAATCTTTTTTTTTTCAAGACGGAGTCTTGCTCTGTTACCCAGGCTGGAGTGCAGTGGCACGATCTCAGCTCACTGCAACCTCCGCCTCCCAGGTTCAAACAATTCTCCTGCCCCAGCCTCCTGAGTAGCTGGGATTACAGGTGCCCACCACTGTGCCCGGCCAATTTTTGTATTTTTAGTACAGACGGTTTCACCACGTTGGCCAGGCTGGTCTCGAACTCCTGACCTCGTGACCTGCCCTCCTCAGCCTCCCAAAGTGCTGAGATTACAGGCGTGAGCCACCGCGCCCGGCCAAATGAAGCTTCATTGTGTCCTTTCTGGGCCTGAGTCCTTGACAAAATTCTTTGTTAGGCCCTTGTCATCATCGTTGTCATCATCATCACCATCATCATCATTACTAGCATCTAATGTTTACTGAGTCCTTACCATGAGCTGGGGCCTGGGCAAACTGCTTTCCATAGATTGTCTCCTCCTGGTCCAGCTAAATCTGGACTACTGAGTCTAAACCAGAGGGTCAGTCTCCGGGGCTCTGCTGTGAATGAGGCAGACTCTCAGACCAGCACTGGAATCAGCAGGGAGAAGCCAGGGGTTGGGCATAAAGTTTAGACAGATTGCTGACAGTTGAGACAGGTTTGGGACAGTTCTCTGACAGAGACTGAAGAGTAATGTTTGGTCATGCGTCCATTTAATAACTATGTAGAAAAGTGCTTGCTAAGGATAAGGGAACTCTATGCTCAGGAAAGCTTTGAGATCAGAAACAGATCAGTACAGCACTTCGTGACCTTAATATACTGTAAGCTGCTTTTATAGTTATGAAATGATATGATACCAGACATTTGCATCCATATGAGCCAGAAAAGGGTGAAAGAAGTGGGTAAGGGCACACACAAAACAAAACTGACTATAAGTCAGTATTTTTGAAGCTGGGTAATGAGTAAAAGGAAATTTATTGTATTATTCTCTTTACTTTTTTATATGTTTGAATGTTAAATTCAAAGTTAAATATACATACCCTGGCCGGGCACCGTGGCTCACGCCTGTAATCCTAGCACTTTGGGATGCCAAGGGGGGTGGATCGCTTGAGCTCAGGAGTTCGACACCAGCCTGGGCAACACGGTGAAACCCCGTTTCTACTAAAAATACAAAATTAGCTGGGTGTGGTGGTCAGCACCTGCAGTCCCAGCTACTTGGGGGCTGAGGCAGGAGGATCCCTTGAACCTGGGAGGTCGAGGCTGCAGTGAGCCAAGATGGCACCACTGTACTCCAGCCTGGTGACAAAGTGAGACCCTGTCTCAAAAATAAAATAAAAATAAATAAATAAATACACACATCCATATTCTTCCATGCCTTTTTTCCTTTTCTGTGTGTGTGTGTGTGTGTGTGTGTGTGTGTGTGTGTGTGTGTGTGTTTAATTTTAGTTGTTTTCTTTTTCCTGGTTGTTTTGTTATTCTGAATTAAGGTGCTTTAAAAAAAATAGCCAGTTCAGGCAAGCATGGTGGCTCACGCCTGTAATCCCAGCACTTTGGGAGGCCAAGGCAGTTGGATCACTTGAGATCAGGAGTTTGAGACTAGCCTAGCCAACATGGTGGAACCTCATCTCTACTAAAAATACAAAAAAAAAAAAATTAGCCAGGCGTGGTGGTACCTGTAATCCCTACTCAGGAGGCTGAGGCAGGAGAATCACTTGAACCCGGGAAGTGGAGGTTGCAGTCAGCCGAGATCATACCAGGCTGGGCGACAGAGTAAGACTCTATCTTAAAAAAAAAAAAAAAGCCAGTTGGGTGCAGTGGCATAGCTACTTAGGAGACTGAGGTGGGAGAATCACTTGAGCCTAGGAGTTCAAGACCAGCCTGGGCAACATAGTGAGACCCTGCCTCTAAAACGAGAGAGAGAGAGAGAGAAACGTACATAATGAATAAACAAGCAATCAATCATTTATTTAAAAATTTTAAAAAATAGCCTATCTTAGTTGCGATAAGGACAAACCAAGTCAAATGGTTTTTTTGGGCCAGTAAGAAAAAGATAGTTATGGGTTCCTAATATCCAGGTGCCTATAAAGGGGACATTCATAGGAGAGTCCCATGAAGACAAATAGTCTGGGGTGGGAGTCCAGACCTCTTTGGACAGCTGCCCTGGTTCTCTCCTTCCCTTTGCTGCCCCTTCTCAGGGTTGTTCCTCTCAAAATATGTTTCTTGATGCATGAATGACATTGCATTTAATTTAAGAGGCAATTCTCTGATAAGAAAGTCCTGCCTTTTCCCCACTTCCTGCCCCAACCTGCTCCCAGACCTCCTGGGGTTATAGCCTGGCTATCTGGATTTCTCTCTGCCTACTAATTTGCTTGTCATCAAAGATCCTTCCCACTGAAAGCCCCCCTTGATTTTTTTCCTGGTACCTGCTTCTGGGGCCTCCCTCAATGACCTGCCCTGCCCTGAAGTTCTGTCCAGCTGCCAGCTCTCATCCACCCCCAAACCAGTCCCATGCTAAACTCTTCCTTTTGCCTTTCTAGAGGCACTCTCCATCCTTTCCCAGCCCTCTCTGGACCTGGGAGATGAACACAAATGGACTGCATCAAAGGCTCTCTTGTCCTCTGGCTTCTGTTTGTGTTTAACCAAAAGGAGATATCAGAAGATTAAAGAGCAGGAGGATGCTGGTATATGATTCTTCCAGATCCCTCCCTGCTGGGCTGCCATGAAAGGGCTACATCCCTTTTTGAATGCCATAGCTATGGTCAAGTGGTCCTTTCCCCACAGCCACCTTCTCAGGGTCTTGGTAACTATGCCCTTCCCTTGGCCCTTGGGGCCTAGGAGTAATATGGTTGTCTGCTGTTGCTAGCTGAGGGGTATGCACTAGCCCTTGTTGGTCTCCCTTCACTCTGTCCACACCTTTGCAAATAGGTCCTTAATTAAACCCTTCTGAAATTAATCAAGTCTACATATGCCAGGACTGTGACTGATACAAATCCATACTATTGTCAAAAGAGCCCTAGTTAGTATCTATTTTTATGTCTTGTTTCCTTCACATAATGGAAAGCTTCTTGAAGGCAAGGCCCATCTCTTATCTGCAGAGTGATAGACACAAGGAAAATAGTGAGTTTTTAACACTGACTCTTAGAAGTAATCCTGACCTCGATCACCTCTTCCTCAAAAGGCATTTTTTAGGAGGGAAGGGGTATCCAACGAAATATAGCTGCAGACGATGTAAATGTCTGGGAAATTAAAGCAGCCAGATAAAGGAAATCACCAGCTTGAAGACATGGTAGTGGGGGAGTCTGGACAAATGCCAGTTAAAGATAAAACAACCTGTTCAAACTTTGACTAAACTATACAAAATAAAGTATGTTAAACAATGTTGGTCAAAAAGTGTCTAAGAAATCCAGGCACAGAAAGCAAGGGAAAGATAGCTTTGTCAGCACTGAAGACTAAAAACTGATTAATCTCCCAACCTGGGAAACATATGTAGCAAATATATGAAGTATATCTTTATAACCAAGGTGAATACTCTTTTTGTTTGTTTAGACATGAATTCCTGCTTTGGATACATGTGTTAATAAATAAAAAACTGTCACTGCATTTAAGATCTGGAGTTAGACTACCTGTAAAAGAACCCTGGTTCCATAAGATATTACAGAAATGATGGAAGGTGACGCCCAAGGCTAGGTTATACAAGGTACTGGGGCTTCTGCCTTAGTCTGGGAAAAATTAGCCACCATGTTGTGAGGTCCCATAAGCAGCCCTATGGAGAGGTTCACATGACAAGGAAATAAAGTATTCTGCGATCAGTCACCCCCAAATTGCCAGCCACATGAGTGAGCCATATTGGAAGGAGATCCTCCAGCCCCAGTTAAACCTTCAGATGGCTAGAGCCCTGGCCAACACTGACTCCAATCTTGTGAGACACTGGGTAGAACATTCAGCTAAATTGTTCCTTAATTTCTAATGCATGTCAGATTTAAAAAGATGCTTATTATTGTTTTAAGCTGTTAATTTTCAGGGTTATTTGTTATGCAACAATAGATAACTAATACAGATGCATACCCTGGATCTAATGATGAAGAAACATCACAGCCAGGCACGGTGGCTCATGCCTGTAATCCCAGCAATTTGGGAGACCGAGGCGGGCAGATCACCTGAGATCAGGAGGTTGATATCATTCTGGCCAACATGGTGAAACCTCGTCTGTATGAAAAATACAAAAATTAGCCAGGCTTAGTGGCAGGTGCCTGTAATCTCAGCTACTCAGGAGGCTGAGGCAGGAGAATCGCTTGAACCCGGGAGGTGGAGGTTGCAGTGTGCTGAGATTGGGCCACTGCACTCGAGCCTGGGCAACAAGAGTGAGACTTCATCTCAAAAAAAAAAAAAAAAGGAAACATCAGATAAATCAAAATTAAGGAGCATTCTACAAAATAACTGGCCTGTAAGCTTCAAAAGTGTCATGGTCATGAAAGTTAAAGAAGAGATGAAGGAATTGTTTCATATTGAAGGAGACCAAAGCGATATGACAGCTAAATATAATTTGTGAATCTGAACTAGATCCTTCTGCAATAAAGGACATTATTGGGACAACTGGCAAAACTTGAGTGGATTCTGAGGATTAGATGGTAGGTATGTATCGATGTTAATTTCCCAATTTTGGCGGTTGTATACTAGTAACATAGAATGTATTCGAGTGTAAGAAATACTAAAGTAGGCTGGGCGCGGTGGCTCATGCCTGTAATCCCAACACTTTGGGAGGCCGATGCGGGCGGATCACGAGGTCAGGAGATCAAGACCATCCTGGCTAACACAGTGAAACCCCGTCTCTACTAAAAAAAAAAAAAAAAAAAAAAAAAAAAATTAGCCGGGCGTGGCAGCGTGCTACTCGGGAGGCTGAGGCAGGAGAATGGCGTGAACCTGGGAGGAGGAGCTTGCAGTGAGCCGAGATCACCCCACTGCCCTCCAGCCTGGGCGATAGAGCCAGACTGTCTAAAAAAAGTAAAGGGCTGGGCGCAGTGGCTCACGCCTGTAATCCCAGCACTTTCGGAGGCCGAGGCGGGTGGATCAAGAGGTCAGGAGATCGAGACCATCCCGGCTAACATGGTGAAACCCCGTCTCTACTAAAAATACAAAAAATTAGCCGGGCGTGGTGGCGGGCCCCTGTAGTCCCAGCTACTTGGGAGGCTGAGGCAGGAGAATGGCGTGAACCCGGGAGGCGGAGCTTGCAGTGAGCCGAGATCGCCCCACTGCACTCCATCCTGGGCGACAGAGCGAGATTCTGTCTCAAAAAGAAAGAAAGAAGGAAAGAAATCCAATTCTCTCAATCTCACCTGCCTGCACTTCTTTTTTGAAACGGACTTTCACTCTTGTTGCCCAGGCTGGAGTGCAATGGTGCAATCTCGGCTCACAGCAACCTCCGCCTCCCGGGTTCAAGCGATTCTCCTGCCTAAGTCTCCCGAGTAGCTAGGATTACAGGCACGCACCACCACGCCCGGCTAATTTTACATTTTTAGTAGAGACGGGTTTCTCCATGTTGGTCAGGCTGGTCCTGAACTCCCCACCTCAGGTGATCCGCCGACCTCGCCTCCCAAAGTGCTGGGACTACAGGCGTGAGCCATCGCACCCGGCCCCTTGCCTGCTTTTCTTTACTCCATGGAAGGAAGTGCAGGTGATGACGTTTGACAGGCCTCTGTGCAGACCAGACTGTACCTTCAGTAACTTCTCACGTACTCGCATTTCTTTCTTTTCTTTTTTTTTTTTTTTTTTTTTTTTGAGACAGGGTTTCACTCTGTCACCCGGGCTGGAGTGCCGTGGATCATAGCTTACTGCAGCCTCGACCTCTGAGGCTCAAGCAATCCTCCTGCCTTAGCCTCCCGAGTAGCTGGGACTGCAGGGATGTGCCACCATGCATGGTTAACTATTTTTGTAATTTTTGGTAGAGATGAGGTCTTGCTATGTTGCCTACCTAGCCTGGTCTTGATCTCCTTAGCTCAAGTGATCATCCTGCCTCTCTGCCTTCCAAAGTTCTGGGATTACAAGTGTGAGCCACTGCGTCCAGCTGCATTTCTCTTTTTATTTGTTTGTTTTGAGATGGAGTTTCGCTTTTGTGGCCCAGGCTGGAGTGCAATGATGCCATCTTGGCTCACTACAACCTCCGCCTCCCAGGTTCAAGCAATTCTCCTGCCTCAGCCTCCCGAGTAGCTGGGATTACAGGTGGCCACCACCACACCTGGCTAAGTTTTGTATTTTTAGTAGAGAAGGGGTTTCACTATATTGGCCAGACTAGTCTCGACCTCAGGTGATCTGCCTGCCTCGGCCTCCCAAAGTGCTGGGATTATAGGCATGAGCCACCATGCCTGGCCTTGGCCACACATTTCTTAATAATAGGCTGCCACACTAAAAACAAACAAAACAGGTGCTCACGCCTATGAAGACAAAGTGTTAACAAAGAAATAGTAAACAAAGTGTAATTAGTCTTTATCCTTTACAGTTCAGTTCAAATATTATTGCTTTTGTCTTTTTCTATTTCCCAAGCAGAGCTAGTTAACATCCTATTGGATGCTACCATAGCATTTCCCACACTCTTCACTCATAGCGATAATCACAATACATTGTAGTCTTGGTTTTTTTTTTTTTCTTCCAAGTTTTCTCATAGACAGTGAGGAAGGAAATGTCTCTTGTTTCTCTGTGTACCCTTCATGGCAGAGAGTTAATCATTACAATAATAATGGTTAACACTTACTGAGTTCTTAGTATGTACCAATGCTCTAAGTGTGTTATGTTTATAAATTGATTTCATTCTTAGAGCAATCCTATGAAGAAGTTACTGTGATAATCATTATTTTACAGATAAGGAAAATGACACACAGGAATAGAAGTCAGATTTGAACCTAAGTAGTCTGCCTCCAGAGCCCAATGCTGTTAAACACTGTGGTATATTGTACTGTATAAAATAAGTTTGTAGTGAATGGATAAATGAACGATGACTCATAATTACTCGTTTTATTACTTAAAGTCACCTAGGGCATGAACAGAGTTATATTTGAGTTCCAATATACGATTAATAATATTTTGGACAGCCTTGGTTTAGAACAGGGTTTCTCAACTTCAGGGTTATTGACATTTTGGGCTGGACAATTCTTTGTTGTGGGGGGCTGTCCTGTGCATCATAAGATGTTCGGCAGCATCTCTGGTCTTTACCCACTAGATGCCAGTAGCAGCTCCCATTGTCCCTAGTTGTGACAACCAGAAATATCTCTAGACATTGCTATATGTCTTCCAGGGAACAAAATTGCCCCCAGTTGAGAATTACTATCTAGAATAGCACTAATCTAAAAAAAGCTACTTGTTTTTTTGTTTGTTTGAGATGGAGTTTCACTCTTGTGGCCCAGGCTGGAGTGCAGTGGCATGACCTTGGCTCACTGCAACCTCCGCCTCCCTGGTTCAGGCGATTCTCCTGCCTCAGCCTCCCGAATAGCTGGGATTACAGGCGCCCGCCACCATGCCCAGCTAATTTTTGTGTTTTTAGTAGAGACGGGGTTTCACCATATTGGCCAGGCTGGTCTTGAACTCCTGACCTCTGGTGATCCACCCACCTCAGCCTCTGAAAGTGCTGGGATTACAGGCATGAGCCACTGCGCCCAGCCGGAAAGCTACTTTTGGATCCAGCAATCCCACTTCCCAAATGAATTGAAATCAGTGTGTCTGTCAAAGGAATATCTGCACTCCTATATTCCTTACAGTATTATTCATAATAGCCAAGATATGAAATCAACCTACGTATCCATCACCAGATGAATGGATAAAGAAAATGTGATTATATATACACACATATATACATATACATAAACACATATATACATATACATATATATTTTTTATTTTATTATTTTTTTTTTGAGATAGAGTCTCGCTCTGTCGCCCAGGCTGGAGTGCAGTGGCACTATCTTGGCTCACTGCAAGCTCCACCTCCCACGTTCACACCATTCTCCTGCCTCAGCCTCCCCAGTAGCTGGGACTACAGGGGCCTGCCACCACGCCTGGCTAATTTTTTGTATTTTTAGTAGAAACGGGGTTTTACCGCGTTAGCCGCGATAGTCTAGATCTCCTGACCTCCTGATCCACCCACTTCAGCCTCCCAAAGTGCTGGGATTACAGGCGTGAGCCACCATGTCCGGCCCTTTTTTTTTTTTTTTTTTTTTTTGAGACTGAGTCTCGCTCTGTCACCCAGGCTGGAGTGCAGTGGCATGATCTCGGCTCACTGCAACCTCCGCCTCCTGGGTTCAAGCGATTCTCCTGCCTCAGCCTCCCAAGAGGCTGGGACTACAGGCACACACCACCATGCCCGACTAATTTTTTTTTTTTTTTTTTTTTGAGACGGAGTCTCGCTCTTTCACCCAGGCTGGAGTGCAGTGGCGCGATCTCGGCTCACTGCAGGCTCCGCCCCGCGGGGTTCACGCCATTCTCCTGCCTCAGCCTCCAGCGTAGCTGGGACTACAGGCGCCCGCCACCTCGCCCGGCTAATTTTTTTTGTATTTTTAGTAGAGACGGGGTTTCACCGTGTTAGCCAGGATGGTCTCGATCTCCTGACCTCGTGATCCGCCCGCCTCAGCCTCCCAAAGTGCTGGGATTACAGGCGTGAGCCACCGCGCCCGGCCAATTTTTTTGAGTAGAGACGGGGTTTCACCATGTTAGCCAGGATGGTCTCGATCTCCTGACCTTGTGATCCACCTGCCTTGGCCTCCCAAAGTGCTGGGATTACAAACAGGCCAGCCAAATGTGGTATATATACACAATAAAATACTATTCAGCCTTTAAAAAGAAGGAAATTCTGGCTGGGTTACATAGTAGGATAACTATAGCCAATAGTAATGTATCGTATATTTCAAAATAACTAAGAGTAAATTTCACATGTCTCATCACAAAAAAGGACAAGTAAGTGAGGTGATGGATATGTTAATTAGGTTGATTTAACCATTCCACATCCTATACATATATCAAAGCATCACATGGTACTCCATCAATGTATACAATTACGATCTCTCAATTTAAAACAATATTAATTTAAAAAGAAAAGCGACTTTTCCACTAATTGTGCTAATAAAAGAAAAGGGAAAAACATAATCCAGAAGAACAGAAAATACAAAAATTTTATTTCTTTGTATGGCAGAAATTGTTACTTGCCTATTGCGACACCTATTAGAAGGGACTACCTTGGCCGGGCGCAGTGGCTCATGCCTGTAATCCCAGCACTTTGGGAGGCTGAGGCAGGTGGATCACAAGGTCAGGAGTTTGAGAACAGCCTGACCAACATGGTGAAATCCCGTCTCTACTAAAATACAAAAATTAGCCATGCGTAATGGTGTGTTCCTGTAATCCCAGCCACGCAGGAGGCTGAGGCAGGATAATCCAACCAGGGAGGCAGAGGTTGCAGTGAGCAGAGATCGTGCCACTGCACTCCACTCCAGCCTGGGCAACAGAGCAAGACTCCATCTCAAAAAAGAAGAAGAAGAAGGGACTACCTTAACCTTTCTCTGCCAATTCTAAACTTAACTTTATTTGTCCTCATACGCTCCTCCTCCTGTCTCTCAGAGGAGGCTAATCCCTCCATCTGTTCCTAGATCCCTTTCTGTCCTGTCTTCTCAGGAACTGTTGCCATCATTATCCTCTTTCTTTCATCCTTAGCCTTTCTCTAATGGATCCTTTCTATCAGCATTTAAATATGCTCAAGTATCTCACTTCATTTTATTCCCCAAGTTTAAATTTTGGAAAATTTCAAACCCTCAGAAAAGTTGCAAGAAGAGTACAACGAATTCCTACAACCCTTCACTTAGATCCATCAATTTTCCTTTTTTTTTTTTTGAGACAGAGTCTCTCTTTGTCACCCAGGCTGGAGTGCAGTGGTGCAATCTCGGCTCACTGCAACCTCCATCTCCCGGGTTCAAGGGGTTCTCCTGCCTCAGCCTTCCATGTAGCTGGGATTAGAGGCACACACCACCATGCCTGGCTAATTTTTTGTATTTTTAATAGAGACACCATTTCACCTTGTTGGCTAGGCTGGTCTGGAACTCTTGACCTCAAGTGATCTGCCCACCTTGGCCTCCCAAAGTACTGGGATTATAAATGTGAGCCACCACACCCAGTCAGATCCATCAATTCTTAACATTTTGCCACGTTCGCTTTAGTTGTCTTTCTCCCTCCCTTCCTCCTTCCCTCTTTCTCTCTCACTCCACATAGACACCTTCCTTATTTCCTAAACCAATTGAGAGTTAGCTGCAGGTATCATAACATTTCACCCTAAATACTTCAGCATGTATCATCTAAGACATTCTCTGATTTTCTTATTCTCACAGTTATCACACTCAGAAAACTTAACATTGATAAAATACTGTTATCTAATACACAGCCCATATTCAGTTTTTCCCTGACTGTTTCACTAATGTCTTTATTTATTTAATTTTATTTTTTTAAGAGCTGGGCATGGGGCATGGTGGCTCACGCCTGTAATCCCAGCATTTTGGGAAGCCGAGGCGAGTGGATCACTTGAGGTCAGGAGTTCAAGACCAGCCTCGCCATCATGGTGAAACCCTGTCTCTACTAAAAATACAGAAATTAGGCTGGGCGCGGTGGCTCACGCCTGTAATCCCAGCACTTTGGGAGGCTGAGGCGGGTGGATCATGAGGTCAGGAGATAGAGATCATCCTGGCTAACACAGAGAAACCCCGTCTCTACTAAATATACAAAAAATTAGCCAGGCGAGGTGGCAGGTGCCTGTAGTCCCAGCTACTTGGGAGGCTGAGGCAGGAGAATGGCGTGAACCTGGGAGGCAGAGCTTGCAGTGAGCCGAGATCGCACCACTGTACTCCAGCCTGGGCAACAGAGCGCGACTCAGTCTCAAAAAAGAGAGAGAGAGACAAGGTCTTGCCAGGTTGCCAACCTGGTCTTGAACTTCTGGGCTCAAGAGATCCTCCTGCCTTGGCTTCCCACACCTGTGTGTAAGCCACTGCACCTGGCCCTATTAATGCCTTTTATAGCTGTTTTCTCTGCTGTGTATCAGTGTCAGTGTATGTGTGTTGTTCCTGTGTCCAATCAGGGATCATTCATTGCATTTAGTTGCCATGCTTCTTCAATTTCCTTTGAACTAAAATCTTCCTTCTTTCAGACAAAACAATGCTTTCCTTAGACTCTCAACTTCTACATCCCACCACTGTGCTAGCTTTTCTCTCCTTCCCTAGATAGCCACGTTTTGTAAAGAAGAGACTCAGCAGTCTTCATATCCTCACCTCCCTCTTCAACAGGCTGCAGTGTGGCATCTGCACCCCCTAACCCCTTCATGATCCTCACTCACCAGACTTTCCTGCTACCTCTCTGGTCACTTCTTGGGCTACTTTGTAGGCTCCTCTTCCTGTGCTCGTCCTATAAATCTTACAGTTCTTTAGGACCCTGTCCTAGTCCTGTTGCTCTTTCCACTGTTTATGCTTTCCCTGGGTGATTTCTTTTCTTTCTTTATTTTATTTATTTATTTTTTTGAGACAGAGTCTTGCTCTGCCACCCAGGCTGGAGTGCAGTGGTGTGATCTCGGCTCACTGCAACCTCCACCTTCTGGGTTCAAGCGATTCTCCTGCATCAGCCTCCTGAGTAACTAGGACTACAGGTGAGCACCACCCCACCCAGCTAATTTTGTATTTTTCATAGAGATGGGGTTTCACCATGTTGGCTAGGCTGGTCTCGAACTCCTGACCTCAGGTAATCCACCTGCCTCAGCCTCCCAAAGTGCTGGGATTTCCAGTGTGAGTCACCATGCCCAGCTCCCTGGATGATTTCATTCTTTTCGGGGGAAGAAGCGGGAGTGGAGTTTCATTTACCACCTACATGCTGGAATCCCTATTTGTAGCCCAGGTCTTTCCCTCCAACTTCAGTTTCAAATCTCCAATGGCCTCCTCAACATCTGAATCCACTTAGAAATCTCACAGGCACCTTGAAGCAATATGTCCAAAAAGAGAACTGATTATCCTCCTACCACTTCTACTGTGCTTTCTGTCAAAAAAAAGAAAAAAATACATATATATGGCATCCCTCATTCATTACCTGAGCCAGATACATAGAAGTCATCTTTGACACATCCTTTTGACATCATCCATGACACATCTAATCAATCACCATACTCCACTGATTCTATCTTCTTAGTATCTCTGGAATCCATCTACTTCTTTCTGTTCTCACCACCACATTCAGGCTGCCATCATCTCTCCCAGGAATATTTCAGCAACCTCATAATCCTTTCCCCAAGCTTCCAGCTGTGCTCCATTTTAATCTCTCCTCCACCCTGGACTCTGAGTGATTTTCTGAAAATGCAAATCTGACCATTTTTTAAATTGTTCAGCTAGTTTCTCACAGCTCTCAGGATACAGTCTAAATGACTGAACTTGGCCTATAAGCTGGAGTGAAAGTCAAGGTATTTTATATCTGGTAAGGTACAGGCCCTGATGCCAGTTTAGAAAGCATGTCAGCTGATTTATCTGACCAGTTTATGCCGGCTAAATAATGGCTTGCCTATAGAGCCCCATACTCTTCTGCAGTCTCATCTAGGGCCACTCTTCCTCTAAAGTCCCACTGATCTTGTTTTGGTTCTCAGAATCAATCACCAAAAATGCAGTTACCTTTGCCTGGAATACTCTTTTCCAGTGGCTGCACCATCATCCCACCTTATCTTTTCATTTATTTATTTATTTATTTTTTTTGTAACTCCATCCTGTTACTGCCTTAGTCCTCTGAAAACCTCCAGCTAGTTTTCATACGAATGCGTTTGAAGTCTTCTCCATTTTGCACTTGTGTAGAATTTTTTTAAAAATTCAAGAACAAAACTTTTTATTAACTGAAAGCCTATTATGTATTAAGTATCATGCTGAGTTTTGTGGATATAGGGGCTAGGACAAAGTATCAACAGAGTAAAAGTGTAAGCTCCACGAGGAAATAACTGGGTCTGTCTTGTTCATTAATGAATCCCCATTCCTTTTTCTTTTTGTTTAATTAATTACTTTTATTTTTATTTCAATAGTTTTTGGGGTACAAGTGGTTTTTGGTTATATAGATGAATTATAGTGGTGAAGTCTGATATTTTAGCCACCCAAGTAGTGATGAATCCCTATTTCTTGAGATGATGTCTGCACACGGTTATATGCTTACCATTTGTTGGATGACTGAGTGAATAAGATAGTTTAAAATGGAGATTTTTTCCTATAAGTCAAAAAGTATTTTCCTAGTTCATTTATTTTATAAATTCAGATATTTTGTACAAGGCTGTCACAATCTAACTCACTTTTTTTTTTTTTTTTTTTTAGACAGAGTCTCGTTCTGTTGCCCAGCCTGGAGTGCAGTAGCGTGATCTCGGCTCACTGCAACTTCCGCCTCCCGGGTTCAAGCAATTCTCATGCCTCAGCCTGCCGAGTAGCTTGAATTACAGGCGCGTGCCACCAGGCCCGACTAATTTTTGTATTTTTAGTAGAGACGGGGGTTTCTCCATGTTGGCCAGGCTCGTCTCGAACTCCTGACCTCAGGTGATCCACCCGCCTTAGCCTCCCACAGTGCTGGGATTACAAGCGTCAGTCACCGCGCCTGGCCCTAAATCACTTTTGTTGTTGTTGTTGTTGTTATACTGTTCTTTTTCATTGCTAAGTAATATTCCACTGTGCTACATATGGAATATGCTACAATTTGTTCATACAACCACCTGCTGAGGGGCATTTGGGTGTGTGTCAGTTTTTTAGGCTGTATAACCAATTATCACAAACATAGCAGCTTAAAACAACCTAAATCACTTTTAACCAAACCCTAGAGTTTTCTCCTCCTAAGGTAGACCCAATTTCCAAAATAAACCCATATTGTACCTTTTCAGGCCAAAGAAAATATTTATATGCTTTATTTGCTGGAGGCCATTATATTCCACCGTTGAAGGACTTTTGTTAAGTACCTGTTTGACCCTTAGTGCAGGGCTTACATCCCACAGTTAGCAATAGCAAGTTATGTGCTTTTTGAGCTCTAAACACTGAGAATTTCTTGAACCGAGTTCTATTCGGCCCTGACTTGCTGTGGGGGAGAAAAGATTCCTCGGGAGAAGTGTGGGTGGCGATGGCTTAGGAGGACCTTGAAATTCCGCATTTGTCTGTGAGCTGCTGCCAGGTGCCCATTGGCCCAGCTACTCTGGGTCGCAAACCTGCAGATGCCAGATACATGAAATTTGGGGACGTTCAGCTTCCTAAAACCACAGTTAGGCAGGTCCTAGGACCCGTGATTCTTGCCACAGTTTTTCTTAGTATTTGGGCTACAAGTGAGGCATTGGCCGCCATCTTGATATCAAATGCCAGGCAAGCCGCTACTGGCGTCGCTCGGTAACCACGGAGACACCCGTGCCCCTCCCGTTTCTCATCCTTAGAGGCTGTAAACTACAATTCCCATCAGCCGATTTCCTCTGCGTAATGGCAACTTATCTAAATCTGGCTTGTGGGCAACCGCAACGCTGCCGCAGTGAACTGTGGGAGTTGCGGTTCACGGCGTAGCCTCAGTTTTTTTCCTGGGGGAAGTTCCAGAACTACAAATCCCGTGAGCCAGTGGGCTTTCGCCTGCGCACGGAGAAGCCGATTCTCCTTGGCCCCTCAGCCTGCGCCTGAGAGGTAAGAGAGGGCGGGGGGAAGGAAGAGGAGGCGGGATCCGGGCGCTGCGTTGGCTGCGGCCTGGCACCAAAGGGGCGGCCCCGGCGGAGAGCGGACCCAGTGGCCTCGGCGATTATGGACCCGGCCGAGGCGGTGCTGCAAGAGAAGGCACTCAAGTTTATGGTGAGGAGACGGTGGAGGCCGGGGAACGGTGGAGGCGCTGGCGTTGGCGGCGTCGCTGGCCTGGGCCGCCCGCCCACTGCGGGACCGGGCAGCGGGACCCTGGGCCGAGGCTGGCGGCGGAGCGGCTGGAGGGATGGGATGGGAGCTCCAGAAAGGAGGCTGGGGGTTGCGGAGCGGACCCAGGGGTGGGGGCAGCGGCTCCGCCATCTTGTGGATGAGAGGCCAAGTGACAGCGGGAGCTTAATCGAGGAGGGGGCTCCAGGCGGCGCGCGGGGCCCTGGAGGGAAAGGGGCGTGGGGACTGTTACTGAAAAGCGGAGGAAGCTCTCTGGAGAAACGCCGTGAGGCCGCTGGCGGGGCCTTCCTGGTGTCAGGGTTACCGGTAAGGCCCGGGAGAGGAGGTGCATTCACGACTGGGGAAGGGAGCGCGGGATAGAGTGAAGACAGATACGGTGGGTAGAGGGGAACGGGCAGGGCTGGATGCAGATGGATTTAAGGGTGGAGGAGGGAACGCTAGGGCTGGTGAGAGGCTTATAGTTTTGTAGAATGAGGAGGGAGGATAGCCTTTGCCTTGAGGGTGGAATCCCAGCTTGGCCAAACTACTGTTGACAAACTCTGGAAGGGAAGAGGCCTCACTAAAGAAGATAAGGACTGGGAATGAGGACCTAGGGCTATAATGACAGTCCCTGGGAGGGGAAAAGGGTGTTGACTGTAAGCTAGAATTACAAATGTCAGGGAGGGGTACATAACGCTACTTTGAAAGGAGAAGCTAAATACTGTAATAAGGACAAGGTGATGAAAAGTAAGAGCAGATTGTCAGGGAAACATGGGTACAGGAGATTGGGGCAAAATGAGTATCTAATAGGGTAAGCAAAACAAAATTTAAAGGTAAATTGTGGGACGGTAAAATGTGGAGGCCAGGTGCTTTGTATCATTTTCTGGGAAAGGAAAGGCCGTGGAGATGAGAGTTGCAAAGACCCATAAGAAGTGATGAGATCAGTTGAGAAATTTAGGAGATAAAAAGGGTGGAGGTTGGTAGAGGGAAGTAAGTCAGGGATAAGTCAGGATTTGTGGTTACCCGTCAGTTTTAGGTTGAAGCACAGTGTGAGCAAAGATTGGATTTTGTGGGTGTGCTTAAACCCCTTGGAACATATTTCTTTAACTTTGTATCACGCTTTTCTTTTTGCTGTGCTTATCTTTGGCAAACTCGTATAGTCTGATATTTGATGCTTTTAATCTGATGCTTTTTGTATTTCCTAGGTGTAAAACCAGACTTTGTGGTTACAACTAAAGAATGATGGAATGCATAGATTTTAAGCTTAACAGGTGGCCTTAGGGACATTGATATTATTTGCAGTCCAGTCTTGCTTTTTCAGAAGTTATTGTGACTTGTCACTCCAAATCTTACTCCTTTGCTTAAAAAAATAGCTATTTTGTATCTTTGCCTAAAATACCGTAACAAATCCAGATAAACATGGATACTAACAAAATTGAATTTTAGACTTTAAACTGCCCCATTTATAAGAATACTTTTTTGGAATCTAGTCAAATTCACTAAAACTTTATCTTGCATTAGTGTTTTCGAAAACACCTAATTAAAATTCAGGGGTATCATTAACAAAATTTCATTGAGCCTGAAGAAGGTTCTTGGATTTCTGCCCAACATTAAAATTCTAAATATGAAGAAGAGACCTTGAACTTTTACTGGACTTTAGAAGTAAGTGAAAGTTACTACACTTAAGTTAGAAAACTGTTACTGCTTATTTTTGTTTTCCTACTTAGAGGGTTGACTCCTTTTTTTCTTCTTTTGAGATGGAGTCTTGCTTTGTCGCCCAGGCTGGAGTGCAGTGGTGCAGCCTCCGCCTCCTGGGTTCAAGCGATTCTCCTGCCTCAGCCTCCCGAGTAGCTAGAACTACAGGTGTGGGCCACCACGCCCATCTAATTTTTTATTTTTAGTAGAGTCGGGGTTTCACTATGTTGGCCAGGATGGTCTCATCTCCTGACCTCGTGATCCGCCCACCTTGGCCTCCCAAAGTGCTGGGATTTCAGGTGTGAGCCACAGCGCCCAGCAGAGGGTTGACTCTTAATCCTAATCCTGACATTTGTGTCAGATTTATGGAATAATGTGATTTACAGATCATAAAGAGACATTATGAGATCATCCTTTTTACTCTCAGTTAGACTTCAGCCTAGTAACATTCTCAGCTACTTAATCTCTGCTTTGTACCAGTGAGTTATGTTTTGATAATGGCCTCCCTGGTTGAGTTAAAGTGGACTTGGAGATGACCATATAGTAGTTGCAGCTTTTAGAGCACCACACATTATTAAATCTTGAATCAGTTTTCATAGGGAGAAGCCAATTTTTTCTTTTAATTTTAGTTACTTTCATTATTGACCTTGCCTGCTGTTTTGGCTGCCATTTGAGAAAAGGTCAACTAGAAGAGGGTCACCAGAATGACACCTTAATAAAAGAAACAGAGAATGGAGAGTTTGAGATTGGGTATTCTCTTTCAGTGCAGTAACAGTCTTATGAATCTGAGTAAGTCACAACTTCCCTTTGGTGCCATTTACCCTGCTATAACATGTCTGTTTATTCAGAGTCAGTTTTAAGAAAGGAAGATAGGCCGGGTGCGGTGGCTCATGCCTGTAATCCAGGACTTTGGGAGGCCGAGGCAGGCGGATCACGAGGTCAGGAGATCGAGACCATCCTGGCTAACATGGTGAAACTCCGTCTCTCTAAAAATACAAAAAATTAGGCGGGTGTGGCAGCGTGCGCCTGTAGTCCCAGCTACTCGGGAGGCTGAGGCAGGAGAATGGCGTGAACCCGGGAGGTGGAGCTTGCAGTGAGCCAAGATCGCGCCACTGCACTCCAGCCTGGGCGACAGAGCAAGACTCCGTCTCAAAAAAACAAACAAACAAAAAAGGAAGATATTGGCCAGGCGTGGTGGCTCATGCCTGTAATCCCAGCACTTTGGGAGGCTGAGGCGGGCGGAACACGAGGTCAGGAGATTGAGACCATCCTGGCCAACATGGTGAAACCCTGTCTCTACTAAAAATACAAAAATTAGCCAGGCCTGGTGGCGCGCACCTGTAGTCCCAGCTACTCGGGAGGCTGAGGCAGTAGAATCACTTGAACCCAGGAGGTGGAGGTTGCAGTGAGCTGAGATCGTGCCATTACACTCCAGCCTGGGTGACAGAGCGAGACTCTGTCTCAAAAAAAAAAAAAAAAAAAAAGGAAGCTATTTGAGCTAGCATCAAATAATTAGTGCACAGTACACATGGAAGAACTATCCTTTTAATCAAACGGGCATTTTTATTACTATTTGGCTTTGTTCTGGTCTTAACCTTTCCCTCAATTGTGAATCGCTAATGACAACTTTTATACAGATGTCATGATTTCCATGGTTTAAACAAATGTAAAATTAGTTTAAAATGCCAGAATGAAATGGATACTCTCACAAATTTGCTCATTGCTATACTAAAGTGCCTTGATAAAGAATTTTACAATAAAATCCTGTTAATAAGACTGCTGATTCAGAGATGACCATAATTCACACGTGATCGAGACTTAAAGCTTATTGTTTTACTTGTGAAAAAAGTTTAAGCAGAATGTTTAACTTTTAAAAACAAATAAATGATATTGAAAGCAACGGTTTACATTAACTTACGTGCTAATGTCTCTCATTCAGCTTTAGCAGGTCCTCAAGGACCTTTCTTAATACTTTTTTGGTTAACAAAAGTATAAATGGAAACTTGAAGAGAACCTAAGAAGAGAAATGAAAATGATTGAGGGAATATAGACCCCAAAACACACAAACACACACACACAAGCACGTTTAAGATAGGGGTTGAAAAGACATACTGAGGAGGAATTTGAACTTTATTTTTGTTTTCACCTTTGAGACAGGGTCTCACTATGTTGCCCAGGCTAGAGTGCAGTCATAGCTTGCTGCAGCCTCAAACTCCCAGGCTCACATGATCCTCCTGCCTCGGCGTCTCAAGTGGCTACAGGCACACACCACTATGCTGGCTATTTTTTTTTTCTTTTTTGTTTTTGTAGAGACAAGGGTCGCCCTTTGTTGACAGGGGTGGTTTTTGAACTCCTGGGCTCAAGGGGTCCTCCTGCCTTGGCCTCCCATTGTTGGGATTACAGGCGTGAGCCACCTTGCCAAGCCACGTTTATTTTTAAAAACAGGATAAATATATTCTTGTCCAGCCAATCCCAGAATCAAGTACAGTAGCTTGAAATAGATGAAATAATTTTAGAATGTATTGTTTTATTTATAGAGCTGATAGATAAATGAAACAGTATAAAGGGTAAATATTTGCTGTTTAACAGACAACCTCAAAACTTAGCTTAAAAAAAACAATTATTTTTCCCCTCAAATCTGATGGTTTTTCTGCTTCACTTGGTATTGGCTGAGGTGTGGGAAAGACCTTCACTTCTCCTCTATATGGGCCTTTCTCTACCTGGCTGCTTGGATTTCCTTAAAGTGTGGTGGCAAGGTTCTAAGAAGGGACATTCCAGGAGACAGGAGGTAGAGACTGCCAGTCTTCTAAATCCTAGATTTGGAAGTCCAAGAATGTCACTGTGGGTCAAAGCCAGTCAAGGCCAACTACAGAGGGAGGAGAAATAATGTCTACCTATTGATAGGAAGGGTGGCGTGCATAAACAAGGAAGGGGGAATTGCTGGGGGCCACCTTTTGAGACTTGCTACCGTAGGTGCTATGCTAGTTGGATGTTAAGGCTAAAAATAAAAATGGTATCGGCCAAGTTTGTGGGTCATAATGCTAGGAATGTTTAGGAGGCATCTCTTTTTTTGAGGTTAACTTCGGAAGGCACTAACATGATCTCCTGCGTGACTTCCCTTAATGATGTCACTGTTGACATAATACTGGGTGAATTAATGTGATTAAGTAAACTTGCTTACTTACTTCAGGAAACAGAGGTATCTAAACAGATTACATTTTAAAATAAATTGTCAGATGTTTCACTGTAATGGAATTTTCTTTACATCAGTGAAATTGATTACCAGGTAGTGGGATGAACATCTGAAACTAGTTCTTAGTTTAAGTTGTCTGAGTTTTTGTGTATACTTTACCTATTCCCAGTTTAAATTGGCTTTCAAACAGTTTGTTTTCTGGGTACTCTTATAGGTGTTGGGGTATGAAATTAGTGGTAATTCTTTTTGCCTATTTTCTTTTTTTTTGTCTGAGATACCCTGAGTCTCGCTCTGTTGCCCAGACTGGAGTGCAGTGGCACAATTTCGGTTCACTGCAACCTCCGCCTCCTGGGTTCAAATGATTCTCCTGCCTCAGCCTCCTAAGTAGCTGGAATTACAGGCGTGTACCACCTTGCCTGGCTAATTTTGTTGTATTTTTTTTTTTTTGAGATGGAGTTTTGGTCTTGTTGCCCAGGCTGGAGTGCAATGGTGCAAACTCAGTTCACTGCAACCTCTGCTTCTGAGGTTCAAGTGATTCTCCTTCCTCAGCCTCCCCTGTAGCTGGGATTACAGGCATGCACCACCACACCCAGCTAATTTTGTATTTTTGGTAGAGACAGGGCTTTTCCATGTTGGTCAGGCTGGTCTCGAACTCCCAACCTCAGGTGATCTGCCCGCCTTGGCCTCCCAAAGTGCTGAGATTACAGGCGTGAGCTGCCGTGTCCGGCCTCTTTTTGCTAATTTTCTAAATTTATGTTTATAGTAGATTTTCATAAATTATCAAAAGTGAATTATTAGATGTGGAGTAAAAATTCAACTTTGAGTAGTTTTAGAAATTATTTATTGCTAAATTAGAAAATAAACTTTCAAAAGAGATCTCTTTTTTTTAAAAAAACTTAATTGAGACAGGGTCTCACTCTGTCACCCAGGCTGGAGTACAGTGGTGCAACCTTGGCTCACTGCAGCCCCTACCTCCTGGGTTCAAGCAATTCTTGTGCCTCAGCCTCCCAGGTAGCTGGGAATACAGGCATGTGCCACCACGCCCAGCTAAATTTTGTGTTTTTAGTAGAGACAGGGTTTCACCGTGTTGCCCGGGCTGGTCTCGAACTCCTGACTTCAAGTGATCCGCCCACCTTGGCCTCCCAAAGTGCTGGGATTACAGGCGTGAGTCACTATGCCTGGCCTAGAGATGGGATCTGCTTTTTTTTTTTTTTTTTTTTTGAGATGGAGTCTTGCTCTGTCACCCAGGCTGGAGTGCAATGGCACGATCTCAACTCACTGCAACCTCCGCTTCCCAGGTTCAGGCAATTCTCCTGTCTCAGCCTCCTAAGTAGCTGGGATTACAGGCACCTGCCATCATCCCTGACTAATTTTTGTATTTTTGTAGACGGGGTTTCACCATGTTGGCCAGGCTATTCTTGAACTCCTGACCTCAGGTGATCCGACCGCCTCGGCCTCCCAAAGTGCTGGGATTATAGGCATTAGCTACCGCGTCTGGCCTCTAGAGATGGGATCTTGCTTGCTCTGTTGCCAGGTTGGCCTTGAACTCAGGCTAGGGTTAAGTGATCTTTGTGCCTCGGCCTCTCCAGTAGCTGGGACTACAGGTGCGTGCCACCACTCGCAGCCTAAAATACTTTTTAAATCTCACCTACTTTCTAGCAGTATTTTATTTTATTTGGGCGCAGCTCTGCCATCAGTAGGCTGAGCTCCCTGCAGCCTCAAACTCCTGGGCTGAAGCAATGCCTCTGCCTCAGCCTCCTGAGTAGCTGGGACTACAGGTTTGTGCCACCACACCTGGCTATATTTTTATTTTTTTGTAGAGATGGGGTCTTGCTGTGTTGCCCAGGCTGGTCTGGAACTCCTGGCCTCAAGTTATTCTCCTGCATCAGCCTTCCAAATTGCTGGGATTACAGGCTTGAGCCACCATGCCCAGCTTTAGCAATTTTTTTTTTTTGAGACGGAGTCTCGCTCTATTGCCCAAGCTGGAGTGCAGTGGTGCGATCTCAGCTCACTGCAACCTCAGCTTCCTGGGTTCAAACAGTTCTCCTGCCTCAGCCTCCCAAATAGCTGGGATTACAGGCACGTGTCACCACACCTGGCTAATTTTTTGTATTTTTAGTAGAGATGGGGTTTCACCGTGTTAGCCAGGATGGTCTCGATCTCCTGACCTTGTGATCCAACCGCCTCAGCCTCCCTAAGTGCTGGGATTACAGGCATGTGCCACCGCACCTGGCCAGCAATATTTTAATATAGCACAGAAGTCCTTTCTAAATGTGTATAGTGAGAATCCATTGAGGATGAAATAGAAAATATTTACCAAAGTTTAACAACTTAGTCAATAAAAATAAAACTTTCTCTTTCCGTAATAAGTCAATCTCAGCATTCTAAAATAGGCAATGGAGGGGGGAAGAAATCTCTATGGGAAGGGTCCACTGGATCTTAACAGTTTCAACTAGTGTTCCACAATATTTCTGCTGTACTTGGGGAGAATTTCTGGATAATTAGAATAGTCTGAGGCTTATTCCTTTTAGTTTCCCATAGCCTGATTGAGATAGAGCTATAAGACCAGCTATAACATTGTACAGAAGACTCAGAGATAAACAAGTGAAAAAGATAACTGAGATTAATGTTGAACTAAGAATATGATTGTTCTCTGAGGCACTACCTGCTAGTTCCTGGATTACCTTTATATGTGGCCAAGGTGGGGATTGGGAAGCAAGGGAGCAAAAGCCCTAGAGCTAAGGGAGAGAGAATTTCTGCCTGCCTAAGATGAACCTTCTGAGTTGGATATTTTTTTTTCTTCCCCCTTGAGACGGAGTCTCACTCTGTCGCCAGACTGGAGTGCAGTGGCATGATCTCAGCTCACTGCAACCCCCGACTCCCTGGTTCAAATGATTTTCCTGCCTCAGCCTCCCGAGTAGCTGGGATTACAGGCACGTACCACCACACCCAGCTCATTTTTGTGTTTTTAGTAGGGATGGGGTTTCACCATGTTGGCCAGGACAGTCTCGATCTCCTCCTTGTGATTCGCCCGCCTTGGCCTCCCAAAGTGCTGGGATTACAGCTGTGAGCCACCGTGCCCGGCCTTGAGTTGGAATTTCTTTCTAAAGTCTTGCTCCTTTCTGTAGTTTGGCTTTCCTTTCAGGGTATCTGATTTTGCCTTCCTGCTCCTAGGCTTGTGACCTGACCTGATGCTGTCAATTACAGGAGAATGCAGAGGTGCAAGAAATTTTTTTTTTTTTGAGATGGAGTTTCGCTCTTGTTGCCCAGGTTGGGGTGCAATGGCACAATCTCGGCTCACAGCAACCTCCGCCTCCCGGGTTCAAGCTATTCTCCTGCCTCAGCCTCCCGAGTAGCTGGGATTACAGGCATGCGGCACCACACCCAGCTAATTTTGTATTTTTAGTAGAGACGGAGTTTTTCCATGTTGGTCAGGCTGGTCTTGAACTCCCGACCTTAGGTGATCCGCCCGCCTCTGCCTCCCAAAGTGCTGGGATTACAGGTGTGAGCCACCACGCCCGGCCAGAAGAAATTTTTTGTGTTTTGTTAATACAGTCAGCCACGAATAGCTAACAGCTAACAGCTGGTCCCTCATATTTGTGGGTTCCATATCTGCTAATTCAACCATTGATTGAAAATATTCAGAAAAAGAGACCACAATAAAAAATAACAATATAACAATAAAAGTGGGAATTAAAAACAATACGTATAACAACTACTTACATAACATTTACATTGCATTATTATATGTAATCTAGAGATGATTTGAAATATATGGGAGGATGTGTGTAGGTTATGTGCCGTTTAAGGCACTATAAGAGACTTTTGAGTATCTGTGGATTTTGGTATCCGATGGGAGGATCCTGGAACCAGTTCCCTGCAGCTATGGAGGTTTGACTATAATTATTTAGCATGTACTATTTGCTGTTCTAAATATACTGTTCTAAGCTCTTTATATATATTATTTCATTTAATCCTCCCAGTAATCCTGTGAGATAGATTCAGTATTATTATTATCCCCATTTCTCATTTAAGGAAAATTATTCCAGAGAGGTTAAGTAACTTGCTCAAAGTCATGCTAGCAGGTATCCTGAGATTAAATCCAGGCAGTCTGACTTGAGAGCCTTACTTACGTGCAGTATACTTCCTCTTTGAAGAGCAGGAAAACTGTGGGATATGGTGGCATGTTTCCTTAATATCTGTTAAGGCACACTTTGGTAAATGCTAAAATAGAAGCACAAAGTGCTATAGAATTTAAGGGAGGGGAAGTTCGTTTTTGTTTTTGTTTTTGTTTTTTCTTTTTTTTGAGATGGAGTCTTACTCTGTCACCCAGGCTGGAGTGCAGTAGCGCAATCTCAGCTCACTGCCACCTCCACCTCCCGGGTTCAAGTGATTCTCCTGCCTCAGCCTCCCGAGTAGCTGGGACTACAGGTGTGCACCACCACGCCCGGCTAAGTTTTGTATTTTTTAGTAGTGCTGGGATTACAGGTGTGAGCCACTGTGCCTGGCCGGGAAGTTCGTTTTAACTGAAGAGCTCTTTAGCAGCTTTGTAGAAGAAAGCTTCATATTAGATCTTGATGAATAGATAGATTTTGACAGATATCTCTCTGAGGTAGGCAGTCAAGCGGTGGCCAGAGTGGAAGAATTACTGTCCAGATTTACATATAGGTTTCCTGATTATTTAAATTACCGATGAAGTGCAGTAAGACTCTACTGTTGTCACAGTATCATTTCAGTTAGCTATTGGCGTTTAGAATCACAAAATACCAGCATCTTACAGTGATAGGTATTTATTCTCTTGAAATTGTGGGTTTGCTGGGTAGTGGATGATCTAAACTTGGCTTACTCAAAGTCAAAAGCCCAAAGTCAAGCAGGGCAGGGAGTAACTTGCACAATACTATAGTGACAGTAATCTACTGCAGTGATCTAGTACAGTTGATTTAGAGAAGAATGGTAAGATGCTTATTATGACAACTATTGTGCTTTCTTCTTTCTGCTCTCTATTGTTGACACTCTCCTGATAGCACTTTTTCATTTTGGTTGCTGAATAATACCTGTTGATTGGATACTCCTAGAATCATAATGTAATACAGCAGATTTCTTCTCTTCATGTTATGTAGAAAAAAAGCATAAAGAAATAATCAGAATCTTGACTATTCCACAGTGATGCCCTGAAAAGTTCAGCAATATCATGGTGCTATTCTTCTATCTTTGGGACTGATAAGCTTGATGTCACTGGAATGGCATTTGTAACAGAATTTGAACTGTAACAGAGTTTACATCAAGGTCATACATAATAACCCAACAACTCCTTTGTTAACAGTTTTAACAGCTTTCCATCTCTTCGCTGCACCTAAACTTAAGGTTGCAAAGATCAGGTGCTGATATATTTAGATGTCTGGAAAACTTTCATGCTTTCACTGAAAAGTCATAGAGACAGATATCCAGGAATTATAGCATGTGGATAAATATTTTTGTAGCACAGATTCATAAATCCTTGTATGCAGGAAGTACTACACCAAACTGTTAATGTGGTTATTTGTGAGTTGCTGAATTATGGGTAATATTTCAAAATATTTAATGGTATTCTGAAAATATACTAGTAAATACACAGAAAAGCATTATTTAGGTGATATTTCTTTTAATTCTTTTTTTTTTTTTTTTGTATCCCCGGAGCGAGTGCACCGTTCCTGGAGGTACTGCAATACCAGGTCGATGCATGGAGTGGACGGAGCAAGCTCCTATTCCATCTCCCTGCTCCAAAAATCTATTTAATATATTGTCCTCAGATAGAGGACATATCAGATACTAAACTGATGAGAACAGATACTACACTTGATCTTAGCCAAAAGGCCGAGAAGTGATTTTAATTCTTTTTCTTTTTTTCTTTTTAAAATTTTTTTATTTTTATTTTTTTTTTAAGATGGAGTTTCGCTCTTGGTGCCCAGGCTGGAATACAATGGCGCGATCTCGGCTCACCGCAACCTCCACCTCCCGGGTTCAAGTGATTCTCCTGCCTTAGCTTCCTGAGTAGCTGGGATTACAGGCATGCACCACCACACCCAGCTAATTTTGCAGTTTTAGTAGAGATGGGGTTTCTCCATGTTGGCCAGGCTGGTCTTGAACTCCGGATCTCAGGTGATCTGCCCGCCTCAGCCTTCCAAAGTGCTGGGATTACTGGCGTGAGCCACCGCGCTTGGCCCTTTTTTTTTTTAATTTTTTGAGACAGTCTCACTCACTCTGTCACCCAGGCTGGGTGATATTTCTTTTCTTTAATTCTTTTTCTTTTTAAAAATTTTTTATTTTTATTTTTATTTTTTTTGAGACGAAGTTTCGCTCTTGTTGCACAGGCTGGAGTGCAGTGGTGCAGTCTCAGCTCACTGCAACCTCTGCCTTCCGGGTTCAAGCAATTCTCCTGCCTCAGCTTCCTGAGTAGCTGGGACTACAGGTGTGCATCACCACACTCAGCTAATTTTTGTGATTTTTATTAGAGACAGGGTTTCACCATGTTGGCCAGGCTGGTCTTATACTCCTGAACTTAAGTGATCCACCTGTCTTGGCCTCCCAAAGTGCTGGGATTATAGGCATGAGCCACCATGCCTAGACTTCTTTCAATTCTTTTATGTTTTACGGATTTTCTACAGTGAATATATATCATAATCGGAAAAAGTAAAATTTAGTATATTGAGTATATGCATTTATAAAACAAAATGATCATGGACTACATTGTAGCAAGTGTACTGGCCAGTGGGCTGACAGTGGCTGCTTAAACGACTCCTTACTCTGAGCTCCAGTTTTCTTAACCAGAAAATCAGCTATTGTTAATTTTACCTACTTAGGGTCTCTCTCTATTTTTCCTTTCAGTTCATGTTAATTTCTAAATTGCCATGTATAAGTAAGGGGTTGTCAATTTACACCATAAAACCCCTTTATGTATCCAAGGTTTTCATAGGAAATTTAGGACTGTATGATCCTAAATTGTGCTGGAGTACCACATTTTCTGTTAAGTAGTACTTGGCAATAAAGTATAGGAAAAAAAAATCAGTGGGTTGACAAAGAGAGGTCATGATAGTGTACCTGTAATGTAATTTGATAAAAAATGTGAGCCTGAACTGATTGCAAAGCATTGTTACATATAGGGGAAGACATTATGGGGGCAGAGGGGGGTGAAGATACAAAGTTGAATAAAACTTCTCTAGAGCTTCACAATCTAATAAGATAGGCATTTATAAATATCTCTTAAGGCGCACTTTGTTAAGTGCTAAAATAGTGGCACAAAGAGCTATAGAATTTAAGAGAGGCGACAGGAAAAAAAAGTAAATTGAGTTAAAGGAAGGAGAAATTAGTTTTAATGAGAGATTTTTTAGAAGCTTTAAAGAAGAAAGTTTTGTATTGGACCTTGAAGAGTAGATAGATTTTGACAGACTTGTGTCTGAGGTGGGCAATTCCAAGAATAGGAAGTAACTTGGGTAAAGGCCAGGAGATCAGAAGTTGGGCAGGTGCAGTGAGTTATAGGTGGGTAGATAGATATAATTTGAGTATAGCAGATAAGGAAAATATAAATTGGAGGCCCAGGGAGTTTGGACTTAATCTAGTTATATATATATATATATATATATTTTTACATTTATATATATATTTATATATATTAATATATATTTATATATATTTATGTATATTAATATATATTTATATATTAATATATATTTATATATATTTATATATATTTATATATATTAATATATATTTATATATATTTATATATATTTATATATATTTATATATATATTTATATAAATATATATTTATATATTTATATATATTAATATATATATTTATATATATATTTATATTTATATATTTATATATATAAATATATATATATATAAATATAAATATATATATATATATTTTTTTCGAGCTAGAGTCTCGCTCTGTCGCCCAGGCTGGAGTGCAGTGGCGCGATCTTGGCTCACTGCATCGTCTGCCTCCCAGGTTCAAGCCATTCTCCTACCTCAGCCTCCCCAGTGGCTGGGACTACATGCGCGCACCACCACGCCAGCTAATTTTTGTATTTTTAGTAGAGACAAGGTTTCGCCATGTTGGCCAGGATGGTCTCTATCTCTTGACCTTGTGATCTGCCTGCCTCGGCCTCCCAAAGTGCTGGGATTACAGGCGTGAGCCACTCACTGCGCCTGGCCTAGGTCTATATTTAAGAAGAATGTTCTAGTGTACTTTATGTATGTGTTAATGTGAGCTTTTTTACTAAAGTAAAATATATATACAAATAGTTACATATTTTTAATATGTACAAATAATTATATATAGCTCAGTGAGTTTTTACCTAGTGAACACATCTTCGTAACCATTATCTAGATCAGGAATAGAACTTTGCCAGCACTCCACAAGTTGCCTTCATGCTCCCTTTAGTTACTAACTCCCTAATCCCAAGGGAAACCACTCTCTTATAATATCTGTAGATTAGTTTTACTGTTATTGGTATGTAAGCTCATCTAAATGGAATCATTCCAGGGTGTATTCTTTGGTGACTGGTATCTTTTGTCCCACATTGTTCGTAAGATGATTCATTCAGGTTGTTGTGGGAGGTGTGGTGTGTTTATTCTTGTTAATGTATTCCACTGTGATTAATCATTCAGATTAGTCATTCTATTTTTGATGGACACTTGGGTTATTTCCAGTTTTGGGCTACTTTAAATTGTGCTATTATAAATAATCTTGTACAGTTTTTCCTTAAACATATGTACATATTTCTGTTGGGTAGGTACCTGAGAATGGAATCGCTGGGTCACAGGGTATGAAAATGTTTAGCTTTATGCTATGGTTTGAATATAGCTTGTTTGGCCCTGCCAAGTCTCATGTTGAAATTTGATCTCCAGTGTTGGAGGTGGGGCCTGGTGGGAGGTGTTTGGATTATGGAGGTGCGTTCCTCATGAAGGGCTTGGTGCCATCCTTTTGGAAATAAGTGAGTTCTCGCTCCATTAGTTCCTGCCAGAGTTGGTAGTTTAAGAGTCTGGCACCTCCCTTTTCTCTCTTTTGGTTTCTCTCTTGGCGTGTGATTTCTGCACATGCAGCTCCTCTTCGCCCTCCACCGTGAGTGGAAGCCGCTTGAGACTCTTACCAGGAGCAGATGCTAGCACCATGCTTCTTGTACAGCCTGCAGAACTGTGAGCCAAATAAACCTTTTTTTATTATGAATTACCCACCCTCAGGTATTCCATTATAGCAACGTAAATGGACTAAGACACTTTAGTAGAACCTATGCAACTGTTTTTCTTTTTTTTTTTTTTTTTTTTTTTTTTTTTTTTAGAGACAGGGTCTCACTCTGTTGCCCAGGCCGGAGTGCAGTGGCATGATCATGGGTCACTGCACCCTTGAACTCCTGGGTTCAAGCTGTCTTCCCATTTTAGCCTCCTGAGTAACTAGGACTACAGGCATGTGCCACCACAGTCAGCCAATGTTTTTCATTTTATACTTTCTTTAGCAGTGTATGGGAGTCCCAGTTGCTGAACATTCTTGCAGTGCTCACTTAATATCGTCTTTTTTGAGGCCGGGTATAGTGGCTCATGCCTGTAATCCCAGCACTTTGGGAGGCTGGGGCAGGTAGATCGCTTGAGGCCAGGAGTTCGAGTCTAGCCTGGCTAACGTGGTGAAACCTCGCTTCTACTAAAGGTACAAAAGTTAGCTGGATGTGGTGGCGGGCACCTGTAATCCCAGCTACTCAGGAGGCTGACGCACGAGAATCGCTTGAACCTGGGAGGCGGAGGTTGCAGTGAGCTGAGATGGTACTACTGGACTCCAGCTTTGGCGACAGAGCGAGACTCCATCTTAAATAATAATAATAATAACATCGTCTTTTTCGTTGTTGCCACTGTAGTGGATGATGGTACTATCCCACCGTTTTAATTTGTGTTTCCTTAATGACTACTGTAAACAAGCACCTTTTTAGGTTTGTTGACTGTTTAGACATAGTCTTTTGTTGAAGTGTTTATTCAAGTCTTGGCCTTTTTTCCCCTATTGGAGTATTATTATTTTTTTTTTTTTAAAGAGATGGGTTCTTGCCCTCTTGTCCAGGCTCTCGAGTACACTGGTGTGATCATAGCTCACTGCAGCCTCCAACTCCTGGGCTCAAACATCCTCCCACCTGGGCCTCCCAAAGTGCTGAGAGGCATGAGCCTCATTATTTTTTGTGTGCCAGGACTCCTTATTTATTTTGATGCTTGAATTGTTCCCTATTTGGCCAGTGGGAAGTGCATTCAAACTGCTTCCTCTGTTTTTTGGTGTCATTGAGCATTTTCTTGTTTACTGAAAGATACTCCAGGCTCTTCTTATACTTTTTTTGCCCTAGCCCTGGAATTAGTGATTTCTCTGAGAAGCTCTTTTAGAAGTTTCTTTTAGTAGAGAATGACATGTAGAAGTCCAGATCTGGGTGTTAAGCGTGCTCATTGCTATTGGGGTGTCACTGCTCACAAGCCATCATACTGGACACACCACACACACAGGTGCACATTGCACATTTACGTTGTTATTTTATCTTACATATTATTTAAAACCATGAGTTCACACTGATATCCCCAATTCCAGTCTAATACCACAGGGTTCGTTCGATAATTTCATAATTGTAACTCCATTTTCTGACAGTGAGTAACTTGGCTTTCATTATCCTCAAAATATTTTCTTAGTCAATCAGCCCCTTTCTATGTGACCACTCTCATGTTGCTGCTGTTCCCCACACCCACTATATAGATGCCGTCCTTGACTTACTTAGGCTCCAAAACCCCATGTCAGATTGCTGGCCTACACCCTTCCATGAACACCCTTGTCCGATACCTGTGCTAGATTGCTTTTCACATCACATTTGGACTTCAACACTCTGTGCAGGGCTGCCATGTTACCTGCCATATTTCTGTATGGACATATCCCTTATCCTGTTTTTTTGTTTGTTTTGAGACAAGGTCTCACTCTTTTGCCCAGGCTGCAGTGCAGTGGCACAATCACAGCTCACAGCAGCCTCACTCAACCTCCTGGGCTCAGGTGATCCTCCTGCCTCAGTCTCCTGAGCATCTGGGACTACAGGTGCTTGCCACCACGCCTGGCTAATTTTTTGTAGAGATGGGGTTTCCCCATGTTGCCCTGGCTGGTCTCAAACTCCTGGACTCAAGTGATCCTCTGGCCTCGGCCTCCCAAAGTGCTGGTATTACAGGTGTGAGCCATCGGGCCCGCCCCTTCTTCCTTATCCTGATGGTACTCTGTCATCCTGTACTAAGACCTCTGCTGATCCTGCAGATGTCTGTTTTGCCTGGCCCTGACAAAATGAGTAGAGGTTTATTGTAGTCAAAATGTAGTCAAGATTTTCAATTTTTAAATTTATGGTTAGCACTTTTTCTCTTTGCTTATCCCAAGATCATACAGATCCTTCCCTCCCTCCCTCCCTCCCTTTCTCCCATCTAGGCTCACTGCAGCCTTGACCTCCTGGGCTCAAGCGATCCTCCCACCTCAACTTCCCCGTAGCTGGGACTACAGGCATGTACCACCAAACATCGGCTAATTTTTTTGCATTTTTAGTGGAGATGAGGTTTCTTCATGTTGTCCAGGCTGGTCTCAAGCTCCTGGGCTCAAGTGATTCACCTGCCTCTGCCTCCCCAAGTGCTGGGATGCTGGGGTTACAGGTGTGCACCACTTCACTGGGCCAAGATGTTGATTTTATTTATCTGCACACACAGACACACATACATATGTACCTATATACATACACACACATATAAGCTTCATTTAAACATTTTTTATTGTGGTAAAATACATGTAAAATTTACCATTTTAACTATTTAAAATGTATAGTTAAGTAGTGTTAAGTATATTCACACTGTTTTGCATATATAATCTTTAGAACTTTTTTGTCTTGCAAAACTGAAACTCTATACCCATTAGACAAACTATCGATGTCTCCCTTATCCCAGCCACTGGCAACCACTATTCTTTTTTTTTTGTTTGTTTGGTGTTTTTTTTTTCCCCCAGAGACGGAGTCTTGCTCTGTTGCCCAGACTGGAGTGCAATGAATGGCACCATCTTGGCTCACTGCAGACTCCGCCAAGCAATTCTCCTGCCTCAGCCTCCTGAGTAGCTGGGACTACAGGTGTGTGCCACCATGCCAGCTAATTTTTGTATTTTTAGTAGAGACGAAGTTCACCATGTTGGCCAGGCTGGTCTTGAACTCCTGATCTCAGGTGATCCGCCCGCCTCGGCCTCCCAAAGTGCTGGGATTACAGGCATGAGCCACTGAGCCCAGCCTTCTATTTTTTTTCCTATGAATTTGATTCCTCTAGATACCTCATTTAAGTAGAATCATACAGTGTTTGCCTTTTTGTGACTAGCTTATTTTACTTGATGTCCTCAGGTTTCATCCATGTTCTTCCTTTTTTAAGGCTGAATAACATTTAATTGTATGTATATACCACATTTTATTTGTTGTCAATGGACACTTGGGAAGCTTGTACGTTTTGACCTTTGTGAATAATGCTGCTATTTGTATATGTTACAAGTACCTCTTCAAGTCCGTGAGAAGTTTTATTTACCATTTGCATTTAGCTCTGCAATCCATCTGGAATTAATTTTTGCATATGGTGTGAGGTAGACGTCAGCATTCTTTTTTTTTTTCTTTCTCCATGCCAGACAGGTAATGTGCCTATGTAACAAGGTTTGAGGGAGGCACACCTCACACATGAGGCTGAAAACCCAATCGTCATGCTTACAAACTACAAAAGGATCAGAATTCTTTTTTTCCTTTTCTTTCTATAGCCAGCTTATTCAGCACTATTTATTGAAAAGATTGTTCTTTTTCTATTGCAGGGTCATTTTTGTCATATTAATGTCTATATATGTATGTAGGCCTGCTTTTGGGATTTTCTCAGTAGCTCCATTGGTCTATTCTTGTGCCAATACCACACTGTCTTAATTTCTATATTTTTATATAATAACATTTCTTGATATCTGATAGTATATGCCCCTCAGCTTCCCCTTCCCCCAAGATTGCATTGGCTATCTTGGCCTTTTGCGTTTTCTTTTTCTTTTTCTTTTTCTTTTTTTTTTTAAATGGAGTTTCGCTCTTTCACTCAGGCTGCAGTGCAGTGGCGCAATCTTGGCTCACTGCAACATCTGCCTCCTGGGTTCAAGTGATTCTCCTGCCTCAGCCTCGAGTAGCTGGGATTACAGGCACACACCACCACGCCCGGCTAATTTTTGTATTTTTAGTAGAGACGGGGTTTCACCATGTTGGTCAGGCTGGTCTCGAACTCCCTGACCTCGTGATCTGCCCGCCTCGGCCTCCCAAAGTGTTGGGATTACAGGTGTGAGCCACTGTGCCTGGCCTGCATTTTCATGTGTATTAGAATCAGCTAGGCCGGTTGCGGTGGCTCACACCTGTAATCCCAGCACTTTGGGAGGCCGAGGCGGGCGGATCACCTGAGGTCAGGAGTTGGAGAACAGCCTGACCAACATGGTGAAATCCCGTCTCTACTAAAAATACAAAAATTAGCCGGGCATGGTGGGGCATGCCTGTAATCCCAGGTACTCCAGGTTGAGGCAGGAGAATCGCTTGAACCTGGGAGGCAGAGGTTGCAGTGTGTGATCATGCCACTGCACTGCAGCCTGGGCAACAGAGCGAGACTGTTTCCAAAAAAATAAAAAAGAATTAGCTAGTCAGTTTCCACAAAACATACTTTTATGATTTTTATTGGAATTGCATTGAATCCATATATAAGTTTTGGGAGAGCTGAGATCTTAACACTATTGAGTTTCATAGTCCACAAAAATGATGTGTCTTTCCATTTATTTAGGTTTGAATTTCTCTGTTTAGAGGTCTTTATATATCTTTTGTTAAATTATTCCTAGGAAGCAGATGTTTTTAGGTGTTATTTAAAAAATTTAATCCTCTTTGTTGCTGATAGTGCAGAGGCTTTAAATCTGTGGTCTGTGGCCCCTGTACAAGCTATAAACATGTGAATACTTTTTCCTGAAAGATCTGTAATTTACATTTGAATCTGATTCCCACTGGGAGCAATAACAACAAAGATGAAAGAGCACTTAGTGCTTTAGAGTGGATTAGACTAGGGAGGGGTACCAGAGAGGCAGGGAGGCCATTTAAAGTATGTAATAGTCTACGCAAGAGACTGGGCTTGAGCTAGGGCAGTAGGTATGGAAAAGGAGGAAAGACATTCAAGGATATTCTGGAGACAGAATGAAGAAGGTTGCTGAGAGTAGGGTAGAACAAATGAAGAAAAAGAGTAAAATATAGCTGGCATCAGTCATGTTAAGGGCAATTAGAGGGTTATCAAAGCAGTAGGTAGGTAAGGGAAAATGAGTGTTTGGTGGGTGAAGATATTGGGATGGTCCCTAACTATAATAAGGAGACTTTGAATTTAAGATATATTCGTATAAATAAAGATGGGCAGGGCCGGGCGCGGTGGTTCACGCCTGTAATCCCAGCACTTTGGGAGGCCGAGGTGGGCGGATCACGAGGTCAGGAGATCGAGACCATCCTGGCTAACATGATGAAACTCAGTCTTTACTAAAAAATACAAAAAATTAGCCAGGCATGGTGGTGGGCGCCTGTAGTCCCAGCTACTCGGGAGGCTGAGGCAGGAGAATGGCATGAACCAGGGAGGTGGAGTTTGCAATGAGCCGAGATCGTGCCACTGCACTTCAGCCTGGGTGACAGAGCAAGACTCCATCTCCAAAACAAAACAAACAAGACAGAAAAAAAAAAAAAAGATGGTCAAAGTGATAGAATATATGAGACTTGGAAGGTGGAAAGCTGGGTGATGATTAGATGGAGATTATATATTATTCTGTACTTTTTTGTATATTTAAAAGTATCCATGATAAGAGGTTAAGAAAAGTTTATCTGCTGGGCCAAATGGTATTTCCAGTTCTAGATCCCGGAGGAATCGCCACACTGACTTCCACAATGGTTGAACTAGTTTACAGTCCCACCAACAGTGTAAAAGTGTTCCTATTTCTCCACATCCTCTCCAGCACTTGTTGTTTCCTGACTTTTTAATGATTGCCATTCTGACTGGTGTGAGATGGTATCTCATAGTGGTTTTGATTTGCATTTCTCTGATGGCCAGTGATGATGAGCATTTTTTCATGTGTTTATTGCGGCATTATTCACAATAGCAAAGACTTGGAACCAACCCAAATGTCCAACAACGATAGACTGGATTAAGAAAATGTGGCACATATACACCATGGAATACTATGCAGCCATAAAAAATGATGAGTTCATGTCCTTTGTAGGGACATGGATGAAATTGGAAATCATCATTCTCAGTAAACTATCGCAAGAACAAAAAACCAAACACCGCATATTCTCACTCATAGGTGGGAATTGAACAATGAGATCACATGGACACAGGAAGGGGAATATCACACTCTGGGGACTGTTGTGGGGTGGGGGGAGGGGGGAGGGATAGCATTGGGAGATATACCTAATGCTAGATGACGAGTTAGTGGGTGCAGTGCACCAGCATGGCACATGTATACATATGTATGTAACCTGCACAATGTGCACATGTACCCTAAAACTTAAAGTATAATAAATAAAAAAAAAAAAAAGAAAAGTTTATCCGCATAAAAAGTAGGCTGAACTGAAGATTGAAGATCTCTGGACCAGCTGTACTCAAATTGTTATGTGAGAGAAATATCAGGATTTGGTTTTGAGTAATTTCATAACCGCTGTCTATTGGGAACACAGTTTTATCAAGATCTGCCAGTTAAGGAGGCACAAAGCTACAGAGGCCAGGTGCTGCAGGGTGGCTAGGAGTTGGGGAAAAGAAATTGACTAGGTGTCTGTTGGCAACTCAACCAGGTGTGTGGACGCAGGGGAACTTAGCAAGGGAAGGTGATATGATTTGGCTCTGTACCCACCCAAATCTCATGTCTAATTATAATCCCCAGTGTTGGAGGTGGGGCCTGGTAGGAGGTGTTTGGATCATGGGGGCGGATTTCCGCCTTTTGTGCTGTTTTCGTGATAGAGTTCTCACAAGTTCTGGTTGTTTAAAAGTGTGTGGCACCTTCTCTGCCCCCCTCTCTTCCCCCCTTCTCTTCTTCCTGCTTCGGCCATATAAGATGCACCTGCTTCCCCTTTGCCTTCTCCCGTGATTTTAAGTTTCCTGAGGCCTCCCCAGAAGCAGAAACCATCAGAAGCAGAATTCACTACGCTTCTTGTACAGCCTGCAGAACCGTGAGCCAATGAAACCTCTTTTCTTATAAATTACCCAGTCTCAGGCATTTCTTTATAGCAGTGCAAAAATGGACTCATATACAAGGGTATACATTCAGCAGGAGAATAATGGCAGGGAGTCTGGGGCAGATATTCTGGGGAGATCAATAGGCAGAAAGCATCAGTGAATACTAGAAACAGGTAGCAAAGCGTTGCTTCAAGCTTGAACTCAAAAGTGGAACTGGGAAACCTAGCAAGGAACTAAATAATTGATTCATTCAGCCTATACTGATTAGTGTCTATTGTAATAGTTCTACACTTTACCCTGTATAGGAATTATTTGGAATGCATGTTAAAATGTAGTACAGATTCTTAGTTCTTTTTCCCCCCTCTTCCCTTTTACTTGGTACGCCTAAAAAATTGGCATGTTCAGCAAGCATATCAGATGTTTCTGATGCTGGTGTTTCTCAGGATCATGCTTTGACAAAATATCTAGTCCACTGTGTGCTGGCCAGTGTATCAACACAGGGGAAGTGGGGGAAATGATGTGGCTAGAACCAGAGTAAAAGGTGAGGCCTTGTACTTGGGAAACACAGCAGGAAGGAGCTGAATTAACTGGAATCAAAAGTGATGGCAGGCCAGTTGCAGTGGCTCACGCCTGTAATCCTAGCACTTCGGGAGGCTGAGGCAGGCGGATCACCTGAGGTCAGGAGTTTGAGACCAGTCTGGCCAATGTGGTGAAACCCCGTCTCTACTAAAAATAAAAAAATTAGCCGCTCATGGTGGCCCAGGCCTGTAGTCTAGCTACTTGGGTGGCTGAGGCCAGAGAATCGCTTGAAACCAGGAGGCGGAGGTTTCAGTGAGCCAAGATTATGCCACTGCACTCCAGCATGTGTGACAGAGCAAGACTCCATCTCAACAACAACAACAACAAGTGATGGCAGAATGAGACAAATCTCATGGCCAAGGCTTGGACTCTCTGAATTCCAACTAGTTGGTAGTAAGTTGGTTTCAGAAAACAATTTACTTCTGTAGGCTGTTTGCAGCTAGAGAAATAGTGAACCATGGGAGTAGGAATATAAGCAAGCTGTGACACTTAGAAGAGGTATATCTAGTGGAAGGACAATAGCAACATCCCAGAATGTGGCCACTGAGGTACTACATTAAAATCACATCACAATAAAACTGGTAGTTTTTCCTAGTACTATGAACAGATTGTGTATCATCTTCATTTATTTTAAAGATGCTGTGGCTGGTCCCTCAGCTCATAATCACCATCAGCCATGGCATCTTTACATAGAGGAAAAGGATGTAATTCAGTACAATTAAATAAGGTAAATGTAAAGGTGCTTTGTAGGTCATAGGGTAAGGTGGTGGTGGTGGTGGTGCTTTCACAACAACATTCTAACACAAAGCAATTCATACAGACTCCCAAAGTTTATTGAATAGGCATTCCACTCTCATTCCATTTTACTCTTTAAATATATATTTATTCATGCCTGCTGTATGCAAATTTTTGATTCCAATTTTTTTAATGGACATACAGTAAAATGGATTTTTCTTAATGTACACAGTTTTAGGAATTCTAATATGTGTAGTAGATTCATGTAAACCACAATCAGGATAAGAACAATTGTATCACTCCCCCGCAAAAAACTCTTATACTCTTCCTCCACCTCTAACCCCCTCTTCCTCACTTCATTTTATGTTTTTGAGAATGTCATATAAATGGAACCGTGCAATATGAAATCTTCTGTTACTGACCTCTTCCGTTCAGCATAATGCCTTTGAGCTAGATTAATCCATGTTTTTGCATGTATCAGGAGTTCACGTCTTACTATTGTTGATTAGTATTTTATTGTGTAGTGTACCAGACTGTTTATTCACTCCTGAAGGACATTTGGGTTGTTTCTGGTTTTGGTGATTATAAATAAAGCTGCTATAAATAAACACTTGTGTATAGATTTTGTGTGAACATTTTCATTTCTCTAAATACCCATGAGGGAGAATTGCGTGATAAATGTAGGTTTAACCTTTTTAGAAATTGCTATTTTCCAGAGTGATTGTACCAGTTGGCATTCCCACAAGCAATGGGTGAGAGTTCTAGTTGATCTACATCCGTGTCAGCATTTGGGATTATCAGTATTTTTAATTTTAGCCATTCTAATAGGTGTATAGGGATATCCTATTGTGGTTTCAATTTGTATTTCCCTAATGCATTCCTCGATTCTTGATGCTTTTATTGATGGAGGATCCAACACAAAAGATAATGCATGGTCATGAGAACAAAATATTTGATATGCCTAACTTTAACATTCTATGAAAGACTTCATTAATATTTTTAAAAAGGAGTTTGTACTATTGAATATTCATGGTTTTTCAGTGAAGTTTGAGGTACTCTGAAGCCTATCTACAAAGTTTTAAGTAAGCCATGTGACAGTGTGGATAAGAGAGTGACTTCAGAGCATTTTTTTTTTTTCTGGTGACCTTTGGTGTGTAGAACACTTGTGGCCTTTAATAAACTGAGGAGATAGGATGACCAAAATTTTTTTTATATGCCTGTAATTTTTTTAAAGCAGAAATAAGTGAGAAACGCTTATGGACACTGTGATCAAGATCGTGAACAAGATCATGATCTACATTTACTGATTTCATGTTCCTAGTAGCATAGATCAATGGTATGATTTTAATAATTCTTATTCAGGGAAGTAATTTAGATGGAGGCAAGGAAGGCTTTCCCTTGAGTAATATATTAATTTGGCCCCATCTATCTCTTCTCCTTTGTAGATCATCCCAAGCAGCAGTCTGTATTATAAGAAGCAAACTTAAATGATTGCTAATTAAATGTTTAGTGTTTTTTTTGAGTTGGTTATTAGCTTGAGGTTAAATTTGTTTAATGAGTAAATATGGAAGAATTATGTTTTTCACATTTGGAATGCATACTTGCTGATCATTGGTATGTTACTCCCATTTTATGAAGCTGGAACATAATTTCCTTCTTTTTAATGACTGTGAGTTTTACAGTTATTTAATCTTTGTTTTGGTGGTGTTAGTCATGTCAGTACTTTATTTGCTACCGAGTTCTCAGTTAGGAAATAGGCTCCCAATTATAATTTTTTTTTTTTTTTTTTTTTTGAGACGAAGTCTCACTCTGTCACCCAGGCTGGAGTGCAGTGGCGCGATCTTGGTGCACTGCAACCCCTACCTCCCATGTTCAAGCGATTCTCCTGCCTCAGCCTCCCAAGTAGCTGGGACTACAGGAATGAGCCACCACGCCCGGCTAATTTTTGTATTTTTAGTGGAGATGGGGTTTCACCATGTTGGCCAGGCTGGTCTCGAACTCCCAACCTCAAGTGATCCGCCCACTTCGGCCTCCCAAAGTGCTAGAATTGAACCACTGTGCCCAGCCCCAGTTATAACTTGTTTCCATGGGAAAACATCCGCTTTGAAGCAGTATTCAGTAATATATTGAAATGAGAAATAGGCGGTCAAGCAGTGATTCAGGTTTAGTGTTCAGTGTAATTAAGAAAAGGTGACTTAAGTTGAAGAACATTGATGTATCTGTTTTTAAATTGCACCTAATTATAATGACAACTTACAAGATCTCTTTCCTTCCTTCTCTCTTGGAATGTTGACTATAAATTTCACATAATTTAAAAACAATTTAAAAGCTAGTCAAATTAATTGAGAAGAATCCTGCTTTATCAAATTTTGCCTGTAATCATATCCAGACATGGCATTTTGAAAATCAGAAAGGATTGCTTCCACTTATATCAGAGTTTGAAAGTAGAAACTCTTTTCATGTAGGTATGGGTCACCTTTGATTATATGGTAGTCTTCTGAATATGGTCCTCTTACCTGACACATATGCACCTCATCAATAAACTACATACAATTCTTAGGTTTATATGTGGTCATGTTACAAAGGATTTCTTAAGTACTCTTAAATGTGTTCTACTAATGTCTTGTGGAAAAATATAATCTTTTGAAAGCATTCGTGTTAAAAAGAATTAGACGTGATTTATCTCATTTAGACCTGTTCTTTTTCAATGTGTCTTTAAAATGTAGGTACAGTATATAAGAATTCATACTAAAGGATCAACTGAGACTTTGATTTAAATATGTTATAAATTATAGTATGGAGGCCTGCATAATATACTACATATTTTTTTTTCCTAAGAAGCTTATTTAAATGGTTCTGTTAAGTGTAGGAATGTTCTGATGATTATCTTTTTAATTAAAATGAGAAATCTTTGTTTAAAGTGGCACTCGTTTTTTTATGGCCTGTTACAGTCTCTGTAACAATCATTTCTTAAGTCTGAACGTTTTATTTCCAGGAATCCATTTATATAAAACTATGTTTAGACTTAATTAAGGAACGATTCTTACAAAGCTTGTAAATAGCCAGGAAAAAAGGGACAGAAAATAAAACTGACATTCACATTTAACAAAATGATTGTTACAAGGTATGTAATAAGCTATAAAAATACAATAAAGCCCTTTTTATAAGAGTTCATATTTTTTGATCCTTGTTTTCAAAGGTATTTAAGAAAAATATCAAAGCTTTGCAAAGTGACATCTGTTTGCTGAATGGACTAGTTATAACTTCTTTTGTTTATAACTGACAATACGAGAATTCTACCTGTTTTGTTAGTGTGTCTTCTTTGAAATACCTTGTAATTAGTTTAGATTGGTAGGTAAATTTTACGTTGTACCATAGTGAAAACAAGACCTGGTTTTCAGGTTCTGCTTCCTAGATGTCATAGATATTGGGCATGTTGCTTAACCTCCTTGAGTCTCACTTTCCTCATATAGAAAGCAAAGATAATATCTACTTTTGTACCTCAAAGAGCTGTTATGAGGAGTAAATGAAATTATTATAAATAGAGCAAATATTTTGGAAATTATAAAGGACTGTAAGCATCCAGATCATGTGTCTCTTAAAGATGAATTAGATTTAACAACCTCTTTTTTTTTTTTAATTAAAAAGTAAACTTTAATGTCAAAAATGCAAACTTGGGGAGGGCAGAAAGATCACACACAAGGCTGTGCCTTCACACTTGGAGGGTTGCACAGCAGCCGGGCAGAGGTACTCCTCACTTCCCAGACGGTGGGGCGGCTGGGCAGAGGCACTCCCCACTTCCCAGACAGGGCAGCGGCTATTAAGAACCTCTTTTAATTAGCAAACTTCCTTCTCTTGTTCATGCATTCTGTCAAGTACATACATGTACATCCTTTTTGAAATGACACTTATTTTTCCATTTCCTTGTCTAAGTATAAGTGATTGAAACCACTATTGGCATAGTGGAAATTACACAAGAATTGGAGTCAGAAGAACTGGTTTCAAGTCCTGTCTTAACTACAGTCATGCATTGCTTAACAATATGTGATACATTATGAGAAATACATTGTTAGGTGATTAAGTGGTTGTGTGAGCTTCACAGAGTGTACATAGACAAATCTAGATAGTATACCTTACTATACACAAATGCCATGTGATATAACCTGTTGCTTGTGCAGTTTGTTACTGTACACTGAATCCTGTAAGCCATTGTAACACAATGGTATTTGTATATCTAAACATAGAAAGGGTACGGTAAAAATACAGTGTTATAATTTTATGAGACCACTGTTGCATATCTGACCATACTTGACTGAAGTGTCAGGGGGTGCATGACTGTATTTTTACTTATTCTCTGACCTTATTCTTGGGTGGTGATAATAATAACAATAATAATGGCAGCCAACACTTGTAGCTCAGTATATACCGTGCAGGATTCTAGACACTATATATATTAACTCATTTGATCCTCTCATCTTATTAGGTGTGTATTATTATTATCATCCTGATTTACAAATGTGGAAACTGAGGCACAGACAGGTTGTTACTTTTTCCAGATCAAACAGTTTGTGAATGGCACAGCTGGTATTCCAGCTCAGACATTCTAGCTCCAGAGTGAGTGTGGTTAATCATTGTGCTATACTAACCATGTTCCTTAATTTCCTCTTCTCTAAAATGAGAATAACAATAACTGTTCTATCTACTGGGTTGAAGATCCAGTAAGAGAGTACACATAAAAGCACTTTGACATCACAGTGTACCATAAATAGAAGTTATATGTGAACTGTAGAATTAGCATGCACCTTAGAGTAGGTATTTTATAGTTTTTTGGTGGGTGAGGGATGTTATCTTTTGACTTATTTTTGAGAAATATAATTTTGAAGAGAGGTGTTGATGGTGTCATTCTTTTTTCAACTCCTCAGAAAAATTATGAGAAACACACGATGATAACTCATATATCCCTCACCTGAATTATCTAATTGTTAACATTTTGCCACATTTGACTTTTCCTAGTATATACTTTCTTTCTAAATTATTTGAGAGTTGCAGACATGATATTTTACCTTCTGCATGTATTTTCTAAGAACAAGAGCATCCTTATTCCTAACCTCAATACAAGATCCCACTCAGGAAATTTAACACTGATCACTGATAACCTTTTATTATTTAATATACAGTTCATATCCAGAACCCCTAGTTATCCTAAGAATGTCTTTTTTTTTTTTTTTTTTTTTTTTTTTTTTTTTTTTTTGAGATGGCGTCTTGCTCTGTTGCCTAGGCTGGAGTGCAGTGGCGTGATCTCAGCTCACTGCAACCTTCGCCTCCCAGGTTCAAGTGATTCTTCTGCCTCAGCTTCCTGAGTAGCTGTTATTACAGGCACCTGCCACCACGCCCGGTTAATTTTTGTATTTTTAGTAGAGATGGGGTTTCACCATGCTGGCCAGGCTGGTCTCGAACTCCCGACCTCAGGTGATCCACCTGCCTCAGCCTCCCAAAGTGCTGGGATTACAGGCATGAGCCACCGCGTCCGGCCCCTAAGAATGTCTTTTACAGCTCTTTAAAAAAAAATCCAGGATCCAATCATGTTATATATAATATCTCTTTAGTTTCCTTTAATTTACAGTAGTTCCCTAATGGTTTTTATTCATGAAATTGACATTTTTGAAGAGTTTGAGGTAGTTTTACAGAATGTCCCTCATTTGTTTTTGTCTGATTGTTTTTCCATGATTAGATCAGGGTAAAAAATTTGGCAGGAGTATAATATATGCTGTGTTTTTTTTTTCTTAGTGCACTACTACATCAGAAGGCATATAATGTCAGTTTGTTCCATTATTGGAGATATTGTTTGATCATTTATTAAGGTTGTATTCACTAGATTTCTCTGTTGTAAAGGTATATTTGTAAGTATTCAGAGGAGCAAACTTGGAGACTGTGTAAATATCTTATTTCACAACATTGTTTCACGCAGTAGTTTTACCATCCATTGGTGATTCTTCTGTGGTAGTTGTAAAATCAACCTATTTATTTTTAGGTAGTTCTAAATAATTTTTTTCTTTCTCAATTTTGAAATGGTGAGTGTTTCCTATTTTGGAAAGACATTACATGGGCTTTATCCTCTTTATTTCATTTTTGAACTTAGACCAATTAAAGTGTACTTTTTACATTGTAAAAAAGATAAAGATAACTTTTATCTTTAGTGCAACACACTACTAAAGCTGCTTAGAGAATTGAGTTAAGTTTTTAAGGGCTTTTTGTAACAAAAAGTATGTCTGAATTCCCTGGAGGACTTGTTGGGCCTTCCCTGGAGATTTTTTTTTTTTTTTTTTTTTTCTGAGACAGGGTCTCACTCTTTCTCCCAGGTTGGAGTGCTGTGGTGCTATCACAGCTCATTGCAGCCTTGACCTCCCAGGCTCAAGTGATCCTCCCACCTCAGCCTCCTTAGTAGCTGGGACTACAGGCGTGCACCACCACGCCCAGCTAATTTTTTTATTTTTCACAGAGATAGGGTTTTGCCCATGCTGAGTTTGCCATTCTTTAGGCCTGGGTTGGGGTCTGAGAATTTGCATTTCTAACTAGTTTATAGGTGATGCTGCTGGTTCTGGGACTACACTTTGAGGACTGCTGTGGCTTCTATAAGTCTTCCTTTTTAAAAAAAAAAAAAAAGGCTAGTCAAGTTCTGAAGCAATTGGTTGTGAACACCTGCACTTGCCATTCGAGCAGATATTTTGCTCATGATTATTTGGACCGTTTTCTTCCTTTCTTCTTTTCTTTCTTCCTTTCTTTCCTTCTTTCCAGGCTGGAGTGCAGTGGTTCGATCCTAGCTTATTGCAACTTTGAATGCCTAGGCCTAGGGAACCCTCTCGCCTCAGCCTTCTAAAGTGCTGGGGTTACAGGCATGAGCCACTGTGCTGACCTTGGGATACTTTTCTACTTGTTTGCTTTCTTTAATAGATATGAGAATAATATGGATATAGTATAGCAGAGTAAATTGAAGTTTGTATTAGGGGATTTTGATGAATGTTGGGAAAATTTTGGCAATTGGCTAAATTACTGAATAGGATCTCATTAACCTAGCTAATTCAAAATTATCTATGTTGTAATGAAAATGGTTATAGGGTATTTTATCTATTTATTTATTTATTTTTTAGAGATGGAGTCTTGCTATGTTGCCCAGGCTGGACTCAAACTCCTGGGCTCAAAAGTGATTCTTCCGTCTCAGCCTCCCAAATAGTTGCCGGTACCACAGGCTTGTATCACCATGCCCTGTCTAGGTTATTGTAAAACATATTTGTAGCATTTATATTTGTCGAATTTTCTTTACTTTGCTCAATGAAGTAACCAAATTAGGTATCCATAGTGATCAGTTTGTGCTTTCAGTATTTAAGTAATCTCTGTTATACTTTAGCAACTGGTTTTGTTAAGTCTGTGCAATTAGTAAAGCAAGTGGCAAATTTGTTACGTCATAGAGATTATTTTCACTTTTACAGAAGTTGGCCATCAGCCCTCCTTCTTTGAGTCTCCTATTAGAAATACTATAAACATCAGAGAGAAGAGGATGACCTTAATATTTGCTTCCCAGGCTAAATCACAGCCTTGAAGCAGCTATTTCTTTCCGAATAAAAAGTTTAATTTCACGCCCTGATTAGTGCCAGTACGTGCAGGTAGATACTTATGTTATGTAGCTAAACTGATGTGCCTTTGCAAATTACTTGCCAGTCAGCAGAACTATAGTTTCTTATGAGTAGTTTATGGTAAATTATAGTTCTAGTTAGTAAGTTCTGTGTGTTTTTTTAAAGTGTGTATTTATTAGATACGAGTAGGAATCAGTCACTAAATTTTGGCCAGACTAGCAGTTGACTAACAGCTTTTTTCAAAGGCTCAGGTTTGGACTAACAGTCCAGCCAATTAGCAGTAGGAAAGAGTGAGATCTTATTTTCAGTTGATTTGAAAATATACACAGGACCTAGAAAGAGTGGTTTCTGATGGAAAAGACCTAAGGAGAGATTATTTTTCTTATTGAGAAGTAAAATACATTGTAGTTAAAAATTGAGACCTTTGAGAGGCTTAAAAGATAGGAAGATCAACTGAGGACAAGACATAGAAGGTTTTGAAATCGTGGGACACTACTTAACTGAATTTTTAATTGCTTAATTGAAACTATGGAGTTTTAAAAACTTTTAAGATGAACTGGGGCCAGGTTTGGTGGCTGTCACCTGTAATCCCAGCACTTTGGGAGGCTGAGGTGGGAGGATTGCTTGAGGCCAGGAGTTTGAGACCAGCCTGGTCAACTTAGCAAGACCCATGTCTCTACAAACAGAACAAAACAGAACAAAATTAGCGTGGCATGGTGGTGCACACCTGTAGTCCCAGCTACTTGCTTTGAGGCTGCAGTGGGCTATGATTCCTCCGCTGCATTCCAGCCTGGGACACAGAGTGAGATCCTGTCTCTAAAAAAAAGAAAAAAAAAATTAGCCGGGCGTGGTGGCGGGCACCTGTAGTCCCAGCTACTCAGGAGGCTGAGGCAGGAGAATGGCGTGAACCCGGGAGGTGGAGCTTGCAGTGAGCCGAAATCGCGCCACTGCACTCCAGCCTAGGTGACAGAACGAGACTCTGTCTCAAAAAAAAAAAAAAAAAAGAAAAGAAAAAAAGTGAAACTGACTTTTTTTGAACTTGGATGAAGGATAGATGAGATGAATTAGAAGGAAGAAAAATACTGTTTCCTTAATAAATGTATCATTTGTCTTATCTAAAATGTCACTAAATTTGCATGGAGTCATAGGATTTAAGAGTCTAGAAGGACCATCTAATTCAAGGCTTTTTTTTTTAATTTAGTTTTTCTATTTTCTTTGTTCTTTCTTTCTTCTTCTTCTTTTTTTTTTTTTTTGTGTGTTCTTCTACTTGATAATTCAAGGCTTCTTAACCTTTTTTTGGTTATGGACTTCACTGAAAATCTGGTATCACAGGATCCTTCCTCTTCCCAGACACACACACACACATATGTTTTGTACAAAATTTCAGGAGGTTCAGAGATCCCTGAATCCTATCTATGGACCCTGGGTTAAGAACCCTGATCTAGCTTGTTTTTTTTTTGATTCTTGCATAGTATATTTTTATTTAAAAGGTTTTGCTGATAATTATTATTTTAATATAACTAAGTTGTGACCTGTTTTAATAAGGGTCTGACTGTAAAACTTGAGCTTCATCATAAAGTGCCATTTTGAGAAGCTAATGAAATGTTGAGTATGTTGCCTAGTAGTGTCAGGAAAAATGGTACAGAGATGACTTGGCTGGTAGTTATCAAAAATCCTCCCAGAACATCCTGTTCTCATTCCCCTAGCTATTCAGGCAAGGGGCCACAATTAATCCCTGTCTATGATGATGTAATTTTACTTTTCAGGATATATGGACAGATACACTTAAATCCTTTGATTATTATTCTACTGATATTTCCAGGACCTTTCTATTTTTATAAGTTTTATTAAAGATGTGGTATAACCAAGCAAATGCCCAGCAAGGTCAGTTTACTCTAGTAAGTACACTCTGCATCTAGAAGCATGTGGAATAAACTCTGTTCTGTCAAGGTCAGCCTTAAACATTGTCAACATGTTCACTTATTTATGCTCTGCAGTTCTGGGGAGGCCTGGGAAACATTTATCTTCTTTTCTTTTTCTTCATCCTCTTAAGGTATCAACACTGACAATGCTATCTATCTAATTAGCTCATTCAAGAAAGACTTTTTTGTGATAATTTTAGATCAGCAGTACACTTTGGCCAGAAAACCTGGTTTGGATTTTATCTTATGTTATCCCACATGCTACTTAGAAAAAGAGTTTTTATGAGATATCGATAAAAAGTATTGTGGAATACTTCTTCTTTTTAAAAATGAGCACATGAAGAACCAAGGACTTGTTTGACTTGCCAGTGTCACAATTGATGACAGCCTGAATTAGAGCCCACATTTCCTAAGTCCAAGTCTAGTTGGTGCTTTTCCGAGTCTTTGTTTTGTTTGTGGTTTAGCTTGTGTTTCTTCTACTGATAGGTGAATTGGTGGGGGGTGTTTTTAATTAGTACTTTTGTGATTTGTTTAAGAAAGCCTCCCCTAATTTAAGATCATGAAAATAGCCTCATATTTTCTACTAGAGACTTTTTGAGTTTTGGTTTTTACGTTTAGAATTTTAGTCTTTCTAGAATTGATTTTTGGGTTTGATGTGACGAAGGGATTCCGTTTCACTTTTTTCCATATGGATTTACAATGGCCCCCAGCATCATTTATTGGAAGAACATGCATTCTCCATCAATCTGCAGTGTTATCTCCCTCATAAATCATGTCATTACATGCATTGATCAGTTTTTGGACTCATTCTGTTCTATTGTTCATTTATTTATATCAGTGCCATACTATCTTATTCATATAGCTTTTTTTTGGGCAAATCTTTTCTATTTTAAAAAATTCATATTAAAAATTTAACATAATAAGTGTACATATTTATGGGGTATATACTGATATTGTGATACATATAGTGATCAGATTAGTAATTAGTGTATGTATCTCAGTCATTTATTTTTTTTTGTATTGGGAACATTCAATATTCTCCTAGCTATTTGAACTATATAGTATTTTATTGTTAATTATTGTCATTCTACAGTGCTGTAGAACACTAGGACTTATTCCTCCTATATAGCTCACACTGCTTTATAATACACCTTTTTTATGGTAGTTAAGGTCTCATACCTTATTTTCTTCTTGGCTATTTGTGGCTTTTTATACCTTCATGGGACTTTTTTTTTTTTTTTTTTGAGATAGCCTCACTCTGTTGCCCAGGCTGGAGTGCAATGGTGCGATCTTGGCTCACTGCAACCTCTGCCTCCTGGGTTCAAGCGATTCTCCTGCCTCACCTTCCCGAGTTGTTGGGATTACAGGTGCCCACCACCACACCCGGCTGATTTTTTTTTTTCTTGAGACGGAGTCTTGCTCTGTCGCCCAGGCTGAAGTGCGGTGGCGCGATCTCTGCTTACTGCAAACTCTGCCTCCCAGGTTCAAGCGATTCTCCTGCCTCAGCCTCCTGAGTAGCTGGGATTACAGGTGTGTGCCACCATGCCCAGCTAATTTTTGTATTTTTAGGAGAGACGGGGCTTTGCCATGTTGGTCAGGCTGGTCTTGAACTCCTGACCTCAGGTGATCTGCCTGCCTCGGCCTCCCAAAGTGCTGGGATTTCAGGTGTGAGCCACCATGCCCGGCCTTTGGAAATTTTTATAGATAGCTTGTCAAGTTCAAAAGCAACAAATATCTAAAGGCAAAAATATACTAAACCTATTGGGATTCAGGTTAGTTGATTCTTGATAGAAACCAAAGTATGGAGTTACTTCAAAATTAAAAACTAAAATTTGAGAACTTTTAGCTAGGAAAGATGGCTTTCTTTTGTTTTGTTTAGAGGAGAATCTTGCTCTGTTGCCCAGGCTAGAGGGTAGTGGTACAATCATAGCTCATTGTAACATCAACCTCCTGGGCTCAAGTGATCCTCCTGCCTCAGCCTTCCAAGTAGCTAGGACTACAGGTAACACCACACCACACCCAGCTAATTTTTATTTTATTTTATTTTATTTTATTTTATTTATTTATTTTTGTAGAGACAGGGTCTCTCTCTGTTGCCCAGCTGTTCTCGAACTCTTGGCCTGAAACAATCTTCCTGCTGTGGCCTCCGAAAGTGCTGGGATTACAGGCAGGTGCCACCGCCCCACCTGTGTTTATTGATTGATTGAGACAGGGTCTCATTCTGTTGCCCAGGCTGGAGGGCAGTGGCATGATCTCAGCTCACTGCTGCCTCGACCTCCTGGGTTCAAGTGATCCTCCCACCTCAGCTTCCCAAGTAGCTGGGACTACGGGTGCCCACCACCACGCTTGGCTAATTTTTTTGCATTTTTGTAGAGGTGGGGTTTTGCCATGTTGCCTAGGCTAGTCTTGAACTCCTGGCCTCAAGCAATCTGCCCACCTCAGCCTCTCAAAGTGCTGGGATTACAGGCATGAGCGACTGCACCCAGCCCAGCCTGTTTTATTCTTAATGTTAAGAGATAGTTGGATATGATGAAAGAGCACTTTATTGAGCCAGATCACTTAAGCATTTGACCTTTAGACAAGTCTTTTATTTATGTTAGAGTTTCTTAGCCCTTGGGCCTTGGCCCTCTTCTCTTTCCTGTCTACACTTTGTTCCTAGATGATCATCTATTCCTTTTGCTTTGAAATACCATCTGTGGGCTGATGATTTCTAATGGGCTAATAGTCTCTAACCCATCCTTTTACTGTGACTTCTACCTTTATGTATTCAACTGATTATCCACTTGAATGTTGCATAATTGTGATTTTTTGTGTGTGTTTTTTTTTTTTTTTTTTTTTTTTTTTTTGCTGATCTTCCCATACTAATAAATGGTGCCACCATTTATCCAGTTACTGAAGCCTGAAACCTGGAATCATCATTGGCTCCTCACTTTTTCTTATGCCGATATGCAATTCACAAGATTTTATCTGTTCTACTTCCAAAATACATCTCAAATTCGTCTACCCCTCTCTGCCTACACTGCTATCAACTTACTTTGGGTTATTATCATTTCTTTTATGGAAAAGTTTAACAGTTTTCTAGCTACTCTCCCCTTTAAATCTAGTCTGTCTCCACACAATAGCCAGAGTGATCTTTCAGAGATCTAAAATGTTCTAATATCTTCCTTTTGGACTAAAGCTATGCATGGTAAACTTTGTTGTTTTGCCTGGCAGAGCTGGTCCTTTCCCACCTATGTCTTTGACCCTGTTAGGTCATTACTCCCAGTCTTCAGTTACAGTCAAGTTACACTGGCCTTTTGCCAAACACCTTTTTTTTTTTTTTTTTTTTTTTTTTTGAGACAGGGTCTTTCTCTGTTGCCCAGGCTGGAGTGCCATGGAATAAACACAGCACAGCTCACTGCAGTCTTGACCTCCTGGGCTCAAGTGATCCTTCTGCCTCAGCCTCTGGAGTATCTGAGACCACAGGTGCACGCCACCATGCCTGGCTAATTTTTAAATTTTTTGTACAGACAGGGTCTCACTATGTTGCCCAGCCTGGTCTTGACCTCTTGGGTTCAAGCGATCTGTCTACCTCAGCCTTCCAAAGTGTTGAGATTATAGGTATGAGCTAAATTTGCCAAACTCTTGCAAGACCACTATAAGGCCTTTGCATTGGCTGTTTTCTCCAACTCTGACTTTTTGGTTGAGTCCTTCGTTTATCCTTTATATCTCAGTTCTAATCACCTACTTAGAGCCTACCCTATCTAAAGTAAATGCCCCTTTCCTTATTTGTCTATTATTTCTACTAGAAAAGAAAATAAAGCCCATGATAGTAAAATTTTGTGTTTTACTCTTGAGTATATCCCAGTGCATGACATGTGGTAGACAATAAATACTTGTGAAGTCACTCACTTTCTTTTTTTTCATTTTGTAAAATAGAAGCTGATGATAAACTGCCCATCCTGCTTCCTGGAGTCATTGTAGGGAATAAATCAAACAATGTTTATGGGAATAAATCAAACAATGTTTATCAGTTTTGATGTCCTGGTATGATTTTTTTTTTTTTTTTTTTCCGAGACGGAGTCTCGCTTTGTTCCCCAGGCTGGAGTGCAGTGGTGCAATCTCTGCTCACTGCAAGCTTCGCCTCCCGGGTTCACGCCATTCTCCTGCCTCAGTCTCCTGAGTAGCTGGGATTACAGGTGCCCGCCACCACGCCTAATTTTTTGTATTTTAGTAGAGACGGGGTTTCACCATGTTAGCCAGGATGGTCTCAACCTCCTGACCTCGTGATCCTCCCGCCTCGGTCTCCCAAAGCGCTAGGATTACAGGCGTGAGCCACCATGCCTGGCCTGGTATGATAATTTTCAATAAATGAGCTTTAGTTTTTTAAAAGACATTAGAGCAAATTTGAGAAAGTACAAAATAAAAAAAAAGCAGCCTGCCATCCCACACAACCACTTTTATTTAATTTTGTTTGTCTTAAAAAAGAAAGAAAGAAAGAAAGAAAAACAACAACTTTTAAGGGTGAATGTACTGTCCAGCACTCTCTTCTTTCTAATTTTCCTGTCCCAAGCAGCTTCCAAACACTTTAAGGAGGTGCATCAGTTAAGATAGATTAATTTTATACTTTTTAAGACTTGTAGGGAATTCATTTATGTATTTTGAAACTTGCGTGGAAAGAAGTAAATACAAATGGTTCTTTATCAAATTTAGAAATTTTACTCTTGATAATTAAAGTTTTTATAAGAATTTTGCCTAAAGAACTTTTCTTGAAACTAGCCTGTATATAATCAGGATTTCTTGATATGGAATACAATCTGATTTGTCTTTTAAAACAACTTGTACAGGTTACTATTTATCCTGTGTGGTAACTACCGCTCCTGCTGTGATTCAAATATTTCAGCCCTTAAGCAGTTATATTAGGCTTGGGGAATAGTGTAATTTGAAGCCCTTGGAACATCTTTTTGAATTAGAAAAGGAATTCTCTAAATAAATATATTCAACTGGGAGAACTACTTTTTTGAAATTTATTACTTTGGAATATATAAAGTTTGGTCATCTTTGGAAGTAGAGATCTAATTTACCAGCAAATGGAGTTTATAATACTAAAATATAGTATTGTTTGCAAATAAAATTCTTTGTTTTTGTGTCTTAGGTTAATAAATTGTCTCTGAGTCAATTGTTACAACAAATACCAAATGGAAAAATTGCTTTCATTTCTTAGCATAGGCACAACCTTCGTAGTTCAGCCTTCCCAAAATGCTCTTTGTTCATCTGATGTATGTTGGAGAGACTCTTTATAAAAATGGCAATGTTGACATGTACCTTAATTTGCTATGTTCTTTTAAAAATAAATTTGGGAAATTTGCTCTCTAGAACAGTAGCCTCCTAACCCATCAGAAACATTTTAAGGATTTATCCTAAATATTTTTACTTCTTAATTTGCAAATTGCAAATTGTACTCATGCCCTGCCATCATTAGCTACTATATTAAGGCACAATATATACACTTAGGGTAAATAAATATAAATAAGTAAATATATATGTGTAAATTGTGTCCAGATAGTTGTAATGATAATGTCTTTGGTTTATTCACATATGGTTAGTTCAATATTATTTTTACCTTGTAAAGTGACTAATGAAGGGCTTGTGCAAAGAATTAGAGAAGAGTCAATTGACAGTTTACTTAAAACTAACTAATATTCTTTTTTTTTTTGAGACGGAGGCTTGCTCTGTCGCCCAGGCTGGAGTGCAGTGCCGCTATCTCAGCTCACTGCAACTTCTGCCTCCCGGGTTCAAGTGTTTCTCTTGCCTAAGCCTCCCATGTAGCTGGGATTACTGGCGTGCGCCACCACGCCCAGCTAATTTTTGTATTTTTGATAGCGACTGGGTTTCACCATGTTGGTCAGGGTGGTCTCAAACTCTTGACCTCGTGATCTGCCCGCCTTGGCCTCCCAAACTGCTGGGATTACAGGCATGAGCCACTGCACCCAGTGAAAACATTCTTAAATTCTGAGCACACTTAAGTTTTTTGCAATATGCCCAAAGAGAATGAATGAGGGAAGAAACCATTGGCAACCCCTTTGTGTTGTGGAATTCCCAATCTTCAGTAAGTGACATTTAACCATTTAACATCAGATTAAGGGAACACGTATCAAAAAAAATTTTAAAGATTATTTTTTAAACTAAAAATTAATTGAAAGTTTTTTGTTGTTGTTGTTGTTTTCTTTTTGAGACAGAGTTTCGTTCTTGTTGCCCAGGCTAGAGTGCAGTGGCGGCATGGTCTTGGCTCACTGCAACCTCCGCCTCCCAGGTTCAAGCGATTCTCTTACCTCAGCCTCCCAAATAGTTGGGATTACGGGTGCCCACCACCACACCTGGCTAATTTTTTTGTAGTTTTAGTAGAGACAGGGTTTCACCATAGTAGAGACAGGGTTTCACCATGTTGGCCAGACTGGTCTCGAACTCCTGACCTCAGGCGATCCACCTGCCTCGGCCTCCCAAAGTGCTGGAATTATAGGTGTAAGCTTCCGCACCCGACCAATTAAAAGTTTTAATATTCCCCCTGTGGTGCTATATATGTATACATAGGTTTTCATCCATGGTCCTGGTTCATAACTCCCATATCCCTTTTTATGGTCTTTTGTTAATAATGTTGGGTGTGTTAGGCCTCAGCCGCAGACCTCAGGAAATAGTCTGTCTCCTGCCCTTCTTTCACCTGCCCCAGGGCAGGACTCTAATCTCCCACCACCTCCTTTCTGATTGTGGATCTTAAGACCCTCCACTGAGAGGGTCCCACCTCATACCCTCGTGGGAGGAAGGAATGCTTCCATAAAAACTCAAGAGGACTGGGTTTGGAAAGCTTCTGGATAGCTGAACACATGGAGATCCCTGGAGGGTGGTGTGCCCAGGGAGTCATGGCAGCTCTGAGCCCCTTCGCCCATACCTTGTTCTATGGGTCTCTTCATTTGTATTCTTTGCAATATCCTTCATAATAAACCAGCAGATATAAGTAAGTGTTTCCCTCAGTTCTGTGAGCCACTTCAGCAAATTAATTGAACCCACAGAGGGGATCATGGTAACCCCAACTTGAAGCCAGTCAGTCAGAAGCTCCAGAGGCCCAGAGTTGTGACTGATATCTAGGGATATGGGGGACAATCTTGGAGCTCTCAAGATGAGGCCCGAGGCTCTCTTTTAAGGGGTGTTCTGGATAAGTCATAGCAGTTAACAAGAATGCTAGGACATACAGGGACACATAATTCATCAGTCCTGTCAAAGTACATCACAAAAATCCAGTATCATGATTCCAACAGCATTTCAGTCTTGGGGTTAGGGTTGAAGTTAGACAAAACAAAAACAAAAACAACCCACATTTGGTCACAGAGAAGTCTTCTGTGTTGATGATTATTGTAGTATGAGAGTAGTGGAAAAACACGAGGTTGGAAAGAGTCTTTCCCTACACACTCCCCCACCCTGGAGGATCATCTTGCCTACCTCCTGGCATGTGCACACCCTGCTTTGGAAACCACCTTGCCTCACACAAGGGATGAAAATGCATTGTGGCAGAATTGAGTTCTTTGTCTTTTCTCATTTTCTCTCCAGATTTCATATATTGTGGAAAAGCAGTTGAATGAGAAAACTAATCTTTCAAACAAGCATAGCCAGTGTAATGCAGACTTCGTAGACTGTAGAGCATGTCCCTCTAAAACTGAGTGTATAATTGAGTCTGTACCTAGGACTTCCAGGGCTTTTAGTAATTAAATGATAGATTTTATAGAACGCAGACATTGTTTAGCTAAAAAGAGATATTTCCATCTCAATTCTATTTAGAAGATATTATGGAGCTAGAGGTGGAGATCTATGACTAAGGGCATGTTGAATTTTTTTATGAAAGAAGGGGACTCTGGTAATTAATTTTTTATGATAATGTATTCTTTCAATTTGGAAATGGTTCGAGTACGAACTCAATTATTTTCAAATATAAATTTTGGAAATGGGATATTTTTAGATCTAATTGCCGATGACTAATATAATGAATCTTTATAAAAATACTATTTTGTATCTTGGAGGTTGGGGGACATGTAGATGTTGCTTAAAATCATTGAAAAAGTATTCTTTTTGCAGCATCCTGCTTGCCTGGCTTGTGGATTTCACCTTGTTTCTGCTGGGGATATTAGTTTGTTTCTTAAATAAGGATTTTTGTCTATTTAAAGACTCAGTTGTCTAGTTTCAAAGGTAAAGCTTAAAGCAGGTCCTTCTTCCGCTTCCCTACTCCACAAAATACATAGTCACAGACTGACTAGTAATGAGTAAAACAAAAGCAAACTGCCTCTTAATCTAGGAACAGAGAAGAAATAAAGAAGTCCCTATTTCAGAGAGAGTAAGGGTTAAAATTCTTAGCAGTCGGGGCAGGGTATAACACTCTTGAGAAGAGTGATAAGGGCTTTCCCAGTAGCCTGCAGTTCCCTGTAGAGTAGTACATGGCTAGACTTGTCAGATTAGGGCAAGAATAGCAATTTGACCAGTGAGTTCCAGCAGGTGTAGCAGCAAAAGCACAGATTTCTTACACATACATGTAATGCATGTCTGCTTATAGCGGACAGCCCTTGAGATGAGGTCTGAGGTGTTCTGAATGAGTCATAGCAGTTACCAAGAATGCTAGGACATGCATGCACAGATAATTCACCAATCCTGTCAACATGCATCACAAAAATCCAGTCTCACATGATTCCAACAGCAGTAGCGCCTAAATTCACGTTATTGCACTGTAACAAAATTGTATCATCTTGTGTATAGCCTAGGATCTACTGGCTTCAGCTAATGTAGAAGTCATTATCACTAGGTGGCATTTGCTTGGGGAGTTGAGGCCTCACACAGAGGGATTTTCCTGAGGTTTCCTACCAATACAGCAAACTCTAAGGAAAGAAGAAGGTAGGGTTGGAGAGAGATGGGGTTTTGTATATTATTTCAACCCATTCCGTTGGTTTAATTTTCGTGTGAGAGTCTAGCCAGGCAGGCTAGGATAGGAAATTATTTTGTCTGACTCTTTGCCCCCCTTTTTTCCCAACACCCTCTGTGCTGCTGTTCTTCCTCCCTTGACTGTAAGTAGTGTAACCCTCCCTTTTGCTCCAGCTGCTTTATTTTCATTATTATTGTCTAGGAGTTCCTCATTTTCCTGAGTGTGGAAAAGATTCTAAAGAAAAGACCTTGATCCAGTAATTAATTTTGCTCTTAACATTTACAGACCCTTCCTCTCCTTAATAAAAATGGCTAAAATACAAATTGTTAAATTGTTATTTCAGAATTTGAAATAACAGTGGATTTTTTTCTTTAAAAAATGAACTTAAAATGATCATGCTATGAAAGATCTTAGATTTATTTTTGGTTCTCAGGTTTGATTAATAAATTATATTTTTCAGTTCATTGCATACTACAAAATTTATTAAATTATCTCAGCTGTGATTAAAATTAAAATGTATCTTGTTACATTAGTATGTGAAAATTAGTTCTATCCTGTAAAAATACTACCATATTATGAATAATCTTTTACATGCCTGTAGGGGACTAATGGGAAATTTAGTAATATTTGCATATTTTTTCCTTAAATAGTAGTAATATTTCCATGTTTTGTTTGTAAGCGACAAATATGTATATATATATTCATAGGTATTTTTTATATGATGGGAGAAGGTTTTGTATTTTTGTTTTTTGCCTCAGCTTTTCCCAGCTCTAGGGAGAGGTTTTTAATATATCTTTGTAGTTGATCAAAGTTATAAGGGATCTGAACTTATTGATTTAAGCTATTAAAGATAACCTTTGCATACACAAAGTTCTGTTATAGCGAATACTGGTACAACAAAGAGTCATAACAATAGAGTTCTTTAAAAAAACACACTGTCTTTGCTCTCATTTCCCAACATGATGGACCTAGTAATGGATATGGTGATCTAGTAGCCAGAATATTTTAAAATTTTTATACTGCCAATTAGAATAATGCTTTTCTTTAATTTTTGTCAATGAATGTGAGTTTTTATAAATGCTCATTTTATACTGTAAAAGTAGTTGAACTTTATGAATTTCTGCAAGATTCTGCCACTATGCGAAAACTTGAATGGGAGGTGAAGATTTTTTTTTTTTTTTTTTTGGTAGAGACATGGTCTCACTGTGTTGCCCAGGCTGGTCTCGAGCGAGGTAAAGATTTTAAATGGAGTTCAGCTAGTATTAAGCCCACTACTCACTTGTTCTGTGGTACTCTTAACAAATAATGTTGGATTACGACAGCAAAATATGTGGTATAGAACTATTTTCATTTTTGATCTACTTAGGACAGGTATTAATGGACACTTTCTCATAGCTCATAATCATGTTGGTATTGCTGTCTCTTGTTTGTGAAAGTCTGTGGAAACATCAGTCACTACTAACGGTAGACAGTCTTTAGATTTCAGCAGATATTCGTCAGGGTTTGTTGATGTTTGTTTTTACATGATGAAAGTCCCTATCAAAGTAATTCTATCTCCAAAAGATTTTTTTTTTTTTTTTGAGACAGAGTCTCACTCTGTCACCCAGGCTAGAGTGCAGTGGCATGATCTTGGCTCACCGGAACCTCCGCCTCCCGGATTCAAGCAATTCTCCTGCCTCAGCCTCCAAAGTAACTGGGATTACAGGCATCTGCCACCTCGCCTGGCTAATTTTTGGTATTTTTAGTAGAGACGAGGTTTCACCATGTTGGCCAGGTTGGTCTCAAAGTCCTGACCACAGGTGATCCACTCGCCTCGGCCTCCCAAAGTGCTGAGATTACAGGCATGAGCCACTGCGCCCAGCCTGTCCAAAAGATTTTAAAGTTGGGTGTTATGTTATTGAAATAAAATTCTTATATAAATTCTCTTATTTACTTTGTTAGTGGGGAAATCCAGTATCCTTAAGAATACAATCCTAAAATAAAGTTGTTACATATTGCAGAAAGGCAGAGTGATTGTGTTGTTATGGCAACTCAAATGGGGAAAATGAAAACAGCCCAGATAAGCTGCATCCTGTTGTCATGGCAACCACAGTTGTGGAAATGATTAAAGCTAGCCTAGAAAGGATGTATTGCAGCTTTAGTCCACTGAAAGTAAATAGTGTAAGAAAAGACAGGGAGAATTGGTTTTTGACAAAAGTTAAATCCCTCTGGTGCCACAAGTTGCTAGTACCACCATGTGTAGACAGATCTCTGTCCTTTCTAATTGTGTTTCAACTCAATTTTATTGCCTCAGATCATAATTGTGCTATGGAGGAAAGAAATGTAATAACTATGAAAAGCTTGTGAATAATGATTTTTTTGGTAGCAAATTTAGAAAGCAAAGTTAGGAAATTTATTTATTGAAAATGACTTTTAAAAAATAGGGTGTTTTCCTTTCCTCTTTCCCCCATTTCTCACCCAGTGCTTAATTTTCATTTTTTTCATACCCTGTTACTGTATCATTTTAGTCTTAAGTGTTGAATTGTAATGTAAATATCTAATACCATGGCAATTGGTAAGGCATCACATGCAGCATTATGATTGCCTATGAACAGATGGATTTGATGATAAATGATAAACATCCTGTAAGTGTGAATAAATTTATTTTAGCTCTATCTTTCAAACTTTCTCTGTAATCAAAGCTTCTTAAGTGTTTTTAAAAATGCCATTATTTCCTTCCCAAATTCCACTTGCTCATCACAGCAAGATATTTCATCCTAGTGGAGTGGAGACATGTTAGGAATAAACCTGATGAAAACCGTGGTCTTTGTTCAGCAGCTGGCTGCTTGCACAGGTTTTTGTGGTAATGGCATTGGCATCTCTGTATTAGAGTATTGATCTGCTGCTTGGTAGGTACTGTGTAAAATAAGTCTTCTAGTAAAGATGTATTAAGTGGTTTAAGAGCAGTTTATATTACAAATAAGGTGGAAGAAGGTGGAGTTCTGTAAGACCGGACACATGCTATAAATATCCATAAAATTAAGTATTTTATCTAAAAATGTGTGTTGAAAATTTCTTTTTTTCTTTTTTTCTTTTTTTGTTTTTTTGAGACGGACTCTTGCTCTGTCGCTGGAGTACAGTGGCGCGATCTCAGCTCGCTGCAAGCTCTGCCTTCCGGGTTCACACCATTCTCCTGCCTCAGCCTCCCGAGTAGCTGGGACTACAGGTGCCCGACACTGTGCCCAGATAATGTTTTGTATTTTTTAGTAGAGACTGGGTTTCATCGTGTTAGCCAGGATGTTCTCAATCTCCTGACCTCGTGATCTGCCTGCCTTGACCTCCCAAAGTGCTGGGATTATAGGCATGAGCAACTGCGCCCAGCTGAAATTTTCTTATTTTAATTCATATTTAATTGCACATAGTTGAACATTATCTGAGTGTGAGTTGCGTACACTAATACCATCATCCTTTGCCCTTTAGTGGAGGATTTTATATTTGATGTTCCTGTGTTGTGGTTGAAAACTGTGTTGTAAACTCGTCAGTTATAAGAAATAATATTGACCATAGGAACAGTGTTTTAAAGTAATCCGTTGAATATTTTCATGAAAATCCAGGTTGATTTTGCCTGAGCATAAGTTGGTCTTCATCAATAACCTCTTCACTGTATACATTGCCTGGTTTTGCCTGGCTAACCGAAATCTGGCCTTTCATGTAGGTATAGAGAAGAAACCTTTTTTGTTTTTTTTCTTTTGAGATAGAGTCTCACTCTGTTGCCCAGACTGGAATGCAGTGGTGCCATCTTGGCTCACTGCAACGTCCGCCTCCTGGGCTCAAGCGATTCTCCTGCATCAGCCTCCTGAGTAACTGGGACTACAGGCATGCGCCACCATCCCCGGCTAATTTTTTTGTATTTTTAGTAGAGATGGGGTTTCACCATGTTGGCCAAGCTGGTCTTGAATTCCTGACCTCAAATGATCCACCCACCTCGGCCTCCCAAAGTGCTGGGATTACAGGCGTGAGCCATCATGCCTATCCAGAAACCTATTTTTAAAAAGAAGAAAAAGATGGAGGAGGAGAAGGGAGAACTATAACTAGAATCACCTTTTTTTTTTTTTTTTTTTTTTTAGAATTTTTAAAAAGCTCATTCCCTTTTGCTGTTATTTAATGGTAGCAGGTCATGTATGACTCATGACTTAGGTCATACAACTTAGGATATTAAATGGTTCAGATACCCAGCAAACAGTTCAAAGATTGCATTAACAAGCTAGCTAACATTTTGTAAAGGAGTTCAAAATGAAAGACTGTCAGTACCTATATTCCGTGTGCCTAGCTGTTGTTGCCCCACTGGAATGTCACAATGCAAGGATGTGAATCTCCCTTTCTCCTAACAGAAGTTTTTAAAGCTAACAGATTTTAATAGATTTGCAAACAGAAGTTTGCAAGCAGAAGTTTGTAAATCTGTTAAAATGTTTTACATTAAAATTTGATGCACTGATTTTTAGATTGGTGTCTAAAGTAGGCAATATCATCAGGTTGTGCATTTGAGATTTACCAGTTTACATCTTGGCTTATGATAAATTGGATTGGAAGATCAGGTACTTTATTTTCCTGGAAGAAAAAAAAATTAGGTATATTCATCATTCCCATTTCACAATTTCTTGTCATATCTCACTTGCTTCAGAAATACTCATTTTGGATCCTTCTTGTGAATATGTAACTCTTAATACTAATGTCCTGAGAGAAAGGAGAATTTCTTGTCTAACCTCAGTAATAACCATACCATCACAAAAGAAGGCCTCACAATGTATCAGGCAATCAAATAGCCAATAACCTATTCTCCTGCTAAATTCCATAAACTGGATGGGGAGGGTAGATAATGTTCATTTTTGTTACTTACCAGGGAACATGACACTTGGTCTTTGAAATTGTTATTTATTTCATATATTGTAGCTGCCAATCAGTCAGTGATTTGCAAATAGCAAAGTAAATACACTGCTGAAAATGAGTTTCTTCTTTGTGCTGATCTGTGATGTGCGGGAAATCAGATGTAATATGGTTGCATTTATTTATGTAGGCATCTATTCTCTTTCTTAATGAGCAAGTAATTTTCTTTTCTCTACTTCTACACAAAAGTTAAATTAAGGAGTACCCAAGAGGGCTGGGAAACTTGGTTTGCAGTCATTGAAATACTGCTGAGTATCGGGATCCTTTCATGAGTGGAGTTTCCCTCTCCTTAAGAAGAAAGCTCCAGATAGCTCCCTTTTGAACTCATTGTTAGAGCAAACACATCTGTAGAGGAAGATGATCCATAAGTCTAATGCTAAGGATTTGCCTCCTCTCCCTATCAATGAGAAGGGTTTGCCTCCTCTCCCTGTCAAAGGATTTTACTCTGGCTTATTTGGCTGTTTTTGCCTGGGAAGTGAGGGGCAAGAGCTCTGATCTTTCCTATGACGGCCAGCCTGGCCTTAATATGTAGATTATTAACATGATACCAGCCTCTGTTGAGTCATAGCAACTGCTATGAACAAACATGTAAATCCATCTAGGGGAAGAAAAGAGTGTTGCAAATGCCTTTCATCAAAATGGAAGACTACTTCAACTTCTATTTGCTCTTCTTGTTATAACCAAGCTTTTTCTTTTTTCATTTTCCTCTGCCTTTCTTTCCCTCCTTTTTTCCGTCCCCACTATCCTCCATCTTTCAGAAATATCAAAAGCTGAATCTTCCCACCGAACACTGCAATCATTTGAAATTTGTGTATAGGCCAGCTTCACATCATCAGAAATTGTGTAACCCCATGATTCCCAGGCCTCAGCTGGTAGTGTAGTTATTTCAAATAATATTTAATACAATAAATTCTATGGCAATAAAAGAATTTGGACAGTCCCTTCGAACTTATTGCAATGAGATTTGACTTGAATTTAATACAATGAAGTTTCAGAATAGCCAAGTAATTTTGTTGTGGCATGATTTAAAGGGTATTTAAGTACAGGTATAGGTGATTGAGTTTGTAAAACCTAATCAGAGGTAAATTGCAGTTTTACTCTTATCACGTGAATGAGCATTCAAAAATACAGAAATTCTTTACTTAGCATAAGGTGATTTTTAACAGTGTGGCAAAGAGTGTAAGTGAACATCCTTAACTTTTTGTTCTGTCAAGGGGAGAATAAAGATACCACCTGGCTGTATGTATAAATTTGCTTACTAAGATGGTTGATTGATTTCTTTTAGGTGGGTATTAAAAGTGGCTTTTTTGGTATAGAAAACATGTAGCATCAAAGCAGTGTTGTGATGCCCTGCTGTCTTCTGATGTTGAATATTTTATGGGATTAAAAACAATTGTTTTTATCTTACTCTTTCAGATTCAACAATCTTATAGTAAAAGCAGCCATAGACTAAATATTTAGAATTTATTATGCTGATACAAATGAAAGAAACATAAAATACAAATATTGAGTGAATTAAGAAAAAGAGGCTGCTTGCAGTGGCTCACACGTGTAATCCTGGCACTTTCTGAGGCTGAGTCGGGAGGATCTCTTGAGGCCAGGAGTTTGAGGCTGCAGTGAGCTATGATTATGCCACTGCACTCCAGCCTGGGTGACAGAGCGAGACCTCATCTCAAAAAAAAAAAAAAAAAGAAAAAGAAAAACAATGTTTCTTTCTAGAGTGCTTAGCAGGGCAAAAAAAGAAGGAAAAAAGAAAAACAGAATGTTGATGTTAGAAAAATTTGGTTATTGTCTTATGCTCTGGAGTTCTTACCTCAAGCCAGTGACTTTTAAGATCTGTTGTTTTCTGTACTGAAGCAGAATAGTGAAAATGTTTTTATAGGAAGTTATGAAAAAAAGTCTATATTAATTTGCTTTGGGTCATTCTAGTCTCTCTGGTAAATTCATAATTAGGAAGGCCTTTTTAAGGCTGTATGCTAGTCTCACAGGTACACAGCTACTTCATATCTGATAAATCTAAATTCATATGTGAGGAGGTTATGTTTTTTTAAAGCATATTATTTACACAATTCACTGGAATGGCTCCTTTGGAAGTTGGGTGACTCTCTTATGTAATTATATACTTAGTAACCCTGCTCTACAAAGCAGTAGAAATTCAAGTAAGAATAATTTACTGCTTATGCATAGTTATTAGAATTTTAAAGCATTTGTTTGTTCAAAATTCTAGTTTATCAGTGTTGTATTTGACTAATTGCCTACTTAATAAATAATGAATATAATTTATTTTAGAAGGCACCCAAATTTTAACAATTGTAAATAAACATTAGGAGCTGCTCCCCCTCTTCGCTTTCTTGTTTAAAGGGATTCTCATCCCTTTAGTCCAAGTTTCGTGGAGAAAATAATTCCTATCTTAAAAATTCTATATTAGAAGTATTATAGATGGACTTAAATTACAGAATTGTGGAATTTTATTGCTGTAAGGTAGTTAGAAATATCTTATTCTATCCATTTTACCAGCAAAGAAGGTGAAGTGTATAGAAATTAAGTGAACTTCTCAAAGTCATACAATTGGTTTGAGGACAAGTCTGTTCCACAACCTGATATGTCATGCCTTCTCAGTTGTCATGATAATTCAGCAGTTCATTTCACCAGGGATTCCTTGAACACTGCTGTGTGTACAACAGTGGGCTAAGCATCCAGAGGTTATAACAATAGTGTGAGTTTATATGGTCTAACAATAATGATATCAGACTAGTAATATTTTACATTTGAATCTCAGTTTTATCTGGTGTTTTCTAATGTTTATAAATGTTAATGTGTGGTGGCTAAACCTTTAAATCTCTTTTTCTCTACTAGATTATAACCTCTTTAAAAGCAGGGACTCATTTAGCTTTTGTAAAGTCAATCCAGTTTCATTTTTAAAGACTTAAATTAAAATTTCTAAGCATTGATGGCATTGTTGGAATAAATGTAGCTTCCTGAGGTGTCTTCTCTGGGGACGATACACATTTTAAAATTGTATTTCTGTTTTCATCAAGTACTTTCCATTTCAAGTAACAGATTGCTTCATTCCCCCTTTAAGCAAGAAGGGAGAGTATTTTAAGGGTACAGAGATAGCTCATGGAACTAAAGGGAAAAAGATGGCCAGTAAGGCCCCATAAGGACTTGGAACCAGGCATTGGAATACCTTTAGGACACAAGGCAGCCGCCCTTGCATTCCTAAGATAAATCCTACTTAGTCATGGTGTATATTCCTTTTTCTGTGTTGCTGGATTTTATTTGCCATTATTTTGTTGAGGATTTTTGCCTATATGGCCATAAGGGATATTGGTCTGTAATCTCCATTCTGCTGTTGAGACCATCCAGTGAGTTTAAAAATTTTATTTTCAGTTTTCTCATTCCCATTTAGTTCTTCCCCTGACCCCCTTTTTTTACTTCCCCACTTTGAGACAGGTCTAGCTCTGTTGCCCAAACCAGAGTGCAGTAGCATGATCATGGCTCACTGCAGCCTCGACCTCTCAGGCTCAAGAGATCTTCCCACCTCAGCCCCTCAAGTAGCTGGGACTACAGGAATGTGCCACCAGGCTTGGCTAATTTTGTAAGAAATTTTCTGTAGAGACAGGGTCTTACCCTGTTTTTCAGGCTTGTCTGGAACTCCTGGGCTGAAGCAATCCTCCTGCCTTGGCTTCCCAAAGTGCTGGGATTATAGGTGTGAGCTACTGCACCTGGCCCATTTAGTTCTTTATATCTGTTGTTTCTTTGCTGGTACTCTCTTTCTTTCAAGAGTGTTTTTAGTTATTGGAACATTTTAATCCTATCTATGTGTATGTGTGTGTGTGTATATATATATATATATATATATATATATTTTTTTTTTTTTTTTTTTGAGACAGAGTCTCGCTCTGTCACCCAGGCTGGAGTGCAGTGGCGCATCTCAGCTCACTGCAAGCTCCGCCTACCGGGTTCACGCCATTCTCCTGCCTCAGCCTCTCGAGTAGCTGGGACTACAGGTGCCCGCCATCATGCCTGACTAATTTTTTGTATTTTTGGTAGAGACGGGGTTTCACCGTGTTAGCCAGGAGGGTCTCAATCTCCTGACCTTATGATCCGCCCTCCTCGGCCTCCCAAAGTGCTGGGATTACAGGTGTGAGCCACCGCGCCCAGCCAATCCTAGCTATATTACAGTCTTTGCCTTTAAAGTTAATTTCACCGTCTGTGCCATCTTGGTATTGGCATCTGTTGATACCAGTTGAAGTTTTCCCCTTTTTAGTATACCAAGTAATTTTTGCGTTATATCCTTGGCTTTTTTAATATTATGCAACTCAGTTTTGTTTAAATTGTATTGAAAATGTTGATATTTTTGTCAGGCATTCAACCCAGTTGGCTTCAGTCTACAAGTTGAGATTTCTGTAGGATTGTGGTTTCAATGTCTGTTACATTTTGAAAGCCTTTGCAGTTCTATTGAGATATATTCCATGCGTGTGCCACTTGATGGCCATTGTGGAATCTGGATGATAGTCCATCTTGTAGTTCAGTTCTCAAAGTCTATGCCTGGCCGAGTGCAGTGGCTCACGCCTGTAATCCCAGCACTTTGGGAGGCCGAGGTGGGCGGATCACGAGGTCAGGAGATCGAGACCATCCTGGCTAATATGGTGAAACTCCATCTCTACTAAAAATACAAAAAATTAGCCGGGCGTGGTGGCGGGTGCCTGTAGTCCCAGCTACTCAGGAGGCTGAGGCAGGAGAATGGGATGAACCCAGGAGACAGAGCTTGCAGTGAGCCTAGATGGTGCCACTGCACTCCAGCCTGGGTAACAGAGCTAGAATCCATCTTAAAAAAAAAAAAAAAAAAAAAGTCTATGCCTTACTGTTTTGGGTTATATCCACCCATGTGCAGCTTGGGGGTGAACATAGGAGTTCATTAACCACTTTATGGGGCCATTTTCTTGAGTTCCTCCCTCTGTACAATCTCCCCAGTACTATCTGGTTCCCTGGGGCCGCCTTTTTCAGTCCTCCAGCCAGAAAGCTAGGACTTTATTTAATCCTGCATCTGTTACTGCATATGGGGCTACGCAATGGGAGGCTAGAGGAAAAAAAAAAAGCAATGAGGTTTTGTCTCACCCTTTTAGGATCACAACTCCTCTGATCAGAGAGGAAGGTTTCCTTACTTCAGAGTTTTAGCCTTCTTTGGGTCTCTGCTTCTGCTGTGGCTTTCCTCATGGAATTGCTTTGAGAGAATAGCAAGAACTTTAAAGAAAAATGGGAGATTTTTGCCATTCTCTCTGAGTGTTACGATACTCCTTCTGCACTCCTTAAGCTAGAACTAGAGGGCTTTTCCTGGAGCTCTCTTTACTGACACCAATACCCACTTGTGGGTTTCAGGCAGCAGTCCAGGCTGGTGGATACTGGAGGAATAATAAAAAGATAAATTCATTATTGGTTCAGTGTTATGTAAAAGTCTTCTCCAATTACCTGCTAGTATTTAATTTTTTGAGTCTTCAAATAGTTGTTCTATATGTTCTGTCCATTTCTTAGTGGTTGCCTTCAGTGGGAAATACAGGATGGAGTGCACTTACTCCATCTTACATGGAACTAGAACCCCTTCTAGTTAATTATCCTTTTGATATTGATTTATGCTAGTCAACAACATACACTGCAAGTTCAGTCCTTTGAACTTCCTTCATGGCCCATCTTAAGGTCTGTTTTGGTAAAGTGTAGCAAGTGTGCTTGAAAAGAATGTGTGTGTATACTGCAGTTGTTGGGTGAAGTGTTCTAGATAAATCATTACATCAAGTTTATTATTACTGTGCTTGTCACTTCTTTGTTGCTTATTCTATCAATAGCTGAGAGAGTTATGTTAGGCTCTCAAACTATGTAGATTTGTGTATTTTCCCTTTAGTTCTGAGTTTTTTGCTTATTTTGAAATTGTTAGTAGTGGTACATATACTTTTAGGATTATTCTCGATGAATTAACCTTTTTATAATTATGAAATAGTCCTCTTTATTACTGCTTATACTTTTTTTTTTTTTTGAGATGGAGTCTCGCTCTGTCTCCCAGGCTGGAGTGCAGTGGCGCTATCTCAGCTCACTGCAAGCTCCGCCTCCCGGGTTCATGCCATTCTCCTGCCTCAGCCTCCCGAGTAGCTGGGACTACAGGCGCCCGCCACTACGCCCGGCTAACATTTTGTATTTTTAGTAGAGACGGGGTTTCACCGTGGTCTTGATCTCCTGACCTCGTGATCCGCCCGCCTCAGCCTCCCAAAGTGCTGGGATTACAGGCGTGAGCCACTGCACCCGGCCTACTGCTTATACTCTTTGTTCCGAGGTAAACTTTCATGTTAACATAGCCATCTCAGGTTTCTTTTTTTTTTTTTTTTTTTTTTTTTTTTGAGACGGAGTCTCACTCTTTCACCCAGGCTGGAGTGCAGTGGTGTGATCTTGGCTCACTGCACCTCCACCTCCTGGGTTCAAGTGATTCTCCTGCCTCAGCCTCCCAAGTAGCTGGAGTTACAGGCACGTGCCATCACAGCTAGCTAATTTTTGTGTTTTTAATATAGACAGGGTTTTGCCATGTTGGCCAGGCTGGTCTTGAACTCCTGACCTCAGGTGATCCACCCACCTCAGCCTCGCAAAGTGCTGGGATTACAGGCGTGAGCCACCGTGCCCGGCCTCAGCTTTCTTATGACTGTTTTTATGATACAGCTTCTTTAAGCTTTTTACTTTTAATTTATTGGTATACATTAATAGATAATTGTGTCGGTTTTTAAATTAATCATCTGTCCTGATCATCTGTCCTGATCATCTGTCCTTCTTTGTTTATACTTGCACTGTCCAATAGAAACATTTACCACAGATGCCAACCAAGTATATACTTTTAAATTTTCTTGTAGCCACATTGAAAATGTGAAATGAAGCTGGGCAAGGTGGCTCATGCTTGTAATCCCAGCGTTTTAGGAGGCCGAGGTGGGAGGATCAGTTGAGGCCAGGAGTATGAGACCTGCCTGGGTAATATAGCAAGAACTTGTCTGTACCAAAAAAATTAGGCGTAGTGGTATACACCTGTAGTCCCATCTACTTGGAAGGCTGAGGCAGGAGGATCTCTTGAGCTCAGGAGTTTGAGGTTCTAGGGAGCTGTGATCATACCACTGCACTCCATCCTGGTTGACAATGAGACCATGTCTCTTACAAAAAAGTGAAAAGAAAGTTGAAATTTTCATAATGTATTTTATTTAACACACCGTAATTTTTTATTTTTGTTTTTATTTCTTTGGAAACAGTCTCGCTTTGTTGCCCAGGCTGGAGTGAAGTGGCGTGATCTTGGCTCACTGCAAACTCCGCCTCTGGCTTCAAGTGATTCTCGTGGACTACAGGTATGCGCCACTACACCCAGCTAATTTCTGTATTTTTAGTAGAGATGGGGTTTTGCCATGTTGCCCAAGCTGGTCTTGAACTCCCGAGCTCAGGCAATCCGCCCACCTTGGCCTCCCAAAGTGCAAGATGACAGGCCTGAGCCACTGTGCCCAGCCTAACACAGTGTAGTTTAAACATTAATTTTTTTCTTTTTCTTTTTTTTTTTTTGTGAGACAGTCTCGTTCTGTCGCCAGGCTGGAGTGCAGTGGCGCAATCTCGGCTCATTGCAACCTCCACCTCCCAGGTTCAAGCAATTTTCCTGCCTCAGCCTCCCAAGAAGCTGGGACTACAGGTGCGTACCACCATGCCCAGCTAATTTTTTGTATTTTTAGTAGAGACAGGGTTTTACCATGTTGGCCAGGATGGCCTCGATCTCTTGACCTCATGATCTGCCCACCTCGGCCTCCCAAAGTGCTGGGATTACAGGCGTGAGCCACTGCGCCTGGCCTAAACATTATTTCAAAATATAATTAATATAGAATTATGAATTAGATATTTCACTTTTTTGTATTAAGTTTTTAAAAATCAATGGGTATTTTAAAGTTGTAACATATTTCAATTTGGACTAGCCACCATTCAAGTGCTCAGTAGCCGTATGTGACTAGTGGTTATTGTATTGGAGAGTATGTTTAGACCATACATTTAGTGTAGTGATCAGTATGGTTAAATTTAAATTGATCATTTTGCTATTTATTTGTTTTTTCCCATCTGTTCTTTTTCTTCTTTTTTTTTAAATTTATTTTCTTTTTCTGAGACAGGGTCTCACTCTGTCACCCAGGCTGAAATGCAGTGGAGTGATCTCTGTTCACTGCAGCCTTGCCCTCCCAGCCTCAAGTGATCCTCTCATCTCAGCCTCCTGAGTAGCTGGGACTATAGGCATGCACCACTATGCCTGGCTAATTTTTGTATTTTTTACAGAGACAGAGTTTTGCCATGTTGCCCAGGCTGGTCTCCAACTCATGGACGCAAGCGATCTGCCACCTGGGCCTCCCAAAGTGTTAGAATTACAGTTATGAGTCACTGGGCCTGGCCCTTTTTGCCTTTAAAAAAATTTTCCTGCTTTCTTTTGGATTTATTTTTTGTTACTATTTAAGTATTCCATTTTATGCCTTCTATTGGCTTACTAGGTACCTTTGTTTTGTTTTAATGATTGCTTTAGAGGTGACAATTTGCATGGTAAAATATTGAGGTTGGCCGGGCACAGTGGCCCACCCCTGTAATCCCAGCATTTGGGAGGCTGAGGCAGGTGGATCATCTGAGGTCAGGAGTTCAAGACCAGCCTAGCCAACACGGTGAAACCCTGACTCTACTAAAAATACAAAAAAATTAGCTGGGCGTGGTGGTGGGCGCATGAAAGCCCAGCTATTTGGGAGGCTGAGGCAGGGCAATCGCTTGAACCGGGGAGACGGAGGTTGCAGTGAACCAAGATTGTGCCACTGCACTCCAGCCTGGGCGACAAGAGCAAAACTCCATCTCAAAACAAAAACAAAAAACAAAAAAAGCCACACAAAACATTGAGGTAAAGTTCACATAATATAAAATTAACCATTTTAAAGTGAACAATTCTGTGTAGTTTAGCAACTACTACCTCTATGTAGTTGAAAGACATTTACATCATTCCAAGTAAAAGCTTTTATCCAGTAAGCAGTTTCTTTCTATTCCCTTCCTTCAGCCCTTGGCAATCACCAATCTGCATTCTGCCCATATGAATTTATCTATTCTGGACATTTCATATAAATGGAAGCATACAATATGTGACTTTTTGTGTATGACTTCTTTCACTTACCATATTTTTGAGGTTTAGTCATGTTATAGCATTTATTAGTAGTTTATTTTTATGGCTGAATAATATTCCATTGTATGTACATACAGTCATGTGTCACTTGATGGGGATACATTCTGAGAAATGTGCCATTAGGTGAGTTCAACATTGTGTGAACGTCATCTAGTGTACTTACACAAACCTAGGTAGTATAGCCTACTATATACCTGGGCTATATGTTATAGCTTGTTGCTCCCAGGCTACCTGGACAGCATGTTACTGTACTGAATATTGTAGGCAGTTGTTACACAATAGGGAGTATTTGTGTATCTAAACATACTTAGACATAGAAAAGATGTAGTTAAAATGTTGGTATTATCATCTGTGGGACCACCATGGTATATGCAGTTCATTGTTGACTAAAAATGTCATTGTGCAGTGCGTGAGTTACCAGAATTTGTTTATCTGTTTATTCGTTGATAAGTATTTTTGGGCTGTTTTCAACCTTTTGCCAATTTTGAATAATGCTACTATGAACATGTGTATACATGTATTTGTTTACCTGTTTTTAATTCTTTGGATATATACCTAGAAGTAGGTATATACCAAAATTGCTATGGTAGTTCTGTGTTTTATTTTTTGAGACACTGCCAAATTGTTTCCCGTGGTTACTGAACTATTTTATATTCCCACCAGCAATGTATGAAGGTTCCAGTTTCTCCACATCCTTGTCAGCACTTGTTATTTTCTGTTGTGGGTTTTCTTGTTTTAATTGTAACGTCAAAAGCTTTTGAGACTGGACAGGAGTTTACTGATAAAGCTTCTTCTAGTACATCTGGATTTCCTGGTATGCTTCTCTCCTAATATATCTGGATGGCTGCTTTTTAGCTTTCTTTAGTTCTTTTTTTAAACTTACCATACTAGTGGGTGTGAAGGGTACATTATCGTGGTTTTGATTTTCATTTTCCCAATGACCGCTGATGTCAAGAAGAGTACCCTGGCTGCGCAGGGTGGCTCACACCTGTAATTCCAGCACTTTTGGAGGCCAAGGTGGGCGGATCATGAGGTCAGGAGTTGGAGACCAGCCTGGCCAACATGGTGAAACCCCGTCTCTACTAAAAATACAAATATTAGCCAGGCACGATGATGCGTGCCTGTAATCCCAGCTGCTTGGAGGCTGAGGCAGGAGAATTGCTTGAATCTGGGAGTCGGAGATTGCAGTGAGCCGAGATCATGCCACTGCACTCCAACCTGGGTGACAGAGCAAGACTCTGTCTTGGACAAAAAAAAGGAAGAGTACCCTTTTAATGTGCTGTTGAGAGTAATATCTTTTCAGTTATTTTGCCCATTTTTTAATTGAGTTGTCTTTTTTTATTTTTTTGAGTTGTAAAAGTATATTCTGGATAGTCAACTGTTCTTAGAGATATGATTTACAAAACAATATGCATCTTTAACTTAACACAGCCTGGAAATATTTCACTTCACATATACTGTATTTTCAGTTTTCTACATTCCTATCCTTTGTGTTATTATTGTCATACGTTTTGTTTTCATGTATATTATGAACACTGTAACTTATTATTTTTGCTTAAATTGCTTACTTTTTAAAAAAATTTTAAATGAAACAATTTTAAAAATATTGACATTTGTATTTCTGGCACTTTTTTTTTTTTTTTTTTTGAGACAGTGTCACTCTGTCGCCCAGGCTAAAGTGCACTGGGGCAATCTCAGCTCACTGCAACCTCTGCCTCCTGGGTTCAAGCAGTTCTCCTGCTTCAGCCTCCTGAGTAGCTGGCATTACAGGTGCAGGCCCCTACGCCTGGCTATTTTGTTTTTTCAGTAGAGATGGGATTTCACCATGTTGGCCAGGCTGGTCTCGAACTCCTGACCTCAAGAAATCTACCTGCCTCGGCCTCCCAAAGTGCTGGGATTACAGGCATGAGCCACTGCACCTGGCCATTTCTGGCACTTTTTATAGTTTTGTATGGGTTGGTCTATTATCATTCTTCAGATATATTTGGAAATATGCATTTTCCAAATATATTTTCTGCTTCTGCCCATCCCTGTTCTCTAATTTTCTTTTGAGACACCAGATATGCATGTGTTAGACCACTTACAATTTCCTATAGGTCACTGAAGCTTTGTTCAGTTTGTTTCCTTAGTCTTTTTTCTCTTAGTGCTTTATTTTTGCTTCCTCGGGTTCACTGATCTTCTACAGAGTTTAAATGTGCTGCTAGTCCTATTTCATGAAATTATCATTTCAAACATTGTATTTTTCATTCTGGAACTTTTTATTTCATTCTTTTTTTATACCCTACATCACTATGTTCATGTTATTATAGCTGTTTTAATTTTTAGGTCTGCTAATTTCATTGTCAGTTTTTTTCTGGGTCTGCTTCCATTGACTGATAGTCCTCCTAGTTATGAATCATATTTTGTGCCTCTTGTCTTGTAATTTTAGATTTAGTTGTAGACATTGTGATATTACATTTTTGAATATTTGTATTTTAAAAATCTTTTTAAAAGGATGTTGAGTTTATTTTGGTGCTCTTAAGTTTTTTGCAGATCAACTTGATGCTCTTGTGGCTGATTTTAAGCTTTATTCTGATAGTTTTAGTGTAGCTTTTATTCTAGTGTAGTTCATCCCAGCAACTGAGATGTGAGCTTTCTAAGGCTCCTAGTGAATGTCATAAGTATTCATTAGGCTTCTGAAATCTGACCAGTCAGAACAGAAATGTGCCCCAGGTCTGTGTAGTTTCTAGTTGCTGAGCTTATAGTTCTGTTGTAGTTTTTTGCCTAGTGTTGTGGAATTTCACTGTATGTATACAGGACTTAGTATTCAGGAACTGAGTCAGGGGTGTCCTATTCAGGTATTTGGAACCTTTTTCTACATAATTCATTCTTCAGTATTCTGCCTCACTAATTCTTTTTAGCCTTCATGTATTTTGTTTCCTCAAGTAAGTGGTCCCATTGTACTCTGTTTGAGTTCCCCTTTCTTGTGCAGCAGCCTGGACAGTACCTTCGGGTAGAAGACTAGGATAATTTTAAGGGTCACCTTATTTGTTTCCCGTCATTCAGGGATTACATTCTGGCATTGTTTGTTGTTCAGTGTCTTGAAATATATGTTTCACATATTTTGTTCAGTTTCTTGATGGTAGGAAGATAAGTTTGATACCAATTATTGCCTTATGGTAGAATCTAAAGTCTAGTGCTTGTTTTTACTTTAGAGTTTAATTTTATTTAAACTTAATGTACTAGAAGTCCTCATATTACATATTTCTAATGTGCATAAATTTCAGTTAGCACAATTTAGTTAAGTGACACTAGTCACCCAATACCATGGTTCCAATTTCAGTTACCATAGTATATTAACTATGAGTAACTATGTAAAGTACAAACTTCATTGCTAGTACTCCAGTCCACACATGACTATGTGAAAAACAGATACACACTAGTCTATTTACTTCAAGGTCTGTTGGCGATTAAGTTTATATACAGACAATAAAGTGTCTAGTTGTATTGTCTTTCCCAATGTTAAGCCCACATGATATTTTATAGAAATAGATAATCAAAAGTGGAAATTGGCCAACAGATATGAAACAAAGTAACAAAAAATGATAACCCTTTCATTGAAATTTGAGAGAAATGTAAATGAAGTTATAGAAGAAATAGTTGACCATAGGAAAATTGACACTGTCACCATTTGATAGACTCTAGATATGCAGCCAGAGGAACTTATTGAAGGTGAACTTATTAACATAAATGAGGGAAGTGGTTTTTTTGTTTGTTTGTTTTGGGTTTGTTTTTGAGATGGAGTCTTGCTCTGTCGCCCAGGCTAGAGTGCAGTGGTGCAATCTCGGCTCACTGCAACCTCTGCCTCTCACTGCAACCTCTGCCTCCTGTGTTCAGGCAATTCTCCTGCCTCAGCCTCCTGAGTAGCTGGGATTATAGGTGCCCACCACCACGCCTGGCTAATTTTTGTTTTGTTTTGTTTTTTTGACAGAGTCTCGCTCTGTTGCCCAGGCTGGAGTGCAGTGGTGCAATCTCGGCTCACTGCAGGCTCCGCCTCCAGGGTTTACACCATTCTCCTGGCTCAGCCTCCCGAGTAGCTGGGACTACAGGCACCTGCCACCACGCCTGGCTAATTTTTGTATTTTTAGTAGAGATGGGGTTTCACCATCTTGGCCAGGCTGGTCTCAAACACCTGGCCTCAGGTGATCCACCCGCCTTGGCCTCCCAAAGTACTGGGATTACAGGTGTGAGCCACTGCACCCAGCCTGAGGGAAGTGGTTTTGATGCAAAAGATGAAGATGTCCCAGAGGAAATCTTTACATTAAAGGAAAAAAAAACTTTATATTAAAAGACCTTGAGATATTTCACAAAATTGAAAGTACAAAGGATAAAATGTTAGATTGTGACCTTGCTTTGTTTCTAATCTTCTCTTAAACCAATCTAATGAATTCTTAATTTCAACTTTCGTGTTTTTTTATATACAGGATTTTCATGTTATATATTTTAAATTTTAGATTCCAATTTTCTGGTGTAACTTTTTAATCTGTTTTGTTGAATATCTTAAATATGGTTATTTTAAAGTCTGTGATTACTTATCACATTGGGGGCTGTTGTTTTTAACTGTGTTAATATGTACATACCATAAAATTGACCATCTTAACCATTTTTAAGTGTACAATTCAGTAGTTTTAGCACATTCACATCATTGTGCAACCAGTCTTCAGAACTTTTTCCTCTTGCAAAACTGAAATTCTATACTCATTAAATAACAACTCCCCATTACCCATCACCTCTCAGCTCCTGGCAACCACCATCCTACTTTCTGAATTTGACTACTCTAGGTAACTCATATAAGTGGATTTATACAGTACAGGCATGCACTGTATAATGACATTTCAGTCAGTGATGGACTGTGTACACGATGGTGGTCCCTTGAGATTATAATGGAGCTGAAAAATTCCTATCACCTAGTGACATTGTAGCCAATGTAACGTCATATAATGCAAGGCATTATTCAGGTGTTTGTGTTGATACTGGTGTAAATGAACCTGCTGCACTGCTAGTCATAAAAAAGTGTAGTACATACTATTATGTACAGTACATAATACTTGATAATAAACAACTATGTTACTGGTTTATGTACTTACTGTACAGTATTTTTTATTGTTATTTTAGAGTGGGCTACTTCTACTTATTAAAAAAAATTAACTGTAAAACAGCGTTAGGCAGGTCCTTCAGGAGGTATTCCAGAAAAAGGCATTGATGTCATAGGAGATGACAGGTCCATAGATGTTAATTGCTCCCAAAGACCTTCCAGTGCCATAAGCTATGAAGGTAGAAGACAGTGATATTGATGATCCTTGCTCTCTGTGGGCCTAGGCTAATGTAATGTGTGTGTTCATGTGTTGGTTTTCAACAAAGATGTTTAAATAATATATATAATATATATTTTTTAAATAGGAAACAACTTATAAAGATGTAAGGAAAAATATTTTTGTACTGCTGTACAATATGTTTGTGTTTTGAGCTAAATGTTATTACAAAAGAGTCAAAAAGTTTTTAAAAACTAAAAAAATTTATAAAGTGAAAAAGTCACAGTAAGCTAAGTTTATTACTAAAGAGACAAAAGTATGTTTTAATAAATTTAGTCTAGCCTAAGTGCACAGAGTTTATTGGCCATCTTAACCATTATAAAGTCTATAGTAGTGTACAATAATGTCCTAGACCTTCACGTTTATTGACCACTCATTCAGTAACTCACCCAGAGCAACTTGCAATCCTGCAACCTCCATTCATGGTTAAGTGCCCTATATAGGTGTACCATTTTTTATCTTTTTGTCTTTTTTTTTGAGACAAGGTCTTCTGTTGCCTGGGCTGGAGTGCAGTGGTGAGATCTCGGCTTACTTCAGCCTCCACATTCCAGGCTGAAATGATCCTCCTGCTGCAGTCTCCCGAGTAGCTGGGACTACAGGCATGTGCCACCATGCCTGGCTAATTTAAGTATTTTTTGTAGAGATGGGGTTTCACCATGTTGCCCAGGCTGGTCTTGAACTCCTGGACTCAAGGGATCTGCCCACCTCAGCCTCCCAAAGCCACCACACCCAGCCACCACTTTTATTTTATTTTATTTTATTTTATTTTATGTTATGTTATGTTATGTTATGTTATGTTATGTTATGTTATGTTATGTTATGTTATGTTATGTTATTTTGAGACAGAGTTTCACTCTTGTTGCCCATGCTGGAGTGCAATGGCGTGATCTCGGCTCACTGCAACCTCTGCCTCCTGAGTTCAAGCGATTCTCCTGCCTCAACCTTCTGAGTAGCTGGGATTACAGGCATGCGCCACCATGCCTGGCTAATTTTGTATTTTTAGTAGAGACAGGGTTTCATCATGTTGGCCAGGCTGGTCTGGGACTCCTGACCTCAGGCGATCTGCCCGCCTCAGCCTCCCAAAGTGCTGGGATTACAGGCATGAGCCACTGCGCCTGGCCCTTTTAATCTTTTATACTGTATTTTTACTGTACTTTTTCTGTTTAGATACACAAATACTTTCCACTATATTGCAGTTGCCTACAGTATTCGGTACAGTAACATGCTGTCCCTGCTTGTAGCACAGGAGCAATATGCTCTACCTATAGTCTAGGCGTGTGGTAGTACCTTCTAGATTTGTGTAAGTACACTGTGATCACACAGCCGAGAAATCACCTAGTGATGCATTTCTCAGAATGTATCCCCTTTGTTAAGTGTCACATGACTGTATTTGTCTTTTTGTGACTGGCTTATTTCACTCAGCATAATGTCCTCAAGGTTCATCCATGTTGCAGCATGTGTCAGATTTTCCATCCTTTATTAGGCTGAATAATATTCCATTGTATGCATATACTAGATTTTAGTTATCTACCCATCTGTTGATGGCCATTTGAATCTGTCTACTTTATTGTTTGCCTTTTCCCCTGGTTTTTGTTTGTTTTTTAATTTGGCCATTTGATCCCTTTGCTTTGAATGCTTCGTAATTATTCATTGAGAGCTAGATATTTTTTAATGAAAATGTTAGAGACTCTGAAATCATTCTTCACAGGGTGTTGAATATTCTTTTCACAGACATATCCCTTTGGTTCAGTTGAGGCATCTCTGTTTTTGGTGCCCTTCATTGTTCTGGTTCATGTGACTCTTCCATGGTGTCAATTGAAAGCCTGAGTTGTTGTTGTTGTTATTGTTGTTGTTGTTTTTTACCAGGGTACCTTGTCCTATATGCACCCTATACTCCAGTCTTTGGCTCCACAGCATCATGAGACTGCTGAAATACACTTCAGACTTAGTTTTTCAGCATCTTACTCTCTGCGTGTAAAATTTAGGAGTCAGGAAATGCCGTAGGGGAAAAATTATACCCAGAATATCAGGTTAACCGTAATGCATTTCCCTTCTGCCTAGGATCTTTGCCCCTAAAGTTTTGGCTGTATTAGTTGTTCTCTCTCTCATGGCTTCCATTTTCTATATTTTATTTAGCTTCTATAATTTTCTGCATGAAATTTAGTCTGATAATAATTACTACATTATGACCAAAAGCAAAATCCCAGTATGTATTTTTATTAATTTATATTCCATGTTTTATTTTTAAACATTCTCAAACTACAGAAGAGTTGTAAGTAAAATGCAAATTGTTTTTTTTTCATAAACCACTTGAGAATAAGGTTCTGACATGATGTCCCATCACCTCTGAATTCTCTGTGTATTTCCTGCAAACCAGAACATTCTCCCATATAACCCAATAACAACCATCAGAATTAAGGAAATTATTATTGGCATATTATTTTGTCATCTAATCCACAGATCCCATTCAAGTTTCTCTAGTAATCTCAGTCAATGTCCTTTATATAATAGAATAAATATCTAGTTCAGGATCACATGATACATTTAGTAGTCATACCTCTTTAGTCTCGTTTACTCTGGAACAGTTCTTCAGTCTTTCCTTGGCTTTCATAACATTGACATTTTTGAGGATTACACGCCAGTATCTTGCAGAACATTTTTCAAATTGGGTTTTTCTGATGTATTCTCATGATTAGATCCAAATTAGGTATCTTCGACAGGAATATCACAGAGGTGATGTTGTGTTTTTATTGAATAGTATCAGGTGACACATAATGTGAATTTCTTCCAATATTAGTGATATTAATGTTGATTACTTGATTAAGATATCAGGGTTTTTTTCCCACTATAGAATTAACTTTATATTTTTCCAATTAAAACGAAGTAGTATTTTGTGGGGAGGTATTTTGAGACTATTTAAGTATCCTCCTCCTTATCAAACTTACAGTTTATATTTTGTTTCATTTTATTTTATTTCATTTTAGAGATAGGGTCTTGTTCTTTCACTCAGGGTGGAGTGCAGTGGCGTGATCCTCATTGTAACTCCTGGGCTCAAGTGATCTTCCTGCTCAGTCTCCCAAGTAGCTGGAACTACAGATGCGTGTCACCATGGCTTCTTTTTTTCCTGTTAATTCTTTTTGTAGAGGCAGGATCTCAAAATGTTGCTCTGACTGGTCTCTAATTCTTGGCCTCAGGCAATCTGCTGGGTTACAGGTGTGACCCACCACACTTGTCCCCAGTTTATTTTTTATGTCATTAATGGAGTCATAGATTTCAACTTTATTCAGTGGCTTATTTTATTAGTTATCTATTATTACATAACAAATTACCTCAAATTGAGTGGCTTATAATAACACATACATTTAGGCTGGGCACAGTGGCTCACACCAGTAATCCCAGCACTTTGAGAGGCCGAGGCAGGTGGGTCATTTGAGGCCAGGAGTTCAAGACCAGCCTGGCCAATATGGTGAAACTCCATCTCTACTAAAAATACAAAAAATTAGCTGGGTGTGGTGGCGGGTGCCTGTAGTCCCAGCTACTCAGGAGGCTGAGGCAGGAGAATCGCTTGAACCTGAGAGGCGGAGGTTGCAGTGAGCCAATATTGTGCCACTGCACTCCAGCCTGGGTGACAGAGCAAGACTCTGTCTCAAAAAAAAACAAAAACACAGACATTTATATTTTTTTGGGGGGGTGATTTACAAGTGAGTTGTATTTAAACTTTAAATGGCGAATAGTTATTACAATATTAAATTTTTCAAAAATATATAGAAAAATGAATACTTAATACTTATTTTCAATAAATTTTTATGAGCTCCAGTATTTCAGAGTGCCACCTCCCAAAATGACAGCATGATATACCTTGGCAATAGTTTAGACCTCTTCTAGAATTTTCTCACATCTGCTTTTTTTTTGCCAAACATATATATGTTTATATTTTTTCTCCCTGGCTGTATTGCTGTATAATTGGCAAACAAAAATTATTATTATTATTATTTTTTTATTCTGGGGTACATGTGCAGGATGTGCAGGTTTGGTACGTAGGTAAACATGCCATGGTGTTTTGTTGCACCTATCAACCCATCACCTAGGTATCAAGCCCAGCATGCATCAGCTCTTTTCCCTAATGCTCTCCCCTGACCCGCCCTCCTGGCAAACAAAAATTACATTTAAGGTGTACAACATGTTGTTTTCATATACATATTCATTGTAAAATGCTTGTCTCAATCAAGCTAATTAACATATCTGTAACCTAGCATACATGTAACATCTCACAGTTTCTTTTCTTTCTTTCTTTCTTTTTTTTTTTTTTGATACAGAGTCTCGCTCTGTCACCCAGGCTGGAGTGCAGTGGCACGATCTTGGCTCACTGCAACCTCTGCCTCCCAGGTTCTGGCAATTCTCCTGCCTCAGCCTCTGGAGTAGCTGGAATTATAGGCACACACCACCATGCCTGGCTAATTTTTATATTTTTAGTAGAGACAGGGTTTCACCATGTTGACCAGGCTGGTCTCGAACTCCTGACCTCAGGCGATCCACCCACGTCGGCCTCCCAAAGTGCTGGGATTACAGGTGTGAACCACTTCGTCTGGCCAGTACCTCACAGTTTCTTTCAATCAGGAGTCTGGGCACAGCTGACCTGGGCCTTCTGCTTTAGAATCTCTCTCACAAGGCCATAATCAAGGTGGTGTCTAGGGCTGAGGTCTCATTTGAAGGTTTTATTTCGAGAAAAAGCCACTTCCAAGCTTATTGTTGTTGGTGGTGGTGGAATTCTTTTCTTCAAGGGCTGTTGGACTGAGCCTCAATTCTTAGTTGTTTGTTGACTGGGTCACCGCCAGGTCTGTGCCATGGGGACATCTACAGTATGACTGCTTGTTTCATCAAAGCGTGCAAACCAAGAAGGCAATAGAGTCTGTTAGCAAGATGGAAGTTGCAGTCTTAACCTAATTAGGAAAATGGCATCACATCACCTTTACCAAGGGCATGCATACCAAGCGGTGGGAAACATCGGGGGGCATGTTAGAGTTTGCCTGCTACCGTTATCCATTATTATCATTATTTAGTTTGATATTCTAATTTTCTCAAATGTAGCCTGCCTCAGTCTTTCACTCTGGCCCCTGTATTATTTTGACATGTCTCTGTCATTCATTGAGCACCTCAAGAAGATATTCCAAGCTCCTCTTAAACTTTCCTGTCCAAGCCCTCGCATTGTTCTAAGGAGCTCTGGTTCCTTTTAGTGGAGAGTGATATTTTGAATCATTAAATGTGTTTGTTGCTATTAGGTTGCTCCTAGGCCCTCTCAGTTGGTAGTCAGTCTGTGTGTGTCTGTGGGTATATGTGTACATATATATATATATATCATGAATATATTATTTACCTAGGAATTTCTCGGTGTAATACATTGTAAGATTTCAGCTTACAACAACATCCTCAATTCTAGTTCAGCAATGTAATATTCATTCTAGTTTTCTTTCTTTCTATACTTGTAACTTGTTTTTCTGATTATGAGAAACCTAGCTCTTATTATCCTTTGTATTTGATCTGCCACCTTTATTTGATCAATCTTCCTGTATAATCCATCTCCTGTTGCTGACATATCTCTCGCTCCATTTCTCACCCCATACTTCATATGCATGCCTCCCTCACCCTTTTGGGATCCGACAGCTTGCACTTGGCTGCCCCTTCCACCCTCCTCACTCCACTGGGTCTGAAACTCACTGCTGGACCACTGCCTCTCCCTCTCTTAATGCATGCCTTCTTCTGCCGACATGGGCAACCCTCACTGCCATCCCCCCACCCTCCACTGCCCTGTGTGGATGTGGACATCCTCATCATTCTGCTCACTGCTGTTACAGTTCCTACGTGGTAGCCTTCCTTGTTCCATTAGGGCTCTGTCACCTCATGCTGGGTCCCCCTCCCAGCAGATTTTTTCCTATCACTCTGCTTAGTCCCTGAAACTCTGTGCCCTGTCCTTTTCCCTCTCGGGAATACCCTTTTCCTACTACTTGGACTCCAAAAGCCTGTTTTGGGCCACTGTAGTCAACTCTCTGCCACTTAGCTTGATGCCTCCTTTGCCTGTACTCACCTATTGAACTGTTCAGGTAGGAAAGGAGAAGAGGGAGAGGTATCAGTTAAATTTTATTTTTGAAAAACTCACTGGTATTTTTACAACAAATGCTTTTAACTTAGTTTGTTATTACTTACATAGAAGTCAGTTACTCCCACATCTCTGTAATCGCTACAGGTTTATACTCATATTTTCATGCCATATTTTTCTTACATACTAGATAGAGGTTTACTATCACATCAGATTCATGATTTCTGAACTTGGTTACTCCCTGCACCCTCCAAACGAGTTTCAGTTTACCAGTGTCTGTCACTACCACTACTGTTCTTCTAGTCATTCAAGTTTGAAATGTTGAAGTTAATTCATTTTTCCTTATGATCAGTTATCCAGTCCTGTTGATCCTTCTTTTGATGTACGTTATCTTCTCCATGGCCATTACTTTAATGAATATAATAACCTCTTGGGTGCGATTTCTTTATTTAGTTTGTGTAGTCATTCCTGTGCCCCTAAACCATTTTGGCTTCCCATTTCTTAATGAGTGAAGTAACTCCATGTTTAACTTTTAAAGTGCCATTTTAATGTAACACTATTCTAGATAGTCAGAATATCTAGTTTTGACTCCCATCTTTGTTGCTTACTAACTACTCATCAACGTGTAATTTATTTAACCTCCCTGGGTCTGTTTATTTTTATTTTATTATACTTTAAGTTCTAGGGTACATGTGCACAACGTGCAGGTTTGTTACATATGTATACATGTGCCATGTTGGTGTGCTGCACCCATTAACTCGTCATTTACATTAGGTATATCTCCTAATGCTATCCCTCCCCCCTCCCCCCTCCCCCCACCCCACAACAGGCCCTGATGTGTGATGTTCCTCTTCTGTGTCCAAGTGTTTTCATTGTTCAATTCCCACCAAGAGTGAGAACGTGCAGTGTTTGGTTTTTTGTCCTTGTGATAGTTTGCTGAGAATGATGGTTTCCAGCTTCATCCATGTCCCTACAAAGGGCATGAACTTATCCTTTTTTATGGCTGGCTACTATTCCATGGTGTATATGTGCCACATTTTCTTAATCCAGTCTATCATTGTTGGACATTTGGGTTGGTTCCAAGTCTTTGCTATTGTGAATAGTGCCACAGTAAACATACGTGTGCATGTGTCTTTAGAGCAGCATGATTTATAATCCTCTGGGTATATACCCAGTAATGGGATGGCTGGGTCAAATGGTATTTCTAGTTCTAGATCCCTGAGGAATTGCCACACTGTCTTCCACAATGGTTGAACTAGTTTACAGTCCCACCAACAGTGTAAAAGTGTTCCTCTTCTCCACATCCTCTCCAGCACCTGTTGTTTCCTGACTTTTTAATGATCACCATTCTAACTGGCGTGAGATGGTATCTCATTGTGGTTTTGATTTGCATTTCTCTGATGGCCAGTGATGATGAGCATTTTTTCATGTGTCTGTTGGCTGCATAAATGTCTTCTTCTGAGAAGTGTCTGTTCATATCCTTCACCCACTTGTTGATGGGGTTGTTTGTTTTTTTCTTGTAAATTTGTTTGAGTTCTTTGTAGATTCTGGATATTAGCCCTTTGTCAGAGGAGTAGATTGCAAAAATTTTCTTCCATTCTGTAGGTTGCCTGTTCACTCTGATGGTAGTTTCTTTTGCTGTGCAGCTCTTTAGTTTAATTAGATCCCATTTGTCAATTTTGGCTTTTGTTGCTATGGCTTTTGGTGTTTTAGACATGAAGTCCTTGCCCATGCCTATGTCCTGAATGGTATTGCCTAGGTTTTCTTCTAGGGTTTTTATGGTTTTAGGTCTAACATTTAAGTCTTTACTCCACCTTGAATTAATTTTTGTGTAAGGTGTAAGGAAGAGATCCAGTTTCAGCTTTCTATATATGGCTAGCCAGTTTTCCCAGCACCATTTATTAAATAGGGAATCCTTTCCCCATTTCTTGTTTTTGTCAGGTTTGTCAAAGATCAGATAGTTGTAGATGTGTGTTATTATTTCTGAGGGCTCTGTTCTGTTCCATTGGTCTATATCTCTGTTTTGGTACCAGTACCATGCCGTTTTGGTTACTGTTGCCTTGTAGTATAGTTTGAAGTCAGGTAGCATGATGCCTCCAGCTTTGTTCTTTTGGCTTAGGATTGACTTGGCAATGCGGGCTCTTTTTTGGTTCCATATGAACTTTAAAGTAGTTTTTTCCAATTCTGTGAAGAAAGTCATTGGTATTGATATTGATTCTTCCTATCCATGAGTTTTTTTTAATTAAGTTAAATTTTTTTTATTTTCCAGTTTTTCATAAAAATAGAGATGGGGTCTAGTTATGTTGACCAGGCTGGTCTTGAACTCCTGGTCTCAAGCAGTCCTCCCACCTTGGCCTCCCAAAGTGGTGGGATTATACACATGAGCCACCTTGCCTGACCCTCTCTGGGTCTTATTTACCTTACTAGTTTATTATACAGGTGAATGAATTGGGGAAGAGCTTGTTCCGCAATTCATTGCCAAACAATGAATTGTTAGACTGACAAAGCTAACTAACAAAGCTTGTTAGTTTGTTATACAGAGAATGTTATACAGATGCAGCTTGTTAGTTTGTTATACATATAGTAACAAGTGCTACAATAAAATTAAAGTCTGTGACTGAGCTTTTCTAAATATTTGAAAATTTACCTAAACTTATAGTAGCTGTTGTCTAATGCAATTTAGTACATTGTTAAATTTTTTCTTGTAGTTACTATTTGTTAGTAGTTTATCTCCTTGAAATAGAGTGTAAACTACTTGAGTCTGTGGATTTGTGGAGACAAACACATTTGAGTATTATTTCTGCCATTGTCATTTAGGCACTATAACTTCACTGAACTTGAGTGTACTCTCTTGTTAAGGCAAAAGTACTAATAATTCTTTGACAAGAAGGTAATGCTTAAATGAAATAATGTACTTAAGGGATCTAGTACAATGCCTGGCAGACAGTTTATTCCCGGTAAACTTTACTTATCCTCTTTTTGTACTCCACCTGTGCCCACTTTGGTAATGAAAAAATAAATGGCTTCCCAGAACAGTTTGAAATGCAAGTGGCATTCACAGAAGCCTATTCCTGGTGATGATGCCATTTATATTTTTTTCTTTTGCACTTTGCAGCTTTTAGAATCCTTATTTTAGCCGGGTGAGGTGGCTCGTGCCTGTAATCCCAGCACTTTGGGAGGCCAAGGCAGGTGGATCACCTGAGTTCAGGAGTTCGAGACCAGCCTGGCTAACATGGAGAAACCCTGCCTGTCTCTACCAAAAATACAAAAATTAGTCAGGCGTGGTGGTGCATGCCGGCAGTCCCAGCTACTCAGGAGGCTTAGTCAGGAAAATCACTTGAACCTGGGAGGCGGAGGTTGCAGTGAGCCGAGATCATGGCATTGCACTCCAACCTGGGCAACAAAAGTAAAACTCTGTCTCAAAGAAAAAAAAAGAATCCTTGTTTTAGTTTTACCACAACCTTGTGCAATAAGGCTGGGCAGATATGATTATCCTATCTGACAGGTGGGAGTTTTGTTTTTGGAGTGAACTAAATTGGGATTCTTAAGAGGCAATCATTGGATTTGTAGGTAAAGTCTGAATGTATTACATGATTATGGTATACTGCATTTCTCTGAATTTCTTAGTTGATATAGTAGTGAAAAGGGAATTCTTCTATTCCATGGCTTAAGGATACGTAAACTCTCAGTACAGCAATCTTTTTATTGTTGATTATTATAGCTTCTGTTACTCCTAGAAGTTGACCAACAGGGACCTTAATTTAGGAGATTTTGTCATTCAGCTTTCGTATAGTAAATGCTGAGGCTAGCCCTTTGCCTGCAGGGCTATCAGTGAAGAGGATCTGTGACATTACTCCAGACAGCCAAGTGTAGGGGGAAGAGTTGAGATTTTCAGTGTTCTCTGTGTAAATGAATTGTGCCATTGAACCTGATGGGCACTAGATACTATATTCTTCTTGAAGCACTGGAGGCCCTTCATTGCAATCTTGTTTTTTCAACTTTTATTTTAAAATTGGGGTATATGTGCAGGTTTGTTACAGAGATATACTGCACGATGCTGAGGTTTGGAGTCTGAGTGAATCTCACCCAGGTAGAGAGTGCAAAGTACCCATAGGTAGTTTTTTCAAGCTTTACCCCCTTTGTCCTCCCACCTTTTGTATTCCTCAGTGTCTGTTCCCTTCTTTATGTCCATGTGTACTCAAGGTTTTGTTCCTATGTATAAGTGAGAAAATGTGGCATTTGGTTTTCTGTTTCTGCATTAGTTCGCTTAGGATAATGGCTTCTAGCTGCATCCATGTTCTGCAGAGGACATGATTTCATTATTTTTTATGGCTACTTAGTATTCCATGGTATATGTGTACTGCATTTTCTTTATCCAGTCTTCCGTTGATGGGTACCTGGGTTGATTCTGTGTCTTTACTATCGCATTGCAGCATTTCAATTTTTTTTCTGATTCAGGTAGTAGAAAACATGTTCAGTCTTATTTTTTTCTGTGCTGTGTATGCTTTTTAAAGGCTAGTGAAGTCATTCAGTTGGATAACAACAATTATAATACATTGTTATACTCTTCAACTTTCTTTGATTTTGCAAAGGAGAGTCAATTGGGGTGACGTTAGGTGGGAACTGAGCTGAAGAAACTAATATGTGCTGTGCAGGGCTGGATTTGTGTAGGATGCAGTCATTATCTGTTAACTTTGTCATAGCTTTTGAGACTGCATGTAAGGAGTAGGTGATTTGCAAGTTATTTAACAGTTAACAGAAGGTAAATATTTAAACAGGAGAATGCGTAGTTGCTGCTTAGTTTAAAACCTGCTTTTTTTTTTTTTTTTAATTAAAAAAAATGTTTTTTAGCCAGGCGTGGTGGTGCACGCCTGTAGTCCCAGCTACTGGGCAGGCTGAGGCAGAAGGATTGCTTAAGTCCAGGAGGTCAAGGGTGCAGTGAGCTGTGATCGTGCCACTGCACTCCAGCCTGGGCAAGAGAGTGAGACTCTGTCTCAATAAAAGGAAAGAAAGGGAAAAAAAATTAAGTATAGAAAGAAAATTTTAGGAATTTAAATATAATTTGCAAGGAAAAACAACAAAAACAGTCCAAACTTTAAGTAGAAAACTATGTGCTTTTCAGGTATTTTAAAGGTAAATTTTAAAGGGCATTATTTATTAAATGTTGAAGGACAGAAAACATCTTACATATTTGTCAGAAACTGACCAATCAGAATGGCCCTGAAATGTATAGACTTAATAAGGATAGTAACCAAAATGACAGTCCTTTCCACTTTGTTCCTCATTGCCCAAATTTGCTATTTTCTCCTTCTTTTACGAAATGCTTCTAAATGTGAAGATAGAAGGGAAACAGGTAGAGTAAAAGTTATAGCCCACTCCATTTATTTTGTAATAATATTTTTTCTCAGTGTTAAGTGGCATTTACCAGTATAGATAAGATTAATTGTTACAAAACAAACCAATTTGAAGATTAGTTTTTAAATTGAGCCATAATATATAAAATCTTATGGTAATGTGCAGATCTGACTATATTCAAGTATAGTTTTCATACCCATACCAATTGTCTTGTAATAATCGGGAATGCATCCTCTGTGTGGTGTTTGCAAATTAATGCTATTTTGGAAATCACACCGGTATATCTAGTGGCTTTCCTGGGTGTATGTGGCTCATTACTGATTATAATTTTCTTTGGGAATTTTAGTTTAAGGGGATGGGGTAAGCACTTTCAAATTCTTTGTTGTTAGTAGTTTTGATGGAGGATAGGGATAAATGAATGAGGAAGTGTGTTAGAACGAGTAAGTAAACTCAGATAATTTATCAAGTACATACTACAAAAATAACGCAGATTTTTATGTAAAACGGAGGAGACAAATCATTCACAAGAGGAAAGCCTTAAAAACTTACCAAGGAGCATTCACAAAAATAAATATGTATATTTTAATTTTAAAAAGAGCCCCAAGTCTGTGAATGAAAGGGTTCTGGTTGGTTTCTAGACCCAGCTGTGCTTGCTGTATGCCATGCAGGTGGCTTTAGTATGGTTAAAAGTGTCGCCTGCCCTCTTGTGAAGGGAAGCAGGAGAAGCGACAAGCTACCTTCCAGTGCCTCCTCGATTTTCTTCCACTATTTCCTTTGTCCTTTTCCTGTGTTTTCATGCTCTATTTATTTACACCCACTTCTGACTTCTCTTTTTTCTCAGATTCAATCTTTCCTTCCGAATGACTGTGAGATTTTTTTCTACCCAGCACACACAGAAACTTAACCAATTGCGTATGTACAGCATTTCCATTTCTTTTTTCTTTCTTTTTTTTTTTTTTTTTTTTTTTGAGACGGAGTCTTGTTCTGTCGCCAGGCTGGAGTGCAGTGGCACAATCTCAGCTCACTGCAACCTCCGCCTTCCGGGTTCAAGCGATTCTCCTGCCTCAGCCTCCTGAGTAGCTGGGACTATAGGCGTGCACCACCATACCCAGCTTATTTTTGTATTTTTAGTAGAGATGGGGTTTCACCGTGTTGGCCAGGATGGTCTTGATCTCTTGACCTTGTGTTCCACCCACCTTGGCCTCCCAAAGTGCTGGGATTACAGGCGTGAGCCACCGTGCCCAGCCTGTGTACAGCATTTCTTATAACAATGAGTTACTTTTATGTTAAGGATTTTTTTTTTTTTTTTTGAGACGGGTCCCTTCCTTCCTTCCTTCTTCTCTTTCTTCTCTTACTTTCTTTTCTTTCTTCTTTCTTTCCACAGGGTCTTGCTTTGTTGCCCAGGCTGGTGTGCAGTGGCATGATCACCGCTCATTGCTGCCCTGATATCCCTGGCTCAAGCAGTCCTCCCATCTCAGCCTCCCCAAGTAGCTAGGACCACAGGCATGTGCCACCATGCCCAGCTATTTTTTAAATTTTTTGTAGAGATGGGGTCTCCCACATTACTGAGGCTGGTCTTGAACTTCTAGGCTCAAGGGATCCACCTGCCTCGCCCTCCCAAAGTGCTGGGATTATAGGATTGAGCCACCACATCTGGCTCCAGGACAGTGTCTACTACCAGAACAGCATTTAATAAGTATTTATTGAATAAATGATTAAAATATTAGCCTTAAGAAAATTTTAGTATCATTTACTTAAAAAATTAGCAAAGCATTCTTAATACGTATAAAGAAGTAATATGAGTAGAATGTGATTCTCAACAGCAAGGAAGCTTTTTTTACCCTATTTTCTCCATTCTCTTTCTGTTGCCTTCTCCTTCCAATGTGAGAATCTCTGCTATTAAGAACCGCTGGCAGAGACTGAAATTAGTATACATAATTCTAAGGAGATATTGATGTAAATGGTCGATATGGATTGGCAGGATGACAGGGAGAAGGAAATTATAAGTTTAAAGACAGGGGTAAGATGAGTATTTGAACAAAATATCAAGGTAGGTAGTTAGCTAGAGTGCCAGGGCCAATTAGAAGATTAGAGAAGGTGAGTTGATGTTGGCAGTGGGGGAAATGTCAGATTGACAGAGTGCTTGGATTTCATACAGTAGATATCTCATCATGAATTATTGATGAGAGTGACATGATAACAAAGTGAAGACAATTATTTTTCTATTTAGCTGCTGTTTATAAAATGGATCGTAGCTTGAGGTGAGGAAACGTTGAAAACAGTGAACAAAGTTCAGAGATTGTTGGAGTAATTCAAAGCAGTTTAGCTGTTTTGCTTGGTATGTTATCTGGTGATGCCTTTAGCAGATACCCTTCTTTTGAAGCCCAGTGTCCACTTTATGACTGAGGGATGGATGGAGGCAGGAGGAAGAATTCTGCACTAGAAAGCAACAGGCCAAGATTCTAGTCCCTACTTCCCTACTTTGTAAATTCATAATCATGGATAAATACTTAATTTTTCCTGGGCATCAGTCACCTTACCTATAAAATGAGGATAATGTATTAAGCGTAGTCCTATGGGTGGTAAATAAAATGAGGATAATAATCTAAAATCAGGGGATATACATAGATCTCCTTTGGATTTATTTGCAGCCCATTATCTATCTATCTTTATTTAGATAAGAGACGGGATCTTGCTGTGCTGCCCAGGCTGGATTTGAACTCCTGGGCTCAAGCGATCCACCCATCTCAGTCTTCTGAGTAGCTTGGACCACAGGCACAAACCTCTTGCATGGCTCTCATTGTCCATTTATCAATTTTAGATGGTGTAAACAGTGAATACCATATTTTGTTTCCCAATATTACTTTCTACAACTATATTGTTTTAAGGAGAAAAAAGTCTATGACAATATAAAATATTTCAAAGTCTGTAATTTTAAGGTTTAATGTTACCTATATTGACTACTATATTTTAAAATATGTATCCCTGTTTTTATATGTGCCATGATTAGGTATTTAGTTTTTTAGTTATTATTAGACTGTAATAGCACTCAAGTTGATGGATAAAATTTCATCCTGGGATACTTTTAGAGAAACATGAAGAATATAAAAATAGTTTTGAAAAGTATGGTTTCTTTCTTACAAAGCTGTAGCTGCAATAATACTAATGTCAGTTACTTAGAGCTACTAGAAATGTGTAATTTCTACCTTTTTTGACTACTGAATATACCATATGTATTATATATATGTACATTCTTAGGTATTTTTGTTTGTTTGTTTAGAAGGTTTTAATACCAACAGCTTTCTAGGTGTCGTCTTCTTCCTCTTCCTCTCCCCTCCCCCCCTCCCCTCCCTCCCTTCCTCCTCCTCCTCCTCCTCCTTTTTCTTCTTCTTCTCTCTCTCTCCTTTCTCTCTCTTTTCTCTCTCCTTTTTCTCTGTCTCTCCTTTCTCTCTCTCTGTGTCCCTGTCTCTCTTTGTTGTTGTTTTCCCTTCTGTTTGGGTTGTTTCTTCCCCTCGCCTTATACCCCCCACCCCCCACAGACCCCAATCCATCTGGAAAGATGAAGAGGCAGCTGCTATGGTAACTGTGCATTTTGGTTAATGAATAGCAGACTAACAAGATACATAAAACATACGCAAACTGTGCAGAGTTTGTTGCTGTCAAAGCCGTAGGGATACAATACTTTTTCTTTTCCTTCTAAAAAAAAAAAAAACTCTCTTAACTGTGGTGTTTTGTTTTCTAATTTACCATTCCTAATATTGTAATGTTTCTGTGAACTCCTCCTCTTTCTGCTTAGTCTGCACAGTATTACACCCTGTGGTGAGTTTATGGGAGCTGAGTTGAGGTGCATAGAGGAAAATAATTGATCAACTGGATTAAGAAGTAGATTTCCTTTAGACTGATACATAGAAGAATAGGGACAAAATGTTTTTGACTAAATGTTTGGTTTTTTGAACGATAACTTCTTTTTTTACCTCCTTTCCTTTTGGCCACTACTGCCCCTTTTGGGATTCTCTCTGGGGTTAAAGCCAGTAAGTAGTGTGTTTCTTAAAGATGTTTCTATCATAAAGGTCAGCTGCAACTGGAATATTGCGTTCAGCCAAGCCTTAAAAATTCCTGTAATCTGTGCCATCCTGTCTCATACTGTCCCATCTCATAGTTGTCCTCTCTCTGCAGTGCTCTATGCCCAGGTCTCTGTGGCTGGGCTGCTCCAGCCTGGCGGACAGCATGCCTTCGCTGCGATGCCTGTATAACCCAGGGACTGGCGCACTCACAGCTTTCCAGGTACTTTCTCTGTCTCTGTGGGTTATTTGCGGGCATTAGTGTATGTGTCTAATTCATTAGTATGTGCCTCCTCCTTTCCCATACTTTACTTATATTCATCTTTTCTCCTTCATATTGCCTGTATCTCACATCACTCAGTACTCCTTTAATGATTAGTTTATAATGTAGACCCAGACTGATCCACTCTTAAGACAATGTCATCATGATTGGTTACAAAAATTGACATAGTACAGCTTGACTGTTGGCTTTCAGATCAAGTAGAAGTATGATAGTAGATTTTAAAGTAATCTCAATAAATAGCAGTTCAATACGTAATATTTGCTCTGGACCTACATAAAGCCAATTAGTATAATCAATCAATTAATTACAATCAGTTTCCTGAACATTTTCTTATTTTTTTTAAATGATTACTCAAAGTATAAAGTGCCCTCTTCAGAGTATCTCCTGGTAATTATACTACTAAGTATATATTTTTTATAACTGTTTTATTTATATCTTGATTAACATTTCTAATTTCTAGGTGGAAAAACCTTTGAGACCTTTAGGTACAGTATTCACCTTGAGACACTCTAGCTAGTGTTTCATGAATTAACAGATTCCAGTTCCCCTCAGCCTTTCTTTTTTTTTTTTTTTTTTTTTTTTGAGACGGAGTCTTGCTTCATGGCGCAAGCTGGAGTGCAGTGGCGTGATCTCAGCTCACTGCATCCTGCGCCTCCTGGGTTCAAGCAATTCTCCTGCCTCAGCCTCCTGAGTAGTTGGGATTACAGTTACGCGCCACCACGCCTGGCTAATTTTTGTATTTTTAGTAGAGACTGGGTTTCACCATGTTGGCCAGGCTGGTCTCGAACTCCTGACCTCAGGTAATCCACCCATCTCGGCTTCCCAAAGTGCTGGAATTACAGGCAAGAACCACCGCACACAGACCCCTCAGCCTTTCTTAGAGGCCAGGATGTCAGTTCCAGGATGTGCGAGAAACTTATAGAGAAATAATGTGGAAAATTGTAGACAAAAACGTAGGAAAGAGTTTGGTGCTCATTGCTTACAGATTAGGGTACCATACATGATTGTTTTCTTGACTGAGTCTTATCTGCGTACCTCAGGTATTTGGAATTTGTGTTTAGCATTTTATAGTAATACACAACAAATTAGTTTTTATATTAATATTTGCCTGCTTTTAACCTGTTGTTCATATCTATTTAGAAGAATTTCAAAGATAGGCTGTAAGTGTCAGAAGGCTTGTGACTAAATTTTAGCTAAAAGAGGGGAACTTAGGTTTTCCACATTCCTAACCTATGCTAAGAGTTGTTAATTTTTAATGATACTATTTAGTGATCATAAAGCTGGATATTTTCATTTTTCCTTTACAAAATTTAATATCTTAAGATTTTCAGTTTTCCTTTACAAAATTTAATATTAAACTTCCTTGGCTTATACTATGAGATACAATATAGTAAAGCATGCAGGTTCTAAAATTAGCTAAATCAAGTCTTGAATATTGTCTTTGTCACTAGTGGTATGATCCTGAACTTATTTCCTTATCTGTAAATGGATACTATAGTAAGGGCATGCAGTGATGGTAGCTGCTTTTATCATGATCGTTATAAACATTATTGCTATTATTGGAGAGTAATTGATATCCTGAGACTGCTTATTTATTTCAAAGTGAAATATCTTTTTTTTCCTTTTTTTTTTTTTGAGACAGTCTTGCTCTGTTGTCCAGGCTAGAGTGCAGTGGCACAATCTCGACTCACAGCAACCTCTGCCTACTGGGCTCTAGTTGCCCTCCTACCTCAAACTTCCGGGTAGCTGAGACTACAGGCACACGACCACACTTGGCTCATTTTTCTATTTTTTTTGTGGAGATAGGGTTTCACCATGTTGTCCAGGCTGGTATCGAACTCCCCAGCTCAAGTGATCTGCCTGCCTCAGCCTCCCAAAGTGCTGGGATTACAGATGTGAGCCACTGCACTTGGCTATATCCTATATTTTTAACTACATATCATACTGACAAGGTTCTGCCATTGAAGAATCCATAGTCTAGTTTGTTGGTTTTTTTGTTTTGTTTTGTTTTTTAACCTTTTCGGGGTTGCAGTTAGTTTAGGCGATCTGCAAAGTCTGAGGGAATTGTAGTGCCTAAAAGGCTGCTCCTACTTCAGAAACTAGTTTCATGTTTAGAGGCCCCCACAACCACTCTTAGGTTTGATAACTTGCTAGAAAGGACTTAGAATTCACTGAAAACAATTATACTCACAGTTTATTACAGGAAAAGGACACAGGTTAAAATTAGCCAAAAGAAGAGACACATAGGGCAGAATCTCGGAAGGATCCAATTGTAGAACTTCCTGTCATCCTCTCCCCATGGAGTCATGGATGGCATTACTGCCTCCCAGCCGCAGTGTGTGACAATACTCACAGAGTATTACCAACCATGAAATTGACCTGAGCCTTTGGTGTCCAGGTATTCACTGGGGCTCTATCACATACTGCTCACATGGCTGACTTCTAGTCTCTTATTTCCTCCTGGTGTTGAAACTTATAGGTATGGTTTAGTGCCCCCAACATGAATCACATTTGTCCAGTCGCTAAATCTCTCAGGCAAGCAGAGATACTCTCACCAGACAAGAAGTTCCAGGGGCCCAGAGACCGCTTTCCAGTAGCCAAGAGGAAAGGCCATTCCTTTCTTTGGTGAAGAGTAATTCTTCACTACACAGGGGTCATGGATCTCTTTGGGAATCTGATGAGAACTATTGATCTTGGGTATTTGGCAACATTGTGTTGAATACTTTACATACATATATAGATGTTTATTATATTTCTATTTTGTGAAATGATTGAGAGCTATTAAATCACATAATTCTGAAAGTGTAATCTCCCAAGCTGATAAATTCTAGGAAGGGAATGTTCAAGGAGCTGTAAGAATATATAAAAGGGGGACCCAATCTAACCTGAAGTTTGAGGTAAAGAAGATCAGGTAATCAATGTTTAAGAGCTGAAGGATGAATAGGAATTAACTCGATAACAGGGAGGAATGGAGGAGAAGGAGGACATTTCAGGCCTAAGGAAGAGTCAGTGCAAAGGCCCCAAGAGCCAGTGAGGCTTGGTGCATTTAAGGACCCTACTGAAAACAAGACTGTTGTTTCAGAGAATAAAGAGAAAGGGGAGAATAGAGTGAGAAAAGACTGGGGAAGCTTGATCACTGAGGTCTTATGGGCCATTCAAAGTGTGTAGTTTAGTCTTGATTCTAAGAATAGTAAGTCACTGAAAGGATTTAAGCACAAGTTTTACCTGATCTGATTTGCATTACTCTGGCTATAAGAAGATGCATTTAGATATGTTACTCTGGCTATAAAAAGGATAATTTCAGTAGTTGAAGAGAGAGATGATGGCAGCTTGGTTTTGGACCCAGGATCTTTAAATTCTTAAAAAATTATTGAGGACCCCAAAGTGCTTTTGTTTATATGGCTTATATCTATTGATATTCACTATATTTGTAATAGGAATTAAGAAAAAAAAATTAAATATTCTTTAATTCACCTAAAGACTATAATAAACCTGTGGCATATAATGCAAATAACATTTTTATGAAAAATATATTTTTCAAAAAAAATTAAGACTAGTGTATTACATTTTTATGAATCTCTTTAATGTCTGGATTAAGAAAAGACAGCTGGATTCTCATGTCTGCTTCTGCACTCAATCTATTGTGGTTTGTTATTTTGGTTGACATATGTGAGTAATATCTGACCTGGCATAGGTATATAGTTTGAAAGGGAAAGATATTTTAATACCATTTTCAGGTAGTTGCAGTTTCTTGAAGATTAGTTGCAGTATGGTATCTGAAGCCTTATCAATGAACTTCCTCTGTTATTGTATTAAAATCCATTGGTCTCAGTTTTTTTCAATAAATTATGCTGGAACAATTGGATATCCTTGTGCAAAACAATGAACCTCAACGGTTATACTGCACTATATACATAAATTAATTTGAAATGGATCATAGACCTAAATCGGAGTTAACATGTATAAAACTAATAGAAAATGTGGCAAAAATAATCATTGTGACTTTGGGTTAGGCAGAGATTTCTTAGCTAAGATACAAAAAATATGAACCATAAAAGAAATAACTGATAAATTGGACTTCATCACTGTTTAAAAATTCTGCTTTTCAAAAGACACTTTAAAAAAATGAGCAGGAACCAGGTACAGCAGTGCATGCCTGTAGTCCCAGCTACTCAGGAAGCTGAGGCGGGAGGATTGCTTAAGCCCAGGAGTTCAGGGCTATAGTGCCTGTGAAAAACCACTGCTTAAGAACAGCCTGACCAACATGGCTGAAACCCCGTCTCTACTAAAAACGCAAATTTAGTAGAGACGGGGTTTCAGCCATGTTGGCCAGGCTGTTCTTAAACTCCTGTCTTCAGGTGATCTGCCCACCTCGGCCTCCTAAAGTCCTGGGATTACTGGCATGAGCCACTGCACCTGGCCTCAACAAGATTATTATTATGTCTTATGTAGCAAAAATGGGCTTATGTACTGGTTTTACCCTATCAATTCAATAATTTGTTCTATGTCAGGTTCAGCACACACAGGTGCTTGATAATACTGGTTGACTAATAGGCAGAAACTGGATTTGAATCTAGTATCTTCTCTGCCCACCTACTGGAATTACAGCAGTCTTAGTGCATTTGCATCCTTCTGGTTTAGGTTTTATTTTATTTACCTAGATTTTTATTTAGGTAAATTATTTACTTAGATTTTTATTTAGGTAAAATTTACATACAGTGAGATACATGGATCATAAGTGTACTCTTAGGTGAGTTTTGACAAATGCATACTTTTGTGTAACCTTCAATTTCAAGATACACAACAGTTTCATAATCTGAGTTTCCTCATACTCCTTTCCAGTCTGTACCCATCCCCCATATGCAATTACTGTTCTGATTTGTCACCAAGAATTTGTGTTGCCTATTCTTGAACTTACTTCATATAAATGCCATCATATAGTGTACATTCTTTGTGTCTGTTTTCTTTCAATCAGTATGATGTTTTTAAGATTTATCCATGTTACGTATATCAGTAGTTCTCTTTTATTGTTAAATATATTTCATTATATTAGTACACCACAATTTGTTTATCCATTCATTTATTGATAGGTATTTGGATTGTTTCCAATTTTGGCCTATTATTAATAAAGCTACTATAAACAGTTTTGTATAAGTCTTTTTTTTGGCATGTATTTTTATTTCTCTTAGGTACATGTCTAAGAATGGAATTTGTTGGGTCATAGAGTAAGTGTATTTTTAACTTTAAAAGAGACAGTGAAGCAATTCTTCAAAGTGGTTGTCACAGGAATACCCATTTTTACTAATATTGACAAATATGTTAATGAAATGTCTCATTTAATGTAATGGCTTCATGACTTTTTTTTTTTGATCATTGGATTCTTTTAGTAAGTTTGAAGCATCTTAAGTCAAAATTCTTATGGCAATAAAGAAGGAGAAGCTATGGAGTCATTGCTGAATTTGTTGGATTATTCCCAGTAGCTCAAATTGAAACCACAGCATTGAGATGGTTTGAAAACTAGTGACAGGGAAGATGCTGAAAAAAGTTGTTAGAATAAATTCTATGGGGATATGTTTAGTTTGAGGATATTTTTATTTTCATCATTCCATTGATTTATCCTGGAAAGTGTATGAGTGATTAGAAGATTTCTGTTGATTACCAGTAGATATATTTGATGGAATCATTTGCTCATTCCCAGCAAATGGTGATCCTATAATCTATAATATTAAATGAGAATGAGCAATAGAGTTAAAGTAATTAAAAATAGCTGAGTAATTAAGATTCTTTATTTTGCTTTAGATATTGAAAGAGAAGAGAAATGAAATTCTGACTGTAAGAATATAAGTAAGGGGCCGGGCACGGTGATGCACGCTTATAATCTCAGCACTTTGGAAGGCCAGGGCTGGCGGATCACATGAGCCCAGGAGTTCGAGACCAGCCTGGGCAACATAGTGAGACCCTGTCTCTACAAAAAATTAGCTGGGTGTGGTGGTACTCACCTGTCCCAGCTATCTGGAAGGCCAAGGTGGGAGGTCAAGGCTGCAGTGAGCCATGATTGCGACACTGCATTCTAGCCTGGGTGACAGAGTGAGACCCTGTTTCAATTAAAAAAAATAGATAGATAGATAGATAGATAGATAGATAGATAGATAGATAGATTTATATGGCCCTAGAATACTTTAGCTATCAAGTGTAACCAGTAATTTTAGGAAAATCTTGAGCTAAGTGAAACGTGATATTTTAACATTAGCTAGGGTTCCATGTCAAAGGTTGAAATTGTATTGAATTCAGGAGAGATGTTGTATTTTATTCCTTAAGAATGCTTACAAGTCTACTGAATTTTACCATGTACAAAGTGAAATGTTAAAATGGAACAATACAGGAAAATTAGGCATTATTCATTATATATATGGAAAACTTAATTTTACATTTGAGATTTTAGAGGAATATGGATTATCGAATTGAATATACATTAACATTCAAATTCTATTACAAAACAATACCATAAGGAAAATTATCCTGTGACAGAAATGCTTCTCATTCTGTAGCTGATACCCTCTCTATTGTATATGAATAATTTCTGTGTAGCACAATTTCTGTATAATAAATGTAGTTATTTTTTATGTATATGTTAACATTTGACTTGTATTTATCCCAGCTACACCCTTCACCTTAGGGGTTTGCAGGGAATGACAAATCAAACATGTTTTTGTTTGTTTGTGCAGAAATGTTTTGTTCTCCTAATAAAATGAATTATTGTTTATTATGGAATATGTACATTATTTGGTAAATATATAAACAAGAGTATCACCCATATGCCTTCCACTTTAAGATAATTATTGCTAGATTAACATGTTAGTGTCCTTTGATCTGAAATGACTTATCCATCCATGTGTGCCTGTGCGTGCACACACACACACGCCCAAATAATGGTTTCATTTTTAAGTATTTTATTACATTTAATTAAATTATGAGATATACAGTTAAAACATTTAATATTCATTGTAGAAAATAGAAGTAGAAAGAAGGAAGGATTTTAAATGTCCTCCCAGAGATTACCGTTTCAGTGATACTAGTAATTTCTGAATTTCACCTATATCATATTGCTCAAATTCTACATTCATCATCTGGTAATACTGATTTTGGTCACTGTTTATCTCATAGATAGCTGCTCACATGTTTTTGAATTGAACAAAGTTTGAATTTGGCTTATATCTGACCACCACCTCCCTCTCATGTAATTGTTAGTCATTTCAAATTTTGCAGTTCCCCAAAGGTGCAGTGTGTTCTTTTATATATCTGTGTCTTTGCATATACCGTTCTGCTTACCTGAAAAAACCCCTCCACAAACACCTATTGTCCCTTACCCACTCTCTGCCTTTGTCTACCTAATCTTCAAGATTCAGCTCAAGCTGAGCTAGAATTAAAGTCTTCCCTGATCTTTATCTTTGCTCTCTTAAACTAGTCAGAGGATCTGTACCCAGAGCATGCATGGAATTCTGTGCCCTGTAAAATTGACATGAAGAAAAGGAGTATTCATTTTCGTACTTGATTCTTTAACAAAAAATTCCTGATTGGGTCTAACTTTTTACGTGTGTTGGATTAGATGGTCATATACAGAAGGGAAAGAATAGCAATATAAGTCTTCTCACGTCTGTAATCCCAGCACTTTGGGAGGCCAAGGAGGGCAGATCACAAAGTCAGGAGATTGAGACCATCCTGGCTAATGCGGTGAAACCCCGTCTTTACTAAAAATACAAAAATTAGCCGGGCGTGGTGGTGGGCGCCTGTAGTCCCAGCTCCTCGGGAGGCTGAGGCAGGAGAATGGCATGAACCCGGGAGGCAGAGCTTGCAGTGAGCCGAGATCGCGCCACTACACTCCAGCCTGGGCGACAGAGCGAGACTGCCTCAAAAAAAAAAAAAAAAAAAAAAAAAAAAGTCTTCTCATTAGCAATATAAGTAATCTAATTTTATGTTTTTATGTCTCACACATACACATACATATATACTACATTGTGTCAAATTAGTAAGTACAAAACTTTTGTGTATGAATTTCAGTTTTCTATTTAAAAGAAAGTACATAATTAGTTTTACCAAAATATAGTTGCTACTGTTCATTGTAGTTTCTACCCTTTATATGAGCCATTGTTTGGGGGAGTACTTGTTTTGTTACTGGTAATAAACTACAAGGGAAATTTGTAATATAATATTAGTATATTTCCCCTAGATTTTTAAAAAGCAGGTCATTATTTTTTTAAGCACTTCAACTGCAGCACAGTGCAATCTTTTGGGGAGAATTGGTAAAATGAGGATAAAATTAGTACAGGATTCCAGCAGCTTGAAAATAACACAATATTTGACCAAAATCTCTTTTGTATTCCCTACTCTGGTTCAATTCCAGTAGTCCTGGAAATGTGCCTATGGACTATTTACAGTGAGATTATAAAACTGAATCATGATTTTGGTGAATAGAAGCCAGAGCATGTGGCTACAGCACCCCAGCTGGCAGTAAGCTCTCCCTAGGTTTATGAATGTAGTTAGATGGTCCCCAACTGTTTACAAGACAGCAGAGGTGAGATATTTGATTGACAAGTCAGAAATGCATTAGATCATTCTCTCTGCCAGTCTCTGGTTCATGCTGTTAAAAATGTCAGCCTCCAAGTTTGAATGGCAGCCTGAGGGCCTTAGAAGCTTTTTGTTTTCTGAGATGGAAACACAAATTGGATGTGTGCCTGAGCGCTTCATCCTGGGCTGTAATTTCATCTTTTAGCTAAGAACCACAAGGTACACGAGCAAAGCACCCTGTAAACAATAATACTGTGGAAAAAAAATAAACAAGGTCGTGTTTCTGGTACGTTGATCCGATGGTGTCCTGACCTCTATCACGTTGAACATCTCCACTCTGATTGCTGTTCCCTTTGGCATTACAATGAGAGAAAGAGAGACTGACATACTATGAAGAAAAGATTTAAAGTTGCAGTATCGTTGCACATTCCTTGTATTGGCTATGAAATATTGAACTGTCAGAATGTGACACTTGGTTTTTTAAGCAACCTTTCTTGTTTGAGGTGTTTGCAGTTCATTCCTTTCTCCCCCATTTGTCTGCTTTCATTGATAGGGTTGGAAGTAGTTGCCTTAAATGCATGAAAAGGGACAGTGTTAAAGAGAAGTGGTGCTGATGGAGCCAAACAAACTTAACACTAGAAAATAAATGCAGGCTGTGGGGCAAAGGAGATAAAGTTGGGTTAGTGTATTATTAATAGTGGAATTTATGGAACACCCTATTGTAAGGAAGAATCAGGTTAGGTCCCATTTCTGTTTTTGTGGAGGCAGGAAGTTGGGAAGGTGGTATTGGGTAAAGAGATGCAGTGACATAGTTTGTTAAACTGATAGCCTACTATATGGCAGTATTGCCAGGCCAATCAGAATTCACCCAGCTATTTTATTTATTGCTCTTATTATCCAGTGTCTTTAACAAGTGGTGAAATTATAGAAGACTTTAAAATTTGGGGAAGAAAAATATTTTTTTAATGTGGAAAATGTGTATTTATAGTAAGAAAGCTCATTAGGTAATATGGAAGAAACATTATGCTTATATTAGTCCAGCTTATGCCAAATGAATAGAAAATCTTCCTTATAAAACCACCATATATTTCTTGGAAAATATTTTGTAGTAATAAAATGAGTTTTCTATTATGTTTTAAATTACATCTTTTTTTTCAAGCTATGAGTAGGAGTTTATAAATTACAATACATCTTAAAACAACATATATATTTTTTCTTCTAAGGAAGCACTATTGATGTATGCTTTCATTTTCATCCCTTTTGGGGCATTGAATTTACAAGTAAAGTTTTAACTGAGAATGAATGGCCTTTTGCAGTTCTTCTGGAGTATGGAAAAGAGTTTGTATTGAAAGTTCCTCAATGGCTGGGCACTGTGGCTCATACCTATAATCTCAATACTTTGGGAAGCTGAGGTGGGTGGATCACTTGAGCTCAGAAATTCGAGACCAGCCTGGGAAACATGGTGAAACCCCATCTTTACCAAAAATACAAAAAATTAGCCAGTCATGGTGGTGCCAGTCTGTGGTCCCAGCTACTCGGGAGGCTGAGGTGGGAGGATCGCTTAAGCCTTGGAGGTGGTGGTTGCAGTGAGCCGAAATCATATCACTACACTCCAGCCTGGGTTGACAGAGTGAGACTCCATCTAAAAAAGAAAAAAAAAGGCAACTATTTAGCTTAGCCCTCTCCTCTGAAAATGTGAAAGGCAAGAGCTGTTCTGCATCAGTCTAGTGAAATGCACTGGAAAAATGGTGTTGGTAATTCCTGCTTTGAGGTCATGCTAGAAAGAGAGAAGATAATACTTGTAAAATATAAGTCCTGCTCCTTTGTAGCCAGATTTTTGTCCTTACTTAAAAATATTGTGCTCAGAAAGTAATACCAAAAGGAGGGATATTAAGAACTAGTTATTGTTGTTTTTAAGTATTGCTCTGAATTTTTAAAGCATAAACATTGATGTAGATTTGCATTTAAGCTATGAGAACCCACTGTCTTGACTCAGTGGGGGAGTTTTCAAAAATCATTCTTGTAGAAATTGATTTCTCATTGGCTGATTTCTACAGGATGAATGAAAACAAACCATTTTTTGCAGTCTTAGAAGAATAAGAGGAATGCAAGTGTTTAAGAAATGAGACTGAAATATGCTTTATGGAGTTTTCTAAATCTGGTACAAAGAAACTACAAAATTTCTTCTTATGTATTATGCATCAATACAGTGAAAATGCCTCACAGCTTATGGGCTTTTTACAACCACACCTTCACAATTAATGATTAGCTTTATTATTTAAACTCCAGGCTTGCCTCATGAGCAAACATCAGTGTATTCATAGAACCATAGAATTTCAGCATTGGACCAGACATCAGAGGCCATCTAGTCACATACGTCTCATAATGTAGAAATCCTTTATGAAATGTGTTTGGAAGGGAGTCATCTAATCTCTCCCTGATCACTACCATTATTGGTGAATCAAACTTCTTGAAGCATCTTGCTTTTACTTTGTTGGTTCTACTAGAAAGTTTTTTCTTGGCCGGGCGTGGTGGCTCATGCCTATAATCCCAGCACTGTGGGAGGCTGAGGCGGGCGGATTGCCTGAGCTCACGAATTTGAGACCAGCCTGGGTAGCATGGTGAAACCCAGTCACTACTAAAAATCCAAAAAATTAGCCAGGCGTGGTAGTACATGCCTGTGATCCCAGCTGCTTGGGAGGCTAAGGCACGCGAATCGCTTGAACCTGGGAGGCGGAGATAGCAGTCAGCCGAGATCACACCCACTGCACTGCAGCCTGGGTGACAGAGTGAGACTGTCTCAAAAAAAAAAAAAAAAAAAAAGTGTAATAAGTCAGAATACAATGTAGACACGTCTTGTTTTGAACACAATTTAAATAATGTAATTTAATTACTGCCTAAGATTGCATATACTTCTTTGATTTGAATGATGGAAAAATTTCTAGGAACTTAGCCTGGGTTTGTTTCCTCATCTTTTCTTTGAAGCCAGAAAAGCATAGAAAAGCATATGTAAGCACTTTGACAAATGACATAATGTAGCGGCATATCAGAGTGGCACAGGTATTTTAAACCTAGCTCCAGTTCCTGAAGATGGTGAACATCTGCTTAGAGGTACTGTAGAGCTCCACAATGCACTAATTGAATTACTCTTTTCTGGAGTTGCGACTGCACTAATTGAATTAGAATCTCTCTCTCTCTCTCTCTCTGTCTCTGTGTGTATGTGTGTGTGTGTGTGTGTGTGTAAATGAGATAATTCCAACCTTAACGGGAGAGACTATGAGAGACATGACTGATGGTGTGTACTGTGCTGCTATCTAATGGCAGCCTATGGAACTACTACGTGGTCTCCAGGGAAGAGAAAATACAGCGTGACCTCAGTCTAACCCCATCCAGTTTAGTTCAGAAGGTCCCAGGATGTAATTTTGTAATTCTAAATTGAAAAGGAAAGAATGTGATAAATTTCTGTATTAAAAATTAAGATATATTTTATTAGGCATAAAGTTTTTAAGTACTAAGTTACAAATATTCAACTGAATTAAAAATTTCCTTTAACTGGTGAAAAAAAATCGAGTTGGTGGGTCATCTTTTTTCTCATTTTGTCCTTCAGTGACATAAACGTAAAAAGGAATTAACGTTTTTGAAATGTCTTAGCATCATAGAAAGGATAAATGATACAGGGCTTGTTCATATTTTTAAATACAATTTTTTTCCTGGTTGTTAGAAATAAGGTGTTACCAGATTTTGCTTGTATGTGATTATGCTTATATTAATTATAGCAGTATCAAAGTAAGTTGTACAGATCTCACTTGCTCTTTTTTTTTTTTTTTTTTTTGAGACGGAGTCTCGCTCTGTCACCCAGGGTGGTGCCATCTCGGCTCACTGCAAGCTCTGCCTCTCGGGTTCACACCATTCCCCTGCCTCAGCCTCTCGAGTAGCTGGGACTACAGGCACCCGCCACCATGCCCGGCTAATTTTTTTGTATTTTTAGTAGAGACGGGGTTTCACCATGTTAGCCAGGATGGTCTGGATCTCCTGACCTCGTGATCCGCCTGCCTCGGCCTCCCAAAGTGCTGGGATTACGAGCATGAGCCACCGTGCCTGGCCTCTGTTGTTCTACTTAATAGTTTAAAAATTAAGTTTACCACAAATTTGGGCAAGTTTTAAACCCTCCTAAGTGAAGTCAGTTATTTTGTTCCTTTAAAAGAAAAAAAGAATCTTAGTCACAATTTACTGATTTTTGTAAAACATGCAAATGTAGTCCTGCGCAACATTAAAAGCAAATAAATACACTGAGGACAACTCAACATGAAATATATTTTGATTCAGTTTAACTCTAGGCATTCTAACTTGTAAAAATGGCCCTTAACAGAAAAATACATATGTATAATCACTTGATTTATAGAATGTGTATGTGTGCATACAAAACCACTTCAGTAAAAGTGCTGTTGGTTACCATTCTGAGCATTTAAAACGATCACTTTCCATTTGATCATATTAAAGATATAGAAACAAGTATATAGCATAGAAAAGTTTTAATTTCTTCTATGTAATCTTCATTATTAAAATATGTTTGAATATGCCATTATTTTGTAGGCTAATTTGTTCTTCATTGTGAGATTGAGGTACTTAGATTTCTTGTATGAATAGCTCTCACTAAAATGACTATAATTTGTACTTTTTATATTGTCCTTAGGGACATTTTACTGATTTAGAAAATCCTTTTGACATCAAGTAGATGTAAGGCTTTACAAATAACATGGCCATTCACAACTAGCCACAACTCCGATTCGATTCACAGAGTACCTTTTATTTGCCAATTACTGTACAAAGTCTTAGGCATAAATTAAGATTCAGAACCTATCCTCAAGGAGCTTATAGTTATTTGTTATACATGTATTAAGTACTTATATACCAGTCACTGTGCATATAATTACTAGTGTTAACCATTAGTCATATGTATTTTTTTCTGATTTATTGAGCTAGAGGTCTGGCTTAGTAGCAGTCCTAAGGAAATGGTATACTTATGTTCATATCAGATATATCTCATCTCAGCAAAAAAGTGATAATGTATATTTCAGACTAGTCTGTGTCTTAAATGGTTTTCTCTTGCCTTTACATACCTTCTAAGGGAACAGTGATGTTTGTGATAGCTGTACATGTAGCTTAAAAAGAGATGATAATATTTGTTACAATGCCTCCTACTGGTTGATCATAGATTTTCAATCCTTGTTGTCTTCAGAACTGGTAGTTCCCACTGGTGATTTGATAGTTTGGGGCTTCTACTGAGGCTATAACTGAGAAAGAGTCTATTGCATACAAGGTATAAAGTGCTTCTTTAAACAGTCTGTTTCTAGAACCTAAATTGTCCTGGGACCAGCTCTTGATATAAAAATTCATAGAAACCTGTTTTTCACAGAGTGTGGTAACTCCTTGCCATAGTGCTGTAGTGTTAAAATTCACATTGGCCAGGTTGTTCTGTAAATTAAACACTGACAGCTACCCTCAGGGGAACAGCCAATGTATTTATGATGATGTGCTGATTACACAAAATACACTGCAAGCAGAAAACAGCTGCAGAGAATAAACCTCTTAAAAAGAATACAATTACAAATAGCACCCTCAGTATTTCTAGTGGTGAGTGTAGAATACAGCATGCTAATGCAAGTTTCTTACTAGTCCGCCTGAAAACAAAAAATCTGAAGGAGATAAATTATGGTTGAATGCACATGCGGTGCCAGCATAGCAGTGAACAAATTTCCTTTCTCAAGAGCATGGCTGTAAGTGCACAGATTTCAGGTGTGGAGTAGTCTAACCACCCTCCCTCATTTTGTTAGGTTTTATTAGTGGTTTTCTCATATATAGTAGGGCATGGCCTTGAGGTTATAGGGGCTCTAGACATTTGAAAGATATTACACAATGAATGGGGCAGGAGGGTAACTAAATTGTGGTTACAAATTTCTGGTAGAAACTCGATATGTTAGGGTTTAGTTATCGACATTTCATTTGAAGATACGACTATATATTTTCAGTGTTATTAATGGCATTGAAGATGGTGCCCTTGGAATTAATAAAAGGAGTCATGACTCTCTGGTAAGATCTTTCTGATTTCTTAGATTCTGTTTTTCAAGAATAATGGTGTTTTAGGACATTGGAATAGCTGATTGTATATTTGTAGGAGTATCAGCTCTCAAATATGTCCCTTTTCATTCCTGCATCTTACTGGTCACATGCATACAGGTAAGAAGATTAGAAAAAAAATTTTGTTTTCCCTATTTGAGATTCTCTCTGTTAGAGCTTAGGGTCAGTATCTATAAAATATATTTCAACTGCTGAGCATGCTAGCTTCTGTTTAAATCAGTAGAAAATATGTTGATCTTTCAAGACATAAATTTACTCAAGCCAACTGTAAGGTATAGCGCAGGGACATAGTGATTGGAGACAGTTCACTTCACCCGCCTGAAACTAAGAATCAACTCTTCAGTGTATGGATCACTGGTATGTAATAATCGACTATTATCGGTCTGTCTATTGGTCTCTTTTTAAATCAGTTTGGAACCTCCTGGAGTTATTTTCTTGCTCTACTGACATCAATCCCATGTGGCAGAGGAGTTGTGTATAATCGCTTTGGTTTAATCAATAGAATAATTGATAAACCAGATAAGATTTAAACTGATTATAGCCCCAGCAGAATTCCCCAGAGGCCTTGGACTCTCTTAATTTTGACATGTGTGTTGTGTACCCTGAGGATGAAGTGCAGTTTGAATTATCTGCTTTTATTTGCTTAATGACGGGGAGGGTGTTAAAGTCAAATGTTTAATTAACCCAGCAATGGGCTGCGTTGTCACTTACACACAGCTGATTGAGATATCTCATGGAGAATACTGAATAGGAATGATAATGTGGCACTGGGACGGAAGATTGCTTTTTCAATCCATTTGCTGGGTCACTGCTTTGAATGTCTTATTGGATGAAAGGCATTCAGCCTGGAGAAAAAATTCAGCATTTAAGTACATTTTGTTCTCTTCCCCCCCCACCCCCCCAACCCCCTCCGTGCTCAGAAGTTAACTAAAACAGATATGTTCTAGGTTTATTAAGCCATCCATGTACTAGTAAGAGATCAGGATAGCCAGTAGCCTCAAGCTACATAATTTCCTGTGGAAACGGAAAAATCCTACTAGCCTCTAAGGTATTCTAAATGTGAGCTCTTTTGTCCCTCACATCCTGTGTCCCTTGCCATTATTGTGAGGTTGTCTTTGGTTACTTGTCTCTTGCCTTTTTCTGTAGTGTTTGCTAGATGTGCAGCTACCTCTAGGGCCAAAGGCAGACCTTTTCCTCCCAAAGAAGCAAATTATCCAGTACATTTTTTGCTATTTGATATACCTGGCTTCTATTTGGTTGTAATTGTGACTAAGAATTATAATGAGACTGTTGAACTATTCAGAGAGATGAAAATTTGAGGCATTACAAATTCTTGCTTTTTTGGCTACTGCTATTGTAAAAACAGTTGATGCTGTGTATATTTCATTTTGTTGAGAGGCACTTTGCTTTCTATATGGACTAAAAAATTAGGCCAGGAAAGATTGCAATATTCAACACCATCAAAAATGAAGTCTAGGCAACTGGAGTTTTAATGACTTGCTGCCCACAAAATATCCCTGACTAGCTTTATAATGGAATGTAAAAACTCATTGAAGGCATATGAGCAAAACTTTAAAAAAAATTAACCATGACTTTCCTTCTCTGTAGTTCTTATGTTTCTTCCCTCTATCCCCCAAAGATCTAAACCAGGAATTTACTAATTTTTTTCTTTGCTTTAGTCATTTGTATTCCAGAGAGCACAATAGGGAGAAGGATACAAGATTGATTTTTTTATGTGTGTCCTCTTGAAAGCAGAGTCTGGGGCATGAATACTGTGGGGGGTGGTGGGGGGGCCGGTTACAAAGCAATAGAAGCATGCAGCTAGTGTTCGCGTGCAGGTTGGACTTTTTGCGGGTCAAGGCAGACCAGACGAGTAGCTTATCTTGAGGGACGCAAGTAATAGACCAAATATAGAGCAGCTATTTCAGGAATCATGTAGGTCATTTAATTATCCATTATGATTGAGTGGCTAATGCTCTTTTGGCAATTACATGACCTCTGTTATTCTTGAAACCTATCCAGGCCCTCGTGGGTCAAGTGACCCACAAGTCAGTGCTCTCAGACTTGATTCCACTCAGAAAGAAAGGAGATGTTGGGAACCACTGGCATTTAGAAATGGCCATGTTTTCTTTACTGACCACTACCCAGAATGTCCTTTGTACAGCAGTGATAGGCAACTGGTTTTGAAGTCAACTATTCCTTCATTGTATATAGGAGCAAAAGATGCATTATACATTGGTTTCCACAAGAGGGTATTTTGGCAGGAGATACTTTAATACCACAATTAGCTATTATGGTATTCACTAATTCTGTACTGTAAGAACAACTACTATGATATTAAAATTAATGTTTGATATCTGTCAAACCAATTATCTATTACCAAACTCTGTAGTGGTATTTTCCATTCCATAACGCAACAAGTGCTATTGATGATAGCTAATAACAGATATTAGTATATTATTAATTACTAATAGTAATTATAGTAACAGATTAGTAATAATAACAAAATGCCATTGATGATAGCTAATAACAGATTTTAAAATATCATTCATTAAAATTAGCCTAATTTGAATTTCAGTGCTACAACGATTATTAAATTAAAAGGCCACTTTAAAATTAGGTTCTGGTCAAAGACAGAATAAGTTGGAAACATCTTGATTGTTTATCACTTTTTTTCTTTAATCAACCAAGTATTATTAATATTTCCAAAAAAAACCAATTTCTGCTAAATGATAGTAAAATTTTCTATAATTCAGTGACTTGTGGGGTAATTTTGAGAACAGAAAATGTACATTTCTTGTGATTCTTTAAATCGAAGATAGTTACGGTGTGGAAAGCAATGGCAGCATAATCAAATTAATTGTAGGATTTGTCAGAAATGCACAAAATTCTGCATAGTTAGCAAAGTGGTAGATTAGAGGTATACAGCCATTCTCTAGCATTCCAGTAACTTAAGACCTTAGGCTTAAGAGAAATAATTTTGGTATTCTTTAAGTAGAAACTATTTGCATTGCTATAGAAAAAGGCAGTTCCTTCTATTGGAGAAAAAACATCTTTTAAAAATTTGTTACTTACACATCAAAGAGCATTGCTTTAAAACAACAACAACAACAAAAACTCAACAAGGTTGTTTATCCCTGGAGCAGTAAAATTAGCCATCCTTCCCAATAAATTTATTAAATTACCCCTGGTAGAACTCCAAGCTAATCTGTTTTGGTTTTATTTTCATTTTGTTGTTTGGTGATGTTAACAAATGAAAAATTGAAGACATGAATTGGTGTGTATAACCTTTGACCCTTCAGAAATAGAAGACTTCTCACTCAAATTTTAAATCCTTAAGCCAATACTACCTTAGGGTCTGGCTACTTAGAGACCCATGAGAATGCAGTTAATCTGAGTTATATTTGCTGTTTTCTGTTTAAAAACATATTTTCTCTCATTCTAGTTTTTTCATTTCTGTGGTGGAGATGAACAGAAAATGGAAAGCAGGATTTACAGCAGAAGTTACAGATTAAACTCAAGTATCCCAAATAAGGAGTATAATTAGTCTGCTTACCATTTTAAGAGGAAAGCAAGGGATATAATGTATGGTGTATAATTTTTTTTTTCTCCCTATATATTACTTTTCTTTAAGGCATACCCTTCAATATCTATGCTGAGACATGTTTTTCAGCCTTGGGAACCAAAAATTTATAGAAATAAGTGAGAGGAATGGTATTTGTAATTTTAAAGACCCGAAGAGACATTAAGGCAGTATCATTAGTTGGGAAGGACACAGTATAATAATAAGCCTATATAATAATTTCTTAATTAGGAAAAAAAATAATGATTAAACAAGACCAGTCCATATTAGAGACATACACCTAAACACAGATCTTAATCTAGCCCAGTCTAGCTTTCAGAAATGTAGTTTATTTACTTGGGATGGTTTTACGTCTCGGGATATTAGCTTTTATCAAGTTTAAAGGAATCTTAAATTTCTTTCAAGATATTGTTGAATTGTAATAAAATGGTAATACCAAAGCAAGGAAGATATCCAAGGGGATGAAAGTCATTTAGCAAAAAGAAACAAAAAACCAGGAAACAAGGATGACAGAAAAAAAAAATTCATCAGAGAGAAAGAATTTTGTCATACGTCCTAAGGGTTCTATAGTTCTCAGTCCTATTTTGATAAAAAAACTACTTAAGAAAATCTACAGAGGTCGAGTTACAAAAATAACCAGATGTCCTTATTAGTGGAAGCAAATGTTTGCCTCTTAATTTACACAAAACTATATGCAGAGGATCTCTGGATGAAATATTTTTGTAAATATGGCAGCAAAGAAAATCATGGCACAAAAAAATCTGTCCAAAACACATAATCGTGAAGGTAATGTCTTAAAGAGGAAAGCAGTTTTTTAAAAGATTCCTATAGATTTAAAGGTAAAAGGTAAGTTAAGCTAGTTATATTTTGGTTTACATGATACGTATTCTTGGCTTTTTATTATGTATGTCTTTCTATCTGAAATCCCCCTGGTGAATTTTAATTCATTTTGCCTTGCGTATTTCTCTACTTTGTACATTGTTGTTGCATTTTGAACAGTGTAAACGTATGTGTGGATTGCTTTTTTTTTTCCCTGAAAGAATGGTTGTCCTTTTAGTTCCATCACGAAAAACACAACCTACAGTGGTATAAGATGCCTGCTTTGCAAGCCTGTTTGGGATTTTAAAATATTAACCCACATTTTAATAAGTAGATGTAGTTTTGTAATTGCATTCGTACATTAAGCAGGATAAAAATGTAAAAAAAAAAAACTACTTGAAAGGGTAAGGTAGGAAGTGTTTTTTTTTGTTTGTTTTTAAATTAAGGCTTTAGAGCCAAAAAAAAAAACCTGTAAAGTTTAAATGGACTATTACTTCTGATGTGGAGCATATTAGCATAATTACAAACTCTTTTATATACTCATAGTCATTGCTAAGTTGATGTTCAAACCTTTGATTAAGAAGTCACAAAGCTGACTGTGTTCAGACAGCTGTGTAATATCGCTCCTATTCACAAAACAGATAACTGTTTTAGCCCCCTCCCTTTTTTGGTCCCCATATTTATTGCTACAAATTTGTCTTTCTCCTATAGCTAGACTTTTAATTAATGGTGAAACATTAAAATGTTGTATTGTGATATTTTCGGTGACTTGAAAGTTAAGAGAAAGCAGCACTGCTCATTCATGCCCTTGCCTTGTCACTCCCTGGTGCAGTTCATCTCTTCTATCCTTCTTATCAGAGTATCTCAGTGCTTAGTTGAGCTTGTTTATCTTAAAAGAGCAGGAGGCAGGCTTTTAGGGAATAAGCTACATGTTCCAGTATAACAGGCACCAATGCTGTTTGACTTGAAAAACATTTGATCTCTTACATTAACAGCCCATGTCACTGTAATAGGTAGTACAGCCGAGTTGTTCAGTTTTCTATTATTTTAGCTTTGAAATAACTGTTAGTGCTGCCCCAAAATCTTCGTGTATAAAATTGTATATTGGCTGCCCCCCAGGACTCGTAAGTAAACAAGGTGATATGTGTGGCCAGAGGGGAGGGTATTTGTTGGCTTTGTTTTAGATAATAACTGATCCTATCTAAAGATGTTTTCTGTCTGATCCCTGATAGTGGGTGCTGCATGACGTTGTGTAAATTCGCAGACCTAGCAATATTTTAAGGCAGATTTCTGTTTGTTATTAATATATGTGCTCAGTAACTATTAATTATGAACTTTCATTTTTTTCTCTGATAATGAAACATTTAGTTTTTATGAAGCTTAATGTCAAAGATCCTGCACAATTTGCCTAAGTATAGCAGTTTGCACAGCAGTTTTTGAAAATGGGCAAGCAAGAATTTAAAGGGAATGTTTGTTAGACTTAAAATATTACTTTATTTAAAAATAATTCAGTTGTGGGTATAATTTCTGTGCCAGGAATAGTTTGACAGTTGTAATCAGGTAGCAGTATTAAAAGAACAGAAAACAAAATTCGTATAATCAGGTTGATGTTTTCTTCCTCTTTAAGAGCACTTCTCCTTTTAATAGTGGTAGAATGGCAGCAAATAATTTTAATCCTTCCTTTCTTCCTTCCTCTATTTTCAAGAATCTGATTTTTCTCATTCTTATTTTTTTCTGTTACAGCATTACCAGGCCACCCAGTTACTTTCTTAGAATTTAACCTAAATTAGATACATCAGCCAGAACAAGCATAATTGGTTGAAAGGCAGCCATCTATCTAGGGAGTTCTTCTAAATACTGAATGTGTCATGCGCTTTGACATAACATATCTGTAATCTCTGAATACAGAAAGCACTTTCTGTGTTAGCTGTAGGTGTTAAAGCAGTAGTGTGTTTTAAGAATGTGTGCTGTGCAAATTCTGGCTTGTGAGGTAATGACAAGTGTTTGCCTGCATAGACAATATATTTTTTCCCCCCTGAGGTCCCCACACACCTAGTTTCCCTCAAGCTCATCATCTCTGTCAGGTTAATCAATAGGCACCGTATGGCAGAGGGTCAGTAATCAGTGTCATCGTGCCTTTAAATCGTGTTGAAAATTTGCTTAAAGCCTGGGCCAATTAACATCGAGATGATGAATGGATGGGAAGATGGGAAGAGCCTGCCGCTCAGGGGCTTTGTGAGGAGGAGATGCTCAGCTGTTGAGCAGCAGACACCAGCGAATAAAATCAGCCATTCATGTGAGCTCAGTCCACCCACTCTTAATGATAATGTCAATCTAGCAAAATATATACACATTGGAGTTGTCACGAGTTCATAAATCAAAGGAGTTTGTCAAAGGCATTCAGATTAACGAGGCAGCAGCAATAACAAGTCAAATTTGCATAGAGAATTGCTCGAATCTCAGTAAATTATGATCCTGTTTTTCATTTGATTATTTGCTAATGTCTCAAGAGGGAGAATGATTATATTAGCATGCAAAATCTACTCCAGAAGTAGAAATCTGAGGTGTAGAAGACCAGTGCACTATGACAATTAATCAGTTTCTGCATACTAGCATAAATGCACAAGGCCCAGAAATGAACTTCTTTTTTATTATTATTTCTCTTTGCTACTGATCCAAATGGTTCAGCTTGACAGAGACTTTATATTGCTTTAACAGTGTTCTGAATTGTGCCTGCAGGCAAGACATAGTTATGCAGCTATAACCAACCTATCCATCTGCCAACCAGATTGGAATTCTCCTATCCAAGGCTTCCATTAACCCCCACTGACAGCTCCAAACAGGATTAAGAATTTGGAAGCATAAAAAATAGTTGTTCTTTGCAAATATACACAATCCCTCTGCATTTTGAGAAAGGATGCATCTGTAGTGTTATATGATTAGTGTCGGACAGTGTGGCGGGGAGAAAGCCTGCTTGGCAGTTTTTTGACTTCTGTCACAGGGAGTAAGGCAGTGCTAATGGAAGTCCTCTTTGGTTGTCCCAGAGAATGTTGTCCATTCTATCTAGTTGTTAGCACTGTGCTTGGAATTGGTATATTACTAGAAAAGAGCACTCCTTGAAAGCCTTAACTGGTGAATCTGTTGAGTTTAGCAGTATAGGGAGGCCTTGATGTGGTTGTGGTTTAATAGAGTATGTCAAATGATAAACATGCTGGAGAAGCAATGTGCATGAAAACATGCCAGAGAATATCTTAGGAGGACACTTTAGGTCCTCCCTAAAATGAGTCCTTGAATAGGATTTTCCGAACAGCTTCTGAACTTAAATGACCTAAGTTTTCCCCATTGTATCCTAAAAGGATTAATTAAAATTTGTTTAAACACACACACAGTGTTTTTTTTTAATGTCACCTTTCATACAAGAGTTTGAGTGATTTTGTCCATGTAGCTAAAATATCTGTTAACCTTGTAAAATAATAATTTCTGTTTTTGTAAATTGTAAATTTATATTTGGAAGCTAAATTAGCTCCAAGTCACATAATAAGTTAATGGGAAAAAGTATTAATCCAATTACTAATTTACCATTGAAGTTCACTATACTGTGTTTGCAATTAGTTACTAGAAATCGGTCTCAGGATTTTTTCCTTCAGGTGGGTTGTCATTCTATACGATGATGAGCAGATGATTTCATTTTTAAAATGTGTTCAAAATCAGTTATAATCCACCACAATTTACCTGCTTTGCTAAAATGATAGAATTATCCCAGTTACAGAGTCCTTCAAATCCTCCAATGGTAAATTAGTGAAGTATGTGGCATTGGTGTGAAATGTTCGCTTGTAGCTTTGGAGCTGGTTATTTTATTTATAACAGATGTCTCTTCAAACAGGTTCAGGCTCTGTTGCACCATCCAACCTTGAGCAAGATGCTTACTCAAAGATTATTGTAAGTCATTATGAGTGGCTTGACTTTTCATCACTGTGTAAATTAGTTTAATTTTTTATTTGATTATATAATCAACTCTTAATTATCCATTTTATCAGGAGTTGTGTGTTCAAATAGATAACTGAAAATAGTAAATAAGCCACTTACTAGGTCATGGGGAATATTGCCCCAGCTATGAACCTGCTGTGTGCTGCCATCAAAACATCTTTACTTCTTGAATTGGACAGTCAAAAATACAAACAGCCTCAAAGTTAGGAATGCTTTGGTTAAGGGTTGCCAAACTTTGTCTGTAAAGGGGCAGATAATAAACATTTGAGGCTTTGTGGGAGATAGGATCTTTCTTGTGGCCACTTACCTCTTCCGTTGTAGTGTGAAAGCAGCCACAGACAAATCGTAAATGGATGGGCATGGCTATGGGCCAGTTAAACTTTATTTGCAAAAATATGTGTCAGGCCAGAGCTTGTAAGTGCTGTTAACTGATCATACTGGCATTATAAGTAGTGGGACAGTAGGACTGCAGTTGGGCTGCCACTGAAGTTCCTCTGCTATTAAAAACAAAACAAAACAAAACTTTTTTTTAAGCTAGCTGGACAGTCTGGGTTTAGGGTTTCAATTATTCATTGAGCATCTGTTATCTGTATACTTACGTAATGTGTTAGTGGGTAGAGGGAGCTACAAAGACTTTTCCCAGTAATCTTTCAATCTTACTGGTTAGTCGAAAGTAACAGTGCAGACATTTATCTAATTAAGTGCCTGTTGTGTGGATCAAGATTAAAATTTAGTTAGGGAATTTCCAGTAGAGTAAGGTGGAGTAGTTTTATGGTTTCTTGGAGAAGATGACAGTTAAACCTCATTTTAAGAATGTGTAAGACTTGAATAGATGAGATAATCTTGTGTTTATAATTGTTGAGTGAACTAGACTGGAGTTAAGAATCCTTCCAGGCCAGACTCTGTGGCTCATGCCTGTAATCCCAGCACTTTGGGAAACGGAGGTGGGAGGATTGCTTGAGGCTGTGAGTTTGAGACCAGCTGGGTAATATAGTGAGAACCCCTGTATCTACAAAAAAACAGAAAAATTAGCCTGGTGTAGTGGCGTATACCTGTAGTCTTAGCTAGTAGGGAGCCTGAGGCAGGAGGATTACTTGAGCCCAGGAGTTGGAGGTTACAAGGAGCTATGATCATGTCATTACACTCCAGCCTGATGTGATAGAGCAAGACCCTGTCTTTAAAAAACAATCCTTTCAACCCCGAAATTTCAAGATCATATCACCTGTTGGTGAGACTATGAAGAAACTTGCTTAACTGGGGCAGAAAAGATGTGTTGTGGGAAATAACTTGGTGTAATATAGTAGGGAATTCTGGATGGTCCTGAAAACCAGGCCTAGAACTTCATATTTGATTTCATAGAAATAAAGAGCCACTAAAAATATTTTAGGGAAAGACCATTACGACAGTAGCAGTGTTAAGAAAGATTAACCTGGCAATAATATTCAATCCAAGAAACTTTTTTTTTTTTTTTCTTTGAGACAGGGTCTCACTCTGTCGCCCAGGCTAGAGCACAATGGCATGATTACACCCCAAACTCCTGGGCTTAAGCGATCCTCCCGCCTTAGCCTCCTGAGTAGCTAGGACGACAAGCATGTGCCACTATGCCCAGCTAATTTTTTTTTTTTTTTTTTATGTAGAGGTAGGGTCTTGCTATGTTACCCAGGCTGGTCTTGAACTCCTGGCCCCAAGCAATCCTCCTGTCTCTACCTCCCGACAAGAAAACATTTTAAAATTCACATTATATTCTCTAGCTTTGTGCTGAACCTCTGAAATATAAGATGAAACAGAAACTGGCCCTGCCTTGAAGGAATTTACAGTAGTGTGGGGTGGGAAGCATGTTCATGTAGAGATATAAAGAGATATAAAGAATTAAGTGCCAATTGGAAGTGAAGTTTTTCTTCGGAGTAATTAATTCTAACTGCAGGTTAGGCGTAAGGGGATAAAGGCTTCTCAGAGAAGGTATCATTTTAGCTGACTCTTGAATCAGGATTTTTAGTAGATAAAGAGATTGGGAAAGAAGCCTGTTACATGTTAAGGGACTAGAATTAACAAAAACACAGAGATGAAAGAGTGGTTTCCTTATTTTGGTGAATGATAAATAATGTCATGTAAATGGTACAGAGACTTTGATGAAGTGTTAAGTTGGCTGTCTTATGGATGCTGTACTAAGAAGTTTGGGTTTATCCTGTTATTGCCAAAAAGCTATAAAAGGCTTTTGAACAGGAAAGTAACCTTTTTAGAATGATGATTCTAATGGCCGGGCATGGTGGCTTACGCCTGTAATCCCAGGACTTTGGGAGGCCGAGGTGGGTGGATCACTTGAGGTTAGGAGTTCGAGGCTAGCCTGGCCAACATGGTGAAACTCTGTCTCTACTAAAAACACACACACACACACACACACACACACACACACAAAATTAGCTGGGCATGGTGGCGCATGCCTGTAATCCCAGCTACTCGGGAGGCTGAGGCAGGAGAATCACTTGAACCCAGGAGGCAGAAGTTGTAATGAGCCGAGGTCGCCACTGTCCTCCAGCCTGGGTGACAGAACGAGACTCTGTTTCAAAAAAAAAAAAAGAATGATGATTGCCACTCTAGTGTATAGAATATATCATTTGGATTTAGGCAAGGATGTCAATGTCAGAAGGCTGTCTCAATAGTAATAGCACTGGTAAGAGGTGTTGTGGGTCTGGACTAGAGTAGAAGCAGTGGAAATGCAAAAGTAGGGTCAGATGTATTAAAATAGATGATTCAAAGAAAAAGTTTATAGACTGAAAATTAGCTAGATATGTTCAAAGAAAAAAAAGGAATGAGTAAAAACTGACTCTGAGGATTTAAGTCTAGGATAAAAAGAAAAGTTGGGAGGAAAAGAGCTGACCTAGAAATGAGTGGAGATGGTAAAAGAGTGCTTTAAATTTAGATGTGTTGATTTTGAGACAGTTTAAGCTTATCACCTGAATACTTTTTTAATATAATTACTTTCTTTTTTATTCGCCCAGTTTGGTTGTGGAAACATTTTATCCAAAATGCATCCCTGAGGTCTAATGCAGGAGCTTTAGCAGTATTTCCTTTATTGACCTTTTCCTACCCAAATCTCTGTTACTGTATCTGCAGGTGTTACAGCCCAAATGCATCTAGTTTGGAGTTAAATTCAAAGTTGACAGGGAGACTTTCATTCTGCCCTTTCAATTCTAAGCTAGTAAGCACTGAGCTAAGAAATAAATATTTGAGTTAATATAAAAGGTAACAAGTTGTGCACTGGGCTAAGAAATAAATATTTGAGTTAATATAAAAGGTAACAAGTTGTGTAGAATCTTTTACAAAAATATTTTAATATACTATAGTCCCCACTTATTCATAGGGGGTATGTTCCCCAGTGGATGCCTAAACCACAGATAGTTCTGAACTCCATGTATACTATGTTTTTTCCTATGGACACATACCTATGATAAAGTTTAATTTATAAATTAGTCATAGTAAGAGATTAACAACAATAAGAATAAAATAGAACAGTTATAACTATACTGTAATAAAAGTTACATGAATATGCTCTCTCAAAATATCTTACTGTACTGTACTCACCCTTCTTATGATGATGTGAGACAGTAAAATGTCTATGTGATGAGATGAAGTGAGGTAAATGACCTAGGCATTGTGACACAGCATTAGGTTACTACTGACCCTTTGACAGCATGCTACCTGCTTTAGGTGATCCTGGATTATTGAGCCATGAAGATGTTGGTGGTGGGATGTCAGGAGCAGACAATGTCAATGACTCATGGTCAAGTAGCATGTACAGTGTGGATACACTGGACCAAGGGATAATTCACATCCTGGGCAGGACAGAGCTACCAGAAAGGTGCACAATTGAAAACTATTTCTAAAAATTTCCATTCAATATTTTAGGACCTCAGTTGACTGTAGTAACTGAAATTGCGTGAGTGAAACTGTGGATAAGGGAGGACTACTGTAATGCTATTCATAGACTATTATTACTCAAGGACTACAAACACATTCTGCAATTTATTTACTATAATGAAACTTTCCATCTGAGTATTGGGAATCTGTTGTTCTGAGCAGTCAAGTTTGCTTAGGGTTGGTTTAAAGTTAAGCAGTAGAATATAACGTTAATTACATTTGATGGAATTTTCCCCCTAAAATTTATTTTTCACTTAACTTTTCTCCCATTTCTTAACATTTTATTATGGATTTAATTAATTAATTTTTTATTTTGACATAACTTCAGATTTATAGACAAGTGAAAAGAATAGCACAAAGAATCTCCTTACACCCTTTCACATAGATTTACCTAATGTTAACATGTTACCATATTTGTATTATATCTGCTTATAAATACATATACACACGCACATACATCCATTTATGTATTATTTTTTCTGAACAATTTGAAAGTTACAGACGTAATGTTCCATCCCCCCTAAATGTTTCAGTGCGTGTTTCCAGAAAAACAAAGACATTTTAATAAAAATAATCACAGTACAAATTATCAAAACCAGGAAATTGAATGGATAAACAAAACTGTGGCACATCCATACAGTAGATAATACTACTTGGCAATAAAAGGAAAAGAAATACTAGTATTTACAACAACATGAGTAGATCTCAGATATTTTATGCTAAGTGATAAAAGCCAGATTCAAAGGTTACGTACGATATAATTCCATTTATATGACATTCTGAAAATGGCACAAATTATTGAGCCAACAAATCAGTGATTTTCAGTGGGGAGAGGGTTGACTATTAAGGAGAATTTCAAGAGAATTTTGGGAGTGGTGGAATTTTTCATTTTTTAATGGCGGTGTTATACAACTGTATGTTTTTGTCAAAACTTACAGAGCTGTATACCAAAAAGGGTAAATTTTTCTGTATGTAAATTTTAATGGTGGGGAAACAATCAGGAAATTAATATTGATACAGTGTTATTAGTTCACCTACAGAACTTACTAAAAAGTTTCCAATTGCCTCAACAGTGTGTGCTATACCTCTTTAGTTTCCTTTAATCTGAAACAATTCCTTAGTCTATTTCATGGCCTTGACATTTCTTAGGTACAAACTAGTAACTTTATGGAATGAAATACTCATTTTTGGGTTAGCCTGATGTTTTCTTATAAGTAGATTTAAGTTTTGTGGTTTTGACAAGGATACCTCACAAGTGATGTGCTGTTTTCAGTACATCATATTAAAAGGCACATAATCTTAAGGTGGCATCTGCTGGATTTCTCCACTATGAGGTTACTCTTTTTTCATTGTAACTATCAAGTATCTTATAGAAAAAATATTTTGAGATTATGTGACCATCCTGTTAACTTGTCAAACTTTCACTCACTTATTGTAGTTTTAAATTTTACTTAGGTTTTTGAGATGGTGTCTTGCTGTGATGCCCAGACTGCTCTCAAACTCCTGGACTCAGGCAGTCCCTCTGCCTCCACCTCCTGAGCAGCTGGGATTACACGCATATGCCAAAGTACTAGGCTCACTTGCTAATTTTAGCACCCAATGATGATTCTTCCTTATATTAATCACTTATCCTTAAATAGAATTTATTGGATATAATTTAGCCTGATGATCTAGGAAAATTATGCACATAGCTTATTGGGAATCCTCATAGATAAAGATGCAAGGAATAACTGTGTTGCTGAGCTTTCCTGGGTGATGTTGGACAGGCTTTGAGAACTGTTGAGGTGACTACTTAGGTATACATGGCTATTTCATCATTACCCCTTACCCTCAAGACTGTAGACCTAGTAATCTCATTCACTGGCATTCTGCTTCTACTCTTTAGTATTAGGAGGGTTCCTAATCCTTGTTCCTGATATCATGACTGTTTAATGTCCCTACCTCTATTTTTTTGTAACAACATTATAAGTTGGATTTTTTGTTTGATTTGATTTCTCATGATGGATGGCCCAGAGTAAAAGTGTTGGGTTAATCTGTATTAAAAGAACATACCAATGTTTATGGGTTTCCCCCATTTTTTGTTTAAGAGTTATTTTTAACAATACCATTTAAATATTCTTTGCCCTAGTGGGATAGAAAGGGGAAAGGAACTCCTAAGAAGCTCTGTGTTCTATGTTAGGTTAGTAACACCCTTTAAGCTCCCTTTGTGTTTTCATTCTTTAGACATTTTCATAATACCCACCCAGTGGTTATCCATCTAAATCTGATAAAATAGAGGGTCAGTAAAAAGAAAATTGTGAGTATGGGCTAGTCAATACTCAGGCTGTTAAGGTTGAGATGACTATTTTTCACTTTATAATTCAGTATAGAGGAGTTTGCCAGCAATTGTGTATCAGCCCAAGTACCTGTATAATAAAAATGTGATTTATAGTATCTTTGGTATGACAAACTTCCAGCAAAAAGTAATTAGGCTCCAAGTTATATGATAACATTTCAAAAAACATAATTAATTTTGAAATACAGGATCTTACACTGAATTAAACAGGTTTAGTTTATCTGATCTTTTTATTTATTTATTTAAAGGAGGAATTTCATGACCTGAAAGAGAGTTACTTGCAAATTCTAAGTTTATAATTGGATACTGGCTTAAGCTTCTATTATATAAGGCATTTAATTTTGGTATTTAAAACATTGATCTTTACATTTAAAAAAAAAAAGTTAAACATACAACTTGATGTTATGGGGTAAATAAATGTTGACCTTTCCCTTTCTTTGTTTGATACTCTTACATAGCATGTATTGCCAGTCGCCTCATTTGTCAAGCTTTGTAGTCATTAATTCAATTATATCCTTCCTCCATTTTTTGGTAGATGATCTCCATTCCTTTTTTTCCAAACAGGGAGGAAAAGAAGTTAGAACTCTGAAGTTCTTGAGTCTCTGTCCCTTTCTTTGTAATATAGCATGCTTTTTCTTTAATTTTAGGGACTTTTACAAGGGATCATCACAAATGTAAAATATCAAGTTAAACCTCATAAGATATTTCTGCCCAAAAGAAACACATTAGGGTACTGGCCTGTCAGGCTTACTAAAGGTGACACACAGGTGTCAGCCACAGAGGTGAAAGGGCCTCAGAATGACACAGTACGTTTTTTATCTCTCAGTATCTTTCAAAATGTAATATCTAATAGAAACCAAAAAAGTGAAATTTACATGTAGGTTTAGAACACAGTAATGATTGTATATTAATAATTTCATGCTTGTATGAAAATTTTCAGATAAACTCTCATGTTAAAAATAATTTCTGAACCTACAAATAAACTAACCCTCCTGTTAGAACGTTATGACTATATGTAATGTAAGGAATATATTAACTGTAAGTTTTTTGTTGTTGTTGTTTTGAGACGGAACCTTGCTCTGTCACTCAGGCTGGAGTGCAGTGGTGTGATCTCGGCTCACTGCAACCTCGGCCTCCTGGGTTCAGGCGATTCTCCTGCCTCAGACTCTCGAGTAGCTGGGATTACAGGCACCCACCACCACACTTGGCTAATTTTGTATTTTTAGTAGAGACACAGTTTCAGCATGTTGGCCAGGCTGGTCTCAAACTCCTGACCTCAGATGATCTGCCCGCCTTGGCCTCCCAAAGTGCTGGGATTACAAGTGTGAGCCACCGCACCTAGCACAACTGCAGGGTTTTAAATATTAATGTTATTAATGTTACTAATGTTGTTGCTGAAAATGGAACTCAAATAATATGTAATTTGGATTTTCTGTATTTTGCCTTGTAGATAGTGATTTACATATATTGACTAGCAGATTTTTAGTACTTATGAACTCATTTTCAGTTGGATTGTTGTTTTTTTCCCCCTCCTAAGTATATAAAAACCCCACTGACATTTTAGGGCCTCTAGCTGCTGTTTGAGGTGACAGTGCCAAGGAATGGACTCTAATCCTAAACTACTGAGTAAATGTTTTTTTAAGTCCTATGCTACTTTTATCAAAGAAAATAAAATCAAATCTGAGAAGAGGGGGAAGAGAAATAACTATTTTTAGGACCCAGACTTGGAGATCTGTGCCAACCAAACATCTACTATAATCGAGAGAAGGTAATAATCATGGTTTTAGTTGTCATCAGCTAAGTGTGGGCTGGAACTTTCTTGTATCCAGTGTCAACCTGTGTCAAAGTGCAAGCTAGAGATCTAATGAATATGATCTCCTACACAATGCTTAAAGATACATGAAATACTTCCCATCTAAATCCTTACATAATTTATTTATATACATGGGCATATGTTTTCTTTTACATATGTGTATATCTGTATGTATACAAATCTTCAAGTGAATAATTGTATAAATATATGTATGTTCTAACTTACAGAATTAGAAATGTAATTCAGTTTACTCCCAAAGGATAAGATTGAAGATAATGAGAACTGAATTAAAGCTTACTTTCTTTCACAGAATTCCTCAGAGAGAGAAGACTGTAATAATGGCGAACCCCCTAGGAAGATAATACCAGAGAAGAATTCACTTAGACAGGTATGAAATTCAGCCTTACTTAAAATAAAAAGCTACCAACAGCAAAACAAAAGACAGGAGGAAACCCTTGATTTGCCATTCTTTAAGCACTGGAGCTTATATTAAGAGTACTCGGACGTTGGCCTGGCCATAGCCATCACTTTCAATCAGGTGACATGGTTTTCCCAGTTATTTAAAAAACATTCTAGGTATACATGTACAGGACAGCTGGTTGGCATTTTTAAAAAAGTATAAAAACAGATCTGCCTGTAATAAAGTTAGCCCTTTTAGTATGAGCAATATTTTGTTTGCTTTTTCTAGAAGAAAAGGCCATTGTTAATAATAACTTAAAAAAACAGCAGCCGGGCAAGGTGGCTAACGCCTATAATCCCACCACTTTGGGAGGCTGAGGCAGGCGAATACCTGAAGTCGGGAGTTCGAGACCAGCCTGACCAACATGGAGAAACCCAGTCTCTACTAAAAATACAAAAATTTGCTGGGCATGCTGGCGCATGCCTGTAATCCCAGCTACTCAGGAGGCTGAGGCAGGAGAATCACTTGAACCCCAGAGGCAGAGGTTGCGGTGAGCTGAGATTGCGCCATTGCACTCCAGCCTGGGCAACAAGAGCAAAACTCCGTCTCAAAAAAAAAAAAAAAAAATAGCTCACCACTGTGCCCCAATAGAAGGTAACACATTTTACTTGTGAAAGTTCAATACCATTGTGTTCTTGTAAAAATTAGAATGTCCTTGGCAAAAACAAGAAACGCAAGTTCTTATGATGTTGCCAGAGAATAAGTGTGCCACCTATTCATTTTTATTTTTATTATTTTATTTTATTTTTATTTTTGAGACAAAGCCTCACTCTGTCGCCCAGGCTGGAGTGCAGTGGCGTGATCTCGGCTCACTGCAACCTCTGCCTTCTGGGTTCAAGCGATTCTCCTGCCTCAGCCTCCTGAGTAGCTGGAATTACAGGTGCCTGCCACCATGCCTGGCTAATTTTTGTATTTTGGGGTTTTTTTTTTTTTGAGACACAGTCTTGCTCTATCGCCCAGGCTGGAGTGCAGTGGTGTGATCTTGGCTCACCACAACCTCCACCTCCAGGGTTCAAGCGACTCTTCTGCCTCAGCCTCCTGCGTAACTGGGACTACAGGTGCCCACTACCACACCGGGCTAATTTTTGTATTTTTAGTAGAAACGGGGTTTCACCATGTTGGCCAGGCTGGTCGCAAACTCTTGACCTTGTGATCTGCCCACCTAAGCCTCCCAAAGTGCTGGGATTACAGGCATGAGCCACTGTTCCCGACCTAATTTTTGTATTTTTAGTAGAGACAGGGTTTCACCATGTTGGCCAGGCTGTTCTCAGACCCCTGACCTCAGGTGATCTGCCCAGCTTGGCCTCCCAAAGTGCTGGGATTACAGACATGAGCCACCACACCTGGCCCTGTATTCATTTTTAATATAAAATTGGATACAATGAGCCTGAGCAGCAGTAAAAATAATTCTAATTTACTTGGATTTATAGCATTGTTCTAGGAAATAGGAGATCTAATATTTGTTGAGCACCCACCGTGAACATGATGCTTATTTGATTTAACCCTCACAATAACCCTGTAAAGTTTTTAGATATGATGTGACTTCCAATTTATAGATGAAGAAAATGGAGGGTTAGAGAGGTTAGATGACTTGTCTAGCTAATTAGTGATTTGATACTCAGATCTCAGTGTTTCCAAAGCGTTTCTACTTGTGCCTTCTGACTTCAGTTTATATATAGTGTTTAGAGGGAAAGTACTTGAAACTGTGACACATTCATTTTTTAATTTACTATATGTTAAATGTTTTTTGGATGAACACTTCTTTTTTTTATAAAAATAATTGTTTAGTAAATAGAATTGAATCATCCAGGAAGCTTTAAAAAAAAAAACAAACAAAAATCCACAAATGATCAGTAATTGATGTTGAGACAGTTACAATTTTAACTGTTTGGAGAATCAACACCTGATCTGTTCATCTAAACCAATAGGACAATACTGAATAAGATAAATTGGGAAGTAGGAACACTCTGCCCACTATACAGAAACAACTGTCGGAAAACAATGACACAACAAAAGTTTTGGCAACTTTATTTAAGCTAACAAACGAATTTTCTCTCTGCAAAGTTATAAATTAATTTTAATAGGCTGATCCAGATGGTCCATTTGGAAAATGGATAGGCTGATCTGTTGAAAATTAAACTAAATTTATCTCTCTCATACTTCAAACTGAAGCAAGAGAGAGAATCATGCCTATTAAGTCCAGCACATACAGATGGACCAGCAGGTCACACATGGGACTAATCTGATTCATTTTAAAAATAAATGCATACATTATTGAATCATTTTCTACTTGCAAGATCTGTTGTGTGCAATATTCGAAAGAGATTTAATGTTGTTTTTTTCATTGCCGTTTTAGCAGGTTCTCTTCCCCACTCCCCCTGCCCACTTTAATTTAACAACCTTCCCCCCCACCCCCCCCATGGTGCTTTGAAATGATTTTTCTAATATCTGTCATTCAGTGTTGAGATCCAAGCTCTGGAGATTAATTAGGTCATGAGGCTTTTTCTCCTCCCTTCTTTGTAAAGGGTTTTATCTCCATTCTCTTTGTGAAGAGCATGAACTCAATGTTCTTGGAAAGAGAAATGGCCTTTAGAAACAGGGAAGTAGGAGATCCTCCTGGGGCCCTCAGAGTCTTTTAGCTTCTGGGTGTTTTAGCAGCCCCATGAATGCAGATTTGTAAATTTATTGCAGTGCCATCTGGTTTTTTGCTCGAACCAGATTACTGTTGGCTTGTGTCTGTCTATTGTGGTGGTCACTCCCTAGGAGCTTGCCCTCTCTATCTTAGGGAAGAGTGATGAATAGCAGGGGTCAATAGAAGCGGGTCACAGGGCAGCTGTCCAGGACTGCCCTGAACTTGATTACCCCATTGCTGATTTTTTTTAAGGTAGGACATAGTATATAAGCTGTTTAAACTCCCTCTTTTCTCTATTGCATATGACAATAATGAAGTGCCATTTGCTATTTTGTTTTTTTGTTTTTGTTTTGTTTTGTTTTTCCTGTAGTCAACTTCTGTAGACAAAAAGATGTCAAGGCCGCCTTATACCTAGTATTGATACAAGTAGGATTTGCATCTCATTAACTTGAGATTCTTTTGCAGATATTTCTAATGGGATTTCAGAAACTCACTATTGATTATAAAAAGTTCAGTTATCTTCTAGCAATTTAACATTGTTTTTAACTAATATTATAGTTGACATATATTATTCAAAAATAGCGTTTTGCCATTGTTGATAGGACATAACTACTGCATGTTAATTTGGAGAGCTATTTAAATATTGGAGGAGCAAACAACTTTATACCAAAAATTTGGCAAGTTGAACAAATTCCTTGAAAAATACAACTTACCAAAACTCTTAACACAGGGTGAAGCAAAATTTGAATAGCCTGATGTCTATTAAATAAATTTAATTAATCATCAGAAGGGACATGTGGTTTTACTGGTGAATTCAACAAATATTTAAGGAAGAAATGATACGAATTTTATGCCAGACCCTTTCACAGAATAGAGAAGGAAAGAACACTCCTTGACTTAAAAATCCACCATAACAGTAATTCCAAAACCCGACAAAGATATTACCAGAACAAGAAATAATGAAGGTGGAAATTAAGAGACACTGTTCCCTGTGTCTGTCACCAAGTCATTTTGTATACCTGCTTTTTCGTTTCATTTCCAGCATCTGAAGATGGAAGAGTTTGGGGTAGGGAGAGGAAGTAGAGCAGTGTATCCTTGTAAAGAAAGTTAATTTTCTTAGTTTCAGAATAATCTCATTTCTTGGCATTAAATATGAACTTTTATTTAAAGGATGTACAAAATAGCTACAATTTTTGTTTTACTCCTAAAAATGTGAAGTCAAGGAAAGGATAGCCACTGTTTTCCTACCTTTTATTCCTATCTGCAATCAAGGGCAAAGGCCTGGGAGGATACATGAAAGTACTCATTACTTTTTGAAAATTGTGGCATTACAACGTTCAACTCTTTGCTTCTCATTGGTGCTAATAGGATCTGTCAGCCCTGCCTTTCTCTGTAATTGAGTAAATTGTGACCGTTGTCTAATCCCTCTCCCATCCCCCATTTCCTTTGTGTATGTGTCCACTTACCATCCTGAGAACGTGGGCAGTGATAAATAAAGCATTGAGTAGAGCTCTCTCAACTCTCTGAAAGCAGCATGATGCCAGCCCTCTAGTTATATTTCTTTAAGTGTTTAGGTTTTTCTGTATTCTTTCTCTTGTGTAGCTGGAACCCTGGGGATGCAAAGCCATGAGAGAGGCCAAGAAGCTAACAAAGTAGCTGTCTCCCTTGTTAGCTTGTTCCTTTATTCTTTAAAAACAAGATAAAAACCATCTGGCTCAGGGCATTACATTTTCCTCCCCCATGCACCTCTATAGATGGAGACTTCACCTGCAGTGAGGGTTTACATTGATTAGGGAGGGAGCAGTAATTCAAGCTTCCATCCTCTTCAAGGATACTTTGCAGTCTTTAAAGGTGCTGACCCACTGAGTTAGACTGTCAAGGGAGGATAAAAAAGTATCTTCATCCCAGGAGGTAACAGCTGCCAGGTTTTCAACACCTTGCACGCTGCTGGAAAAATGTCACAATTGTCAGCTGAAAGAAAAATGACTGTGTTGTCATCTTCTGTTAATGACTGGGCCTTATAAAAGGAACTACATAAGTCTTTTAGAAGGAATAAGTAGCTGTTTTCCTTTTCTACCATATTCCCCTCCCCTGAAAAAATTCCTGCGTTCTAAACATTGCCTTGGAGTAGATCCACAAAAAACAGCAGTGAAGAACTTAAATCAGCCAGTATAAGCATGGAAGTCTGATGGGCATAGCTCCTTTATACAGTTGGATGAGTAGGAGGAAAAAGCACATCACTGACACAGAAAATGACATTATAGTGTGTATTAACAAAACAACCACAACAACAAAAAGTCATTCATAAGCCAGTGAACTGAGAGAAAACATACTGTATTTCTGTTCTTTGGAGGACAATTTATTTTCAAGCAGCATCCAGATGGGTAAATACCAAGACATTTCTTTTTTCAAGAGAGCTCCTTTTCTTCCTTTAAAAAAAAAAAAAACACAGAATTTGCTTCCTTTAATAGCTCTGTAATGTTCATATATGATGGCATTCCCTTCTTTCTGATTTGATTGATGAGGGAAAAAGGTTTAATGAAGTCCCTGATATCAGGCAGGCAGGGTTTTTTTTTTTTTTTTCTCTCTATTTGTTTTAGGTTAGTCACTTTAATTGTATTGAGTAATTAGAAGGTACACACAGCCAAGGGAGCTTTGTTCTGATAATTGCTCGAGAAAACCCATTCCCTATCTGCCGTTGCTTTGTGTTAAGACACTTCTCCCTCTAGTGGCAATAGTAAGCACTTTGGCTTGGCAGTAGGCAAGGTGTAATTGCAATATGACAAACTATGCTTAAGGGACTGTCTTGTAAATACTTTCGTTTGGGGTTTGCATTATTTCATTATATATGTGTGGTTGGTTGTTGTTGGTTTTTTTTACTCTATAAAACTTGCTACCTCTTTTTGCCCTCCTAAAGTGCTTTGGGCTTTGGGTAAAAAAAAAATTGCCTGAGATGTTTATTAATAAAAAAAATCACAATGCATTCTGGGTAATGTTTTGCAGCTTGACTTAATTTTAGTCATCTGTTTTAATTACCTATTTATAAAAATGCCTTTGCATTTGTAGACATTATTTAATACTTTGGAAGAAGCACCTCATTTGAAATAAATAAATAAATTGTACTTATTTTAAATAGTCCATGTAAAAGATCTTAAAGGTAATTAATGTAGGTCTCTTAAGTAAGACAAAAGTGATCTTTCCAAATCTGACGAAGTGATTTGTTTATATAACTTCCCACTTCTGTTGAATCCTTTAGAGTCTAATAACTTTTTTAAGAAAACACGGTTTGGCAATTTGTGCCTAGCTACAAAAACCCTTCTTCAAAAAGGAGCAATTTAATAACCGGCTTTCTTAAAATTACTTTGAGGAAGGAAGACCGTATGGGGGGTTGGTGCTTTGTTTTATTTGTATTTTAATGTAATCATTCTTTGATAAATTGTGTAATCACTGACTTAGTAGGAAAAATATTATTGAACTCCTGGGTTGCAATGACCATAAAGAGTGTATTTTCATATAGAGAGTTGTGATACTGGGAATAAATTATAAAGGAAACAGTTTATATGCTGGTCAAAGTCCATATGGGCCCAATTCATTTTGTTTTCAGTGCTTACTCTGGATGTACCATTAAAAAAGGCGGGGGGTGGGGTGGGAGGAAGCCTGTTGTGCTCATCTGCATGAGCCCTAAAAAAAAAATCTGCCCTAAAAACAACACGGAATGATAGCAGATGCAGCTTTGCATCTATTGAACAAGATTCAGTAGCATCTGTGTGGCATTTTTAAAACCCACTTCCAGCTTCCTTAGATATTGCTTTTTGGTTTGCTTTTTCTATACCATATTCTTGTGTGGGACATGATTTGATGTTACCATGTATCTGGAAGTCCCTGTCTTCCTATACCCCCACTCCCAGTCACTAACGATTTTCATTATACTATATCTTGTTATGCTATAGGGCTGCTGAACAGATTTCTAAGCAGCTTTTTGCAAGGTTAAAACAATGCAGCCCAGTAACAAGTTTGTGTAATTTTAAATATATACCTTCTAGTAAATAAGGGCAAGTCTGGCAATCAATCCCTTTTAGTGTGTTATATGTTTCACCTGACAACTAAACCTTCTATTGATTAGCCATTACTTTGTTAGATAATCCTATGTCATTGAATCCATTGTAAAAAATTAAACTCTTTAAAATGTTTTACCCTAGCAGCAGTGTGAAAATTGAAAACTTGTTCAGAATTACAGCCTGCTTTCACAAAGAAGGTAGTTTTCAGCAAGGCATCTTACTAGTTTATGCTTATGTGCTTTATATGCGATATAAAAACGTATTAAAGTACTCCAACGCAAAACTCTCTGCCTCTGGTTCAGCAATGAAGCTACCTTTTCAAGTGTTGCATGGGGACAGAACCTATCTTGCCTGTGGCTATTATATTCACTAGTTGGATTTCAAACTGGAGAGAGTCTTACAGGAAAATATTGAATGGAAAATATTGAATGTTTTAGCCTTTTAATTGCAGAGTGGTAAAGGAACTATGACAAATTTTAGTTTATTGATCTGTGTTACTTCCTTGGGAGATCAGCAAAGTCATTTACCCATTTTACAGATGGAATGTCTAGAAAATAAAGTCCTATATATAGCCCTACTCTGGAAACTCCCTCAGGCCTGGCACAGAGTTTCTGAATCTATCTAATGGTCCCCTAAATATGTTATTACATATTCATTCATGAAGGGAAAAGAGGGTAATTTTGAAGGAAAATAAATTTTCTTTTTATAACTTAGTATTTTCAGAAAAATAGCATGATACATTTATTGATGACTGGACAAACCTCTGTAAAAAATTTACTCCTAAGATACTTCTATTGGAAGTTTTCATACAGTGAATTTTACAGATATTAATTGTATAAGTCTGAATTTTTGATAAATCTAACCACCTGTGTAACCACCACCCTAATTAAACTATAGAATATTTTCATAACCTAGGAATGTCTCTTGTTCTCCTTTCTACTTATTTTCTGCACCACCAATGGATCAAATACTGATCAGCTTACTGTCACTGTAATTTTGCCTTTTCTAGAATTTTGTGTAATGGAATGCTATATTTTTGGGGTCTGACATTCACTTTGCATAATGTTTGTGAGATTCCTCTATGTTGCTGTGTATATCAGTAGTTTATTCTCTTTCATTGAGTTGAATAAATATATCGCAGTTTGTTTTCTGTCTCCTTTTGGTGGATATCTGAGCCATTTCCATCATTATAAGTGAAGTTACTATGAACGTTCTTCTATAAAGGTTTTTGGTGAGCATATGTTAAGTACTTTTTCATGTGCTTATTGGTTATTCAGACATTTTCTTTGTGAAGTATCTTTTAAGTTTTTAGCCATTTTTAAAAATTGCATTGTTTGCCTTTTTATTATTGAGTTGTAGACTCAACTGTATTGAATTCTGGATACCATTCATTTGTCAGATATATGTACTCTGATTATATCTCACAGTCTATGGTTTGCCTGTTTATGGTATGTTTTGATGAGAAGTTTCTAATAGTTGGATGAAATCCAGTTTACCAATTTTTCTTTCTTTTTTTTTTTTTTTTTTTTTGAGACGGAGTCTCGCTGTGTCGCCCAGGCTGGAGTGCAGTGACACAATCTCGGCTCACTGCAACCTCTGCCTCCCAGGTTCAAGCAATTCTTGTGCCTCAGCCTCCTGAGTAGATGGGATTACAGGCATGCGCCACCACATGCTAATTTTTGTATTTTTAGTAGAGACGGGGTTTCACCATGTTGGCTAGGCTGGTCTCGAACTCCAGACCTCAGGTGATCCGACCGCCTCAGCCTCCCAAAGTGCTGGGATTACAGGCGCGAGCCACCGCGCCTAGCCGGTTTTTTCTTTTAGAAGGGATACTTCCTTTGGTCCTACCTAAGAAATCTTTGTCTACCCCATGATTGTGAAGATATTCTTCTAAGTTTTCTTCTGGGAGCTTTATAAGTTTACTATTTATACTTAATTCTATGATCCATCTCAAATTAATTCTTATACGTGCCATGAAGTAGAGTTTGGGCTTCATTATTTTTGCCGTAATTTCATTCAGTTGTTTCAGCACCATTGTTGAAAAGACTTTCTTTTCCCCCATTGAATTACATGAATTCATTTGTCCAAACCATTTAGTTATATAAGAGTTATATTCTCAAACCTCCTGAAGAAAACGTTGCTGCTGGACCCAGAGCAGTGGGTGACAGTGCCTAAGGTACTGACCCATCCCTATTTTATGTCCCTGTAGACAAGGCGGACAAGAAAAATGATAGGTGTCTATCCTTGCACCAAATACCATAGTGTCTTGATTATTGTCATTTTATATAATGGGCCATGAAATCAGGTAGTGTGAGTTCTCTAGATTTGTTGTTTTATTTTTTGTTATTCCAGATAGTTCACATTTCTATATAAATTTTAGAATCAACCTTGCACTTTCTATTAAAAAGCAGTCTGTGAGGGGCTGGGTGTGGTGGCTCCCTCCTGTAATCCCAACACTTTGGGAGGCCGAAGTGGGAGGATCGCTGGAGCCCACTGAGTTGGAGGCTACAGTGAGTTATGATCACACCACTGCACTCCAGCCTGGGCAACAGAAAGAGAAACTATCTCCAAAAATAGACAGACAGATAGATAACTACTTTTTTTTTCATCTGAGATATATAGGATTTTGCCCCCGTTATTCTGTTAATACGACAAATTACCTTGATTTTTGTTAAGAGTTTTTGTGTCTGTTTCATGTGAGGTACTGGTTTGCAGTTTTCTTTTTTAAGTGTTTGCCAGGTTTTGGTATCAGAGTTATGCTGGTCTTATAAAATGAATTGGGAAATCTTCCTCCCATCCTCCTCTGTTTTCTAAAAGCACTTGTGTATAATCCTGGTGGTGTTTCTTCCTTCAGATTTCATAGAATTCACAAACCACTTGGGCCTGTAGTTTTCTTTGTGAAAGATTTTTTAAACTTATTATTTAAATTTATGTGGCAAGATGTTTTAGAGCAATTTGAATTTCTTTTAGAGGTATAGAGCTGTTCAGATTTTCTGTTTCATGTGTCAATTTTGGTAATTTGTGTTTTTGAAGAAATGTTTCCTGTTTATTCAACAGATTATAATATGTTAATATCTTTTATTTTAATACTGTGATTGTTTCATATTGGGCTACTGAAAGCCTCTTTCGGCAGGCTTCCATGCCCCCTTTGACGTATCTTCATCGTTCTGAGTATTTCCATCTTATAGTTTCCCTGGTCAGTCCTGGAGTCAACCATATTTCCATGAATGTATGATTCCCTTTAGTGCAGAATGGTATTTAAAAACCAAGATTCAAACACTGACTTTTCTTTTACATCTATATTTATATACTTTGAAACCATTAGTTCACATTGATAACTCCAATTCTAATTCAACCCCACAGGGTTTGTTCTAGATTTCTTTCTTTCCATATTTCATTTTTCTCCCTTCCTTCCTTCCTTCCCCTTCCTTCCTTTTTCTTTTCTTTTCTTTTCCTCTCTTCTCTTCTCTTCTCTTCTCTTCTCTTCTCTTCTCTTCTCTTCTCTCTCTTCTTTCTTTCTTGTTTTTGGTAGAGATGGGGTCTCTCCCTATGTTGTCCAGGCTGGTCTTGAATTCCAGAGCTCAAGCAATCCTCCTGCATTGGCTTCCCAAAATGTTGGGATTATAGGCATGAGCCACCCCACCCCTTTCCTAACATAGGAAACCTGGTTTAAGATTTTTTTCCTTTCAGCACTTTAAAAATATTGTTCCCAGCTGGGCGTGGTGGCTCATGCCTATAATCCCAGCACTTTGGGAGGCCAAGGTTGGGTGGATCACCTGAGGTCAGGAGTTCGAGACCAGCCTGGCCAATATGGTGAAACCCTGTCTCTACTAAAAATACAAAAATTATCTGGGCATGGTGGCGCACACCTGTAGTCCCAGCTACTTGGGAGGCTGAGGCAGGAGAATTGCTTGAACCCGGGAGACGGAGGTTGCGGTGAAATAAAAATATTATTCGCTTGTCTCCTAGCCTTCATTTTTTTATGAAAAGCCTGACATTATTTATATCGTTACTCCTAGATACCTAACATCCCCTTTTTCCTTGGCTCCGTTCAAGGTTTTATCTTTATCACTCGTTTTCAGCAGTTCTGACTGTGATGGGCCTATATGTGTTGTTTTCTTTGTATTTTTAACATGACTGGGGTTTGCTGATCTGAAATCAGAAAGCCGCTAGTTTTCACAAAATTTGGGGAAGTATTTGATCACTATTTTTATAACTTCTTTGCTGTACCGTTCTCTTCTCCCTTCCTTGGACTCCAGCCACGCATATATTCTAGATAATCCAGAATTGTCCCACACAGTGACTAAGACCGATCTTTTTTTTTTCTTTTCTTAATCTCCTTTTTTTCTCTCTGTTCTTCAGTTTATATGATTTCAGTTTATCTATCTTTTTTTTTTTCGGTTTATCTGTCTTCATTGACCTTTTCTTCTGTCACTTCCAGTCTGCTTTTTAAGCCTCTCCAGTAAATTTTTTGATTTTTTTGAGATAGGGTCTCACTCTGTTGCTCAGGCTGAAGTGCAGTGGCATGAACATGGCTCACTGCAGCCTTGACCTTCTGGGCTCAAGCAACCGCCCACCCCAGCCTCCTGAGTAGCTGGGACTACAGGTGTGCACCACTATACCCAACTAATTTTTCTTTTTTCTCTTTTTTTTTTTTTTTTTTTTTTTGAGACAGAATCTCAATCTGTTGCCCAGGCTGGAGAACAGTGGTGCAATCTCAGCTTACTGCAACCTCCGTCTCCCGGGTTCAAGCGATTCTCCTCCCTCTGCCTCCCAAGTAGCTGGGATTACAGGCACTTGCCACCATGCCCAGCTAATTTTTGTATTTTTGGTAGAGATGGGGTTTCACCATGTTTGCTAGGCTGGTCTCAAACTCCTGACCTCAGGTGATCTGCCCGCCTCGGCCTCCAAAGTGCTAGGTGTAAGTCACTGGGCCTGGCCAATTTTTTCTATTTTTTGTAGAGACAGGATCTCACTACGTTGCCCAGGCTGGTCCTGAACTCCTGAGCTCAAGCTATCCTCCTGCCTCGGCTTCCCAAAGTGCTGGGATTACAGGCATGAGCCACCATGCGCAGCCTGAATTTTTCATTTCAGATAATGCACTTTTCAGTTCTAGAATTTCTATTTAGTTTATTTTTGGTTTTTCATTTTCTGGTAGAATTTTTCATCTGTTTATTCATTGTGATCATATCTTTTATTGCTATGTTCAAGTTTGAACATATCTATTATAGCTTCTTTAGAGCTATAATATGTGCTAATTTCTACAACTAGGTCTTCTCAGGGTTGGTTTTTGGTTCATTTTTCTCTTGACAATGGATCCCATTTATCTCCTTTTTCTCATTTTTAGTAATTTTTGATCATATAACCAACATTATAAATGGTACATTGCAGAAACTCTGAATTCATTTTTTCTTCCTCTGATTAAATTACTGGCTGATCACTATGACCTTGTGGAGGCTTGGTTTTGTATTTGTTAAGGTCAGGTGTATTTTGGTTTTGCCCTTAGTCCTAAGACATACTCTTGAATCTAAACTCATGGTCTCTTTGAATTTTTAATGGAAAGCCTAAGATGTTATTACATCCCTCTAACTTGATAGAAGTCAAACTCTAAACTCTTTCTCCCCCCATGAGCAGCAGCTGGAATATCTGCACAGGCCTTTCAACCCTCCAGCTGTTGCTCTCCATTGAAATCCTTGGAATCTCCCCTTCATGTACGTAGTTTGGGTGTTAGCCATAGATTTGAGGGGAATTTATATGTAATTTTTTAGTCTTCCTCCTTCCCCTGTGGTTCTCTTTCATTTCTGGGATTTCTGTTCTCTATTGCCAGCCACTATGGCAGTTTTGAACTCTTATCACTTGATATCTCAAGCCAATAGACTGTGGCTTTCAGATTGAATTCTAGTCACCCTGCACCAAGTGGACTCGTGAGTGCCTTCAGGGGAAAAGCACATAAACACACATCTCACCCAGTGTGGTTCTCTTCTTTCAAGATCAGGCCACTCCTTCCCCATTTTCCGTCTTTTTTAAGTCGATCTCCAGTGCCTTTATGTAGCTTTAAAATGTTTTTCCTATCTGCAAGAGGGTTTATCTGATACAAACATTTCTGCCATTACTGGAAGCGGAACTCTTTGAGTCAAGTTATATTTTTTTCAGCAAATACTGATTACTTCATAAATTTATCTTTAAAACATAGTGAATTTTATTTTAAAAATATTTATGTTTGTGTGTGTATGAATAGTAAATGTTTGTGGAATTAGACAACGCAAAAGAAATAACAAATCTAGAGCCCAGAATTTACATGCACCAATATTTAAATCTGTACACTAATTTCTAATGCTCTATTTTTTCATATATATTTTGAAATAATTTTTACTTAAATTATAAGAATAAAACAAGTTGGTAAATTTTTTAAGGTTTAGCCTGTTTAAAAGAAAAACAGCTGGGCGTGGTGGCTCACGCCTGCAATCCCAGCACTTTGGGAGGCCAAGGCAGGTGGATCAATTAAGGTCAGGAGTTCAAGACCAGCCTGGCCAACATGGTAAAACCCTGTCTCTACTAAAAATACAAAAATTAGCCGGCCGTGGTGGCACATGTCTGTAATCCCAGCTACTTGGTAGGCTGAGGCAGGAGAATCACTCGAACCTGGGAGGTGCAGGTTACAGTGAGCCGAGATTGCACCACTGTACTCCAGCCTGGGAGACAGAGTGAGACTCCGTCTCAAAACAAAAACAAAAACAAAAACAGAACTGACTTTATAATATCGATGGGGAGTTATATATCTCTACTATTTTCCCCATTTTTTCTTAAATTTTATCTATTTTCTTTCCAAAGAATGATAGTTGACCAAAATCAGATTCTTTAAAATATCTCTTCATGCTGATATAAACAAATGAGTAAATAAATAAATGAGGGGTGAAATCACATCTTTTCCTTACAGAAGAATTCCAGTTAATGTGGAAGGAAAGACAAAAATAATAAATTCACTATTAGAATACACAGTAAAAATTACCATAGGCATGATTAGCACCCAATGGATGCTAAAATTAGCAAGCTGAGATGCAAGTAGAAACAGAATATTTGCATAGTCTCCAAGTATTTTGCCATATATATATATATATATATATATATATATATTCAGTAATTCCTAAGGGGAAAATAATGTTTATACTGGAGAATCTTGGCAGACATGTCCTTAGCTGTATAATCAAGGCTAACATCACCAGAAATACCAGCATACCTTCTGATTTGATGCAGTGAGAGGGGCACATCACCTCTAAAGTATCTTTCCCCAAAATAACCTCAATCTGATCATGAGAAAATATCAGACAAACCCAACTTGAGGCACAGTCTGTAGATTAACTGATCAGTGCTGTTTAGCAGTGTCAGTCATGAAAGACAAGGAAAGACTGAGGGATTGTTGAAAATAAGAGGAGCCCTAAGAGACATGACAAATAAATGCCATGTGGGATCCTAGATTAGATGCTGAACAGAAAAAGGACATTAGTGGAAAAACTGGTGAAACCTGAGTAAGTTCTGTACTTTATATAGTACCAAGTTAATTTCTTAGTTTCGATAAATGTTCTGTAATTATGTAAGATATTAACATATGGAGAAGCTGGGTGACAAGTATATAGGAAATCTTTACTTTTTCTTTCTTTCTTTTTTTAAAGAGATGATGTCTTGATTTGTTGCCCAGGCTGGAGTGCAATGGCATAATCATAGCTCCCTGCAGTCTTCAACTCCAGGGCTCAGTCAGTCCTCCTGAGTAGCCAGGACTACAGGCCTGTGCTGCCACGCCCAGTTAATTTTTTTTTTTTTTTAAATAGAAATGTGGGCTTGTATGGAACTCCCGGTTTCAAGTAGCCCTCCTGCCTCTACCTCCCAAAGTGCTGGGATTATAGGCATGAGCCACTGTGCTTGAACTTTACTATTTTTGTACTTGTTCTATAAATCTAAAATTATCTCAAAATGTTAAAAAATTGAATTCTTTGTTACTGTTGGTTTTGAGTGTCTTAAGATTTTTCTTCTTAAATCCAACACAAGTATTTATAGCAATGGTTCTCGAAGAGTGTTCCTGGATCAGCAGCACTAACGTCAACTGGGGCCTTGTTAAAAATGCAAATGTTCAGAAGCTCTGGGGATGGAAACCTAGCAATCTGTGTTTGTTTTGTTTTGAGACAGAGTCTTGCTCTGTCACCCACGCTGGAGTGCCGTGGCACGATCTAGGCTTACTGCAGCCTCTGCCTCCCGGGTTCAAGCGATTCTTCTGCCTCAGCCTCCCGAGTAGCTGGGATTACAGGCATGCACCACCACGCCTGGCTAAATTTTTTTATTTTTTTATTTTCTTTTTTTGTATTTTTAGTAGAGACGGGGTTTCACCATGTTGGTCAGGCTGGTCTCAAACTTCTGATCTCAAGTGATCCTCCTGCCTTCGCCCCCCAAAGTGCTGGGATTACAGGTGTTAGCCACCAGGCCCCACCGTGATCTGTGTTTTAACAAGCCCTCCTTCCAGATGATTCTGATGCGCACTAAAGTTTGATAAACATAATTTATACCATCAGTAAAAACTTAAGACTAAAAGGAAACATTTCTATTAATATATTGTCCAGTAATTAATAAGTTTGCTTTTCATAAAGTATAACTATAGTATTACCAATGTTTTGTTTTGTTTTTGGTAGAGACAGGGCCTCGCTGTGCTGCCCAGGCTGATCTCAAACTCCTAGGCTCAAGTGATTCCCCTGCCTCGGCCTCCCAAAGTGCTGGGATCACAGGCATGAGCCACTGTGCCCAGCTATCACCAGTTTTTAAAATCCATTTCCTATGATTTTTTTCTTTCTTTTTTATTTGGAGACAATGTCTTGCTCTGTTGCCCAGGCTGGAGTGCAGTGGCGTGATCTCAGCTCACTACAACCTCCATCTCCTGGGCTCAAGCGATTCTCGTCCCTCAGCCTCCTGAGTAGCTGGAACTACAGGCACCCACCACCATGCCTGGCTAATATTTTGTATTTTAGTAGAGACAGGGTTTCACCATGTTGCCCAGGGTGGCCTCAAACTCCTGAGCTCAGGCGATCTTCCCACCTCGGCTTCCCAAAGTGTTAGGATTACAGGTATGAGCCACCGCACCTGGCCTGATTTTTCTATTTTATCTCTTCAACATTACCAGATGTACTTAAGGGATAACTTCTAAGGTCTAGATAGGCCCAGTGAGGCTGCTCTTGCCTGTAATCCCAGCACTTTGGGAGGCCGAGGCGGGTGGGTCACCTGAGGTCAGTAGTTCAAGACCAGCCTGGCCAACATGATGAAACCCCATCTCTACTAAAAATACAAAAAATTAGCTGGGCATGGTGGCAGGCGCCTGTAAGCCCAGCTACTCGGGAGACTCAGGTGGGAGAATCACTTGAACCTGGGAGGCGGAGGTTGTAGTGAGCCGAGATTGTGCCACTGCACTCCAGCCTGGGCAGCAGAGCAAGACTCCATCTCAAAAAAAAAAAAAATAGGTAAGTGTTGGTTTATCTTTTTTCAATGTTCTTTCAATTTTGGTTTATTTCTCTTTTCTTTTTAAAGCCAAAAGTCAAAGCTTGTATTGAGATTCTTTTATAAAAATATTTCATGATTAGTTTTAAAATAATTTTTTTTTTCTGGATGGTTTAAAATTTTTTCATTTATTGTTCTGAATAAGAAACATGTCAGCTGAGCACAATGGCTCGTCCCTGTAATCCCAGCACATTAGAAGGCTGAGGCAGGAGGATCACTTGAGCTCAGGAGTTCAAGACCAGTTTAGGCAACATGGCAAAACCCCATCTCTACAAAAAATACAAAAAATTAGCTGGGCGTGGTAGCGTGCCCCTGTAGTCCCCCACCTACTCTGGAGGATCACTTGAGTCCCAGAGGCATAGATTGCAGAGAGCCAAGATCTCACCACTGTACTTCCAGCTGGGGTGACAGAGTAAGACCCTATCTCAAAAAAAAAAAAAAAGAAAAGAAAAAAAGAGAAAGAAACATGTCCTCTGTGGGAGGCTGAGGCAGGAGAATCGCTTGAACCCCGGAGGCGGAGGTTGCAGTGAGCCGAGATCACGCCACTGCACCCCAGCCTGGGTGACAGAGCAAGACTCCATCTGGGGAAAAAAAAAAAAAAAAAAGAAACATGCCCTCTAACTACCTTCAGATCTTGATGGTTTTGAAAGTTTAGAAGGAAAAACAACAAAAATAAATCTTTTCTCAGAACGGTAACTGCTGTTTTAAACAGAACTAAGCTCTTCCAATTTGCATTTTAAAATGCTACATAATCAGTACCCCCAGCTTCCATTAATCATTAATACAGTGAAGCCACTGCTGCTTACATACTTGTTCATGGGCACATCAGTGGCTTTTGTAGCCTCTATCTTTGCCCTCCTCCTTTTCTAACTTACCTCTCAGTTCCCATAAGTCTTAACTTATAGATAAAATCTATTTGTGTTTTGACTTGAGAAATAGAGCAGAATTTGAAAACAGGATATGGCAGTATTTCAATATTTTAAAAACCTGTTTCCAACAAATTCTCTTTACAGACATACAACAGCTGTGCCAGACTCTGCTTAAACCAAGAAACAGTATGTTTAGCAAGCACTGCTATGAAGACTGAGAATTGTGTGGCCAAAGTAAGTAATATTGCTCATCAATGTATATTACACCACACCATAACAGTGCCATATCTGTAGGCATCTTTACTCAGTATTGCTTAAGGATTATTACAGGATTATATAGTTAAGAAAAAAATACAAACAGGCATCATTTTATCTAGAACAGATTGCAAGTTAGATTCTCCACCTCTTAATTGCAACAGAATGTTTTGCTTATGAATTCTGGTCACTCTTTAGACTGATTCACATTTGTTTCTTGACACTAGTTGTAGATTATCACATATCAGTAGGATTTGTATAAGATAATGTACAATTGTTTTGATAAGTTTATGGTTTTTAAATACAGTTACGTATAGAGTACATCACATCATTGCAAGGACTGTGAAATATGCTATAGACAACCCAATTATTATATCACTATTATTATTTATTGAGTGGCTAATGTTGGAAATACTGCTTTTGTTGATCTTGATCCACATGGACAAGTATGTTTAGTCATGTGTATGGGCTACCTCTTTTTCATGTATATATGTCATCTCTATAGCCTAGATGTAAAATTAATCTTAAATATTAGAGATCTGATGCTTTTTATATCTATCATAACTCACATTTTCCAAATATCTGTAATTACTGAGGAATTTTGACTAAAATTCAAGTGTCAGACATTTTAGGAATAAGTACTATTAAGTATGGGCTTTGTTTCTTTTACTTGAATTATCTGCAAAAATATTGCCTTTATATCTATTCATAGATTTGCTACTGTTACAACATTCCCAACTTGAACTATTTTAGTTTAACCTATTTTATTATAGATCCAGGCCCTCAGTTTCTTACTGTTATTATTAGAGCTTAGGACTGGTGTCATGTCATTGCTATCTTTGCTACAAAAATCTAATGACAGTTGTCTTAGTCCATGTGAGCTGCTATAACAAAAATACTGTAAGCTGGGTGGCTTATAAACAAAACTAATTTTTTTCTTATAGGGGCTGAGAAGTCCAAGATGAGAGCACTAGCAGATTCAGTGTCTGGTGAGGGCTTGCTCTCTGCCTCATAGATGGTGCCTTCTCACTGCATCCTCACATGATAGAAGAGACTAGCTAGATATCCGAGGTCTCTTTTTTTTAAGGGCACTAATCCCACTTACAAGGGGTCTGCCTTCATGAATTTTGGAGAACACAAACGTTCAGACCATAGCAAAAGCAGAGTTTTTGTTTATTTTTCCTTAAAACATGCAGTAGTCTCTGGGCCTGCTCTATCAACTGGAAATGTATCACACAAAATATAACCATCGAAATCATACATATAAGAAATATCAGAATTTATTTAAAATTACAGTTTAAAAAGGTAGAGTTCATCAGTTAAATGTCTCAAATCCAAATATGTTAATATTTTGCTATAAAATGTAATTATAAATTACATATTTTTCAGTCATTTAGTCACAACTAACAAGTGCTAATTGACCCTATTTTATTTTGTTTTGTTTTATTTTATTTTTAGAGACAGAGTCTTGCTCTGTTGCCCAGGGTAGAGTGCAATGGCACTAATCCTAGCTCAATGCAGCCTTTACCTCCAGGGCTCAAGCCCTGATCTTCCTGCCTCAGCCTCCCGAGTAGCTGAAAACATGAGTGCATGCCACCACACCCAGCTAATTTTTGGTTTTCGGTTTTTTAGAGTTGTTTTGTTTTGTAGAGATGAGGTGTCGCTGTATTGCCTAGGCTGGTCTCGAACTCCTGGCCTCGAGTAATCCTCCCCACTAGGCCTGCCAAAGAGTTGGGATTACAAGCGTGAGCCACTGCACCCAGCCCAAGTCTACTTTATATCCTGCTTTTGTGCATGGAAACAGGGATACACAGTTATTTGGGCCTTTAAAAATATTCTTTCTTTCTTTTTTTCTTTTTTTTGTTTTTGGCCATGCTGCTCTTAGTTTCATCACAAGTGGGTGACTTCTGGCTAAATAAGGTAAAATTTTAGCATGAGCACCAATCCAAGGACAGGGTGATGATTTTAATGAGTTTCACTGAGAGCTGGCCAAGTGAGCATCTGTTCCTTTTGTTTTCTCCATACTTTGTAAGCCAGGATCTCTAATCTAAATAGGTTGGTGTGTGTCTATATGATGTGGAGTTTTTTTTTTTTAATTGTTTTTTTCTCCCACCCTCTGCTTTATTGGTACATGGTTAAAAATCTTCTGCCATCTAGCACAATTATTTAATTTCTTCCATGCTTTTGGATCTTGAGTGAGAAAGTAAGTTTGCTCATTGCTGCTCATCAGTGTGTTTCACTTGCTCCCAGGTGGTGACCTTCTCATTGCATTGTTGCTTATTTTAACATTATTCTGACACCTATATCCTTTCGTCATCCTCTTAAATAATCTAATTTAATGATGATGTCTATCATTTCCTATTGGAACCCAGTTAAATCACTGGTTCCTTTTATTGGCCCACATCCTGTCTTCTGGTTCATTGCTTCAGATTTGAGCCAAATAATCAGTTGGTCAATGTCAAATAAAAACACATAGCTGAAAAATTTTCTTTCTTGCAACAGTCTCCAGTGAGGTACCCATAGCATGAGAATACTGAAAAAGGTTTTCCTTTTTTTTGTGAGATGGAGTCTCACTTTGTCACCCAGGCTGGAGTGCGGTGGTGCCATCTTGGCTTACTACAACCTCCACCTCCTGGGTTCAAGCCATTATCCTGCCTCAGCCTCCCGAGTGGCTGGGATTACAGAAGTGTGTCACCACACCCAGCTAATTTTTATATTTTTAAGTAGAGACAGGGTTTCGCCATGTTGGCCAGGCTGGTCTCGAGCTTCTGACCTCAGGTGATCTCTCTGCCTCAGCCTCCCAAAGTGCTGGGATTACAGGTGTGAGCCACTGTGCCTGGCCAAGTTTTTTCTTTTTTATTTACATGTGTTTTGTGTGTCTCATGATCCCTGTTTCTTTTTTGTTTGTTTGTTTCTTTTTTTTTTTTTTTTTTTTGAGACGGAGTCTTGCTCTGTCACCCAGGTTGGAGTGCAGTGGCATGATCTCGGCTCACTGCAAGCTCCGCCTCCCGGTTTCACGCCATTTTCCTGCCTCAGCCTCCTGAGTAGCTGGGACTATAGGCGCCCGCCACCACGCCCGGCTAATTTTTTGTATTTTTAGTAGAGACGGGGTTTCACCGCGTTGGCCGGGATGGTCTTGATCTCCTGACGTCGTGATCCGCTTGCCTCAGCCTCCCAAAGCAATGGGATTACAGTCGTGAGCTGCCGCATCCGGCCAACTGTTTCTATTGGCCTCTATTGCTTGACCTTTGAATGGAATGACTTGTCATTATTTTTGTTGGTCTGCAAGCTTGTCCCTATTTCCTGTTCTTCACCTTTAGCCCTTAACTGAATAGTTTCATCTGCTGCATTGATATGGCTGCAGTGTTTTCTCAACTTGGTACAAGTGTCTGTTGTTGATTCAGATTGTACTCCATTGTGGCCTGAATCTGTAACCATTTCCATGTGAGAACAACTGTAATATTGTGATATCAACCATTTTTGTCCTTTAGTTCAAAGAGTGACTTTGGCTTGGCTAGAGATACTAATTATAGGCCAAAACCTTATTATTTATTGAATATGGTTCATGTAAGTTTTAGAGAAGACATTAATACTATTTATTTCCCTAAAAGCAGCAATGGTATTATGTTTGGACCCCTATAATACCTTGATTGTAACTCTTTGCCAGAAATATCATAGTCTTATGATAGCTCTATACGAAGGGTACCAATTAGTCCTCTGTAGAATACAAGAAACAAAGCTGTAAAACAAATTACAACCACCCTAAGTTGGCAATAATCTTGTTAGTCTTTAACTTGAAGAAAGAGGCCTAAGAAAAAATTTAAAACTAAAAATGGCCGGGCACGGTGGCTCACACCTGTAATCCCAGTACTTTGGGAGGCCGAGACGGGTGGATCACGAGGTCAGGAGTTCAAGACCAGCCCAACCAACATGGTGAAACCCTGTCTATACTAAAAGTATAAAAATTAGCTGGGCGTGGTGGCACATGCCTATAATCCCAGCTACTCAGGAGGCTGAGGCAGGAGAATCACTTGAACCTGGGAGGCAGAGGTTGCAGTAAGCTGAGATCGTGCCACAGCACTCCAGCCTGGGCGACAGAGTGAGACTCAGTCTCAAAAAAAAAACTGAAAATGTAGGAGGGTCTATTTTATCCCTATAACTTAATCCAAGTAATATTTGGAGGCATTGAGATACCTTTTTGTTTTTTTTCAGAATTCTTTCTCCTGGTTATGGCCCTGTGTTTCATGAGATTTGTGTTTGGAGCATGATGAGCTCTGTGTTTATTGTAGCTTTAAATGGACAGTCATTATTAACTGTCAACTTAGTCTTTAAAATCCATAATCACATTGTGCTTATTACTTGTCAACCTTCATGATTTTTTTTAATTGGTAAAGAAAACTCACTGGAAGGCTGAAAAGCATTACTTTTTTATGTTATCTTGCTATTGGCTTTATTAAACTATTACTGCAAATTTTGGTCTTAGGTTTTTTTCCCTAATTTACCCTTACCCACACCCACAGATACACAAATACATGCAGTTAAAATTGAATTGTTTGAATACATCTATCCAGATTCCTGGCCCAGATAAGAGAAGTTTTTCCTCTTTATGTTTGGGAAATAAACCCCTTCAGTAGCCCTTTGTGGATGTTCTGTATTTTAGTTGTTATTGGTTGTTGTCACTGTTTTTTTATTTGAGACTAATAATCTGTTTGAAACTGACTGAGACAGAAAAATGTGATGTTCCTTTCCACTCACTCCAGATTTTGATAGAAGACTTGTTTTATTTATTTCCAAAATTATATCCGCAGGAAACAAGCTGTTTAAATTCAGATTATGCTGAAGCAAAATGGTCCTGGTATGAGAAGCAACGTGCTGTTTTACGAGCACAGAGTCCCTTTTCTCATAACTGATTGATAGTAAATATTTTCCTGAAGAATTATTGCCAACCATGAACAGTGCAACTGTTTCACTTTTTTTCCATGCTACTTGCTGTACCAGCCATTGTCGGTAATTAAGATCTACAATTCACAATGCAGACGTTTGCACTTCCTCTGGGTCTGTGCTATTTATAAGGCATTTCAGCTGTTCAGAGTTTCTTTTGAGTTTTAAACTACATGTTAACAGGCTTCTTTAAGATACTGTTCCACAAGTAGCATGTCATATGGTCCGTTCTTCACACAGGCGCCTCTGTCAGGTCTAAACATTAGCTTTACAGAGAACATACTAAGATATAACCACGTCATTGAGGCTGATGTGGTTGGAAAAACTGTGGAGTATAATGTGTTACACATTGGGCTTATTGCTCTTTCAAAAAGATAGGAAGGAACTTCAGATGTAATATTCTTTTTGAAAATCTTAATATTCATATGAGCTTAATGTGTTAATTGGGTTACAGAGATATACACAGTTAAATGACTTTTCCAAGTTCACTTTGCATTAATAAGAGAAGCCAGGACCCCTCTTATAGACAAGAGTTTGTGTGTTTGTCAGATTAAGGATGTAAGAATACATTTTCTTCTAGATGTGCGTGCCGTTTAAGAAAAATACAGACATGGGGCACCAAAACGGATCAGCAGATTGACTGCACATTTGTTGTGTAATCAGCTTCAGGAACCCTAAGTAGCATATGCCATTGGTTGAGGAAAGTGTAAACAGGAATCTTGGTCTGTGTTAAAGTTGGTAAAATTTAAACCATTTTCAACCAAAAAGAGACTTAAAAAAAAAAGTCCAGACCCCAGCCCAGAATCTTTATGAATTATGCCCTAAAATAAGAGTAATTGCTTGTGCAGTCTTCTTGCTACCGGCACTCATTGTTAAACATACAAGAAAAAGAAACAAGAAACTGAAAGCTGTCAACAAAATGTGTTTAAAACTTTGCCCTGAGTGGGCATCAGACTGGCTGTTTTTAAGCCTGAAGTCCAGCCGCATTGATTAGGCACGTTGGCCATCAGCATCTTCCAGCAGAGCAGATCTGCAGAGAAAGGCAGGACCCAGGTTTTAGTGCTGATTCTGGATGGCCCTTGAATATAGACAGAATATAGACAGCTTATAACAAAGCCATTCCAAGGCAGTTTTATTTTACAAATCTAAAACTTTCGGTAGTTCTTTTGAACTACCGTGTTTCTGTAAATTTCTTCAGTGAACTCTATGAACCGTTTTTTTTGTTTTTGTTTTTGTTTTTAAATAGCAGCGGTTCAGCTGTTGGGAACCACTGATATATCTGACTGAGGCACTTCAAGATGCTAGAATTTATTCATATTTCTATCTAGCCAGGGAGCTAATAGGCTCGAGCTTGTCTTTGTGGATTGATCTAGATTAGCATGAAATGAGCCCAGTCAGTGTCTTCCTCAGTGAAAAGGGAGAGGTTAGGGGAAAGAGGGATGAAAGAAGAAAGTTCTTCATCAAGAATTGACTGCAGTATTGCCTGCTGATGCATGTCGGATCACCCGCACAGAGAGATCACATGGCTTCTCCAAAAGTCAAACGATCAATTCGCCTCGTTTTGGCTCTGTACTTAATGCACAAACAGTGCGATCTGCGGGGCTGTAATTGCATTGTTAGGGCCAAGGAACAAGGCTGTGCCTTTTCAGCAGACAGCTGGCAGGGAGAGAGGCATGTTGTTAGGAAAGAGAGAGGCAAGGCAAATAAAATTACTGCTAACGCTCAGAGATCGGCAGGAGTCCTACTTGCCTAATCTTACCGGTGGGAGCAAGCGGCTGTTGTAATCCAATTATAGCAGCATAAGCAATTTGTTAGACACTCCGCATAATGTAACAATTTCCCAATAAACTCTGACTTGTAATAACGTCGGCAAGAGTCCGCATAAATCTGCCCGAATGGTGGGGGCTGGAGCATTCGGCTGGGGGCTTGTAATTGGCGCCATCAGCACGTTTTGCGGAGTGCAGTATGGTGCAGTCTTTTAGTGCAGGAATTTTAAGGAGAAAAGCGTGGCACATTTCTCAGGGAAAAAAAAAAAAGTGGCCATTAAAAGGGGAACAGCAAGAAGGGCATACTCTTGCCGTCACATTACCTAGGAATCTTAGTGTAGAAAGAAAACAGGAGGAAGCCATGTTTCCTCCTAATACTAAAGAGGGGAGGTGGGGAAAAGAGTGTGTGAATTAGTTAAATTTCTTTATTTAAAAGGCATCGGTTTCTATTATTTATACCTTCATCTCCAGCCCCCTAAAATGCTGTTCAGGCAGGGTTTAGCTAACATTTTTATAAAATGGTCATACTCAAGACAAGCCTAGAAATGCCAAGTTAAAATCTGTTTTCTTCTGGAGTTAGCATTTTCTTTACAACATGAAATATATATTCTTTATGACCAGGACAAATCTTTTGAAGATATTATCTCACTGAATATCAGACCTTTCTGTGGTGTTCTGACTTCTGCTTTAAGAAACTGTCACTTACTGAAGGGTTTAAATCTCAGCTTGTTTGCTTAGCTGCACTGCTTCTTTTCTCATTCTGAAACATATTGTGAATATCTATGATACTAGGATTAGTAATCAATCTTATTGAAACATTACATTTTATAAGAACATATCATTTAAATTTATACTTGTGTGATCATTATAGAAATAATTTTGATTCCTAAGTAATAAAATTTCTGTTTTGGAAAAAATATTTGTTGTTATATGGGACAAAATAAAATCACCCTTATTAATTGATTAGCATTTGTAGTCACAGAATAGGGTTTCTTGTTATATAAGGTATAGGAGGTGAAGCGTGCTTATGGATTTGAGTTAATAGATTTTCATGCTACTCAATGTTTATTAAATGTTACCTACTTTCTTATGCCAACCCATTTCTTCATTGCTATATAATTTGTGTCAAAACCAACTATATGAAGAACAGGATTTTTCAGAATATCCTGTTGCTGTGGGTATTACCACAATAAATACTTACTTGCAGACTTAAACATTTCCTTTTGCTGAAACAAATGCAGCCTTCTTTGACTGGAGCTACATCAATAAACTGCAGTGCCTCTAATAAAGCCACTCAGTGTCTGGGTTTAACTAATGGCTGATTTTCATGGCTTTGACAGTGAGCTGTGTGCGTTATTTTCTCCTGATATTGTAAAAATAATGAGAGCAAATTAGAACAATCAGTTTACACAGATAGCTCCTGATTGGAGGCGATGGGCAATATGGCAGCAGGTAATCCATCTTTGGACTCCTGTCACATTAACTTCAACAGTGTGAAAAGATCAGGTGGGGTAAGCAGGGATCCTACCCAGTCGGAACACTGAAATTAATGAGAAGAACAGTGTTCTGTGATCAACCTTTTAATTAGCAAGAGTGGAAACAGAGGGAATGATGAAGGGAGCACCACAGCTGCACAATGCCAGGCTCAGTTTCTGAAAAGGAAAGCAAAAAAATCTGTGTTTTATGTTACTTTTTTTCTTGCTGTGTACAGGCATTATCTTTCCATTCTAGAGCTGGTTGCAGGCTTAAGAAATACTGCCTACTTTCCAAAGTAATGCCACAAATATGGTTGATATATTAATAATCTATAGACTGTAATTCTATCAGGAGTCATTTGATTTTGATTACCAGCATACTTTCTTTGGCATTGTACTCTGGGTTTTAAGCTTGATTTTTCTAAAAATCAGGTAACCAGAGGAATTACATTTTTTAAAGTTCTGCCTTGTCAGCCTCCTCTCTCCTCATCACTCCAATTTAGAGTTTTCCTTGCAAGTAACATGAGAGTTTTCTGGTTTGGAGCATTTCTGTCACTTTGAGTTATTTAAAAGAGGAGCAAAATCCAGGCAGCCAGCTATGTCATATTTAAATTATATTCCTTTCCTGATTCTGTTTATTAGAAATTTGCTGTTTTGTTTTTCTATTACCTGTGCTATTGACTTCTCAGTGTTGGGCTGTGTTATTTCAATTTATGTAATTGAGAACTGAATATCAATCAAGTAAGGTGTTTATAGGAGGAAGAAGGAGAAAATCTAGGCATTAACTGAGACTAAAGGTTGATTCATCCATTCAAAGCTCAGATATACTAAAATTGTAACCTTGTTAATCAAATGGTATTAGGCTATAGAAGACATAAATGAGCAAAATTTTCTGAGCCAAATCAGCTTCTGTTTCCTAGACCTTTTTTGGAAGGCTTTAATTTTGGGAAAGTATATGAAGCCATCATGATTTGCAGCGTGTTAGTCTTTACATATTAGACTTAGTGGCTTACTGTAAAAGCAAGTAATATGTTATAGGCTATGTAAATGAATTCAAATATCTTCTAAAGATACACAAAATATTTTTTTCTTGATACTAATAATTAGGCATTTATTTGAAGTACTAATATGCAAAAGCTGGTTACCAGGTACCCACCTGGGTACAGAATTGGTAGGAAAGAGCCTAAAGTTAGTGTGAAATATTTAGGTTAGGTATGAGGTGATCTTTTCTCATAGGACTTTTTTTCACAATATTTATAACTAATGTAGATTATATGTATCATAATAGGTATAACTCTCTAGGCTTTCAGTGCTAAGATACTGCATTTACAGAAACTTAAGTCTCTAATATTATGCCTCTACTTAAAACTCATTGTACAAAAGTACCTCACTTCCCCCTAGTACCATCTCCCTACCCTCTTCCCTGAAAAAACTTAGGATTCTGTTAGAACAGAAATCTGATTTTTTGTCATGTTTTATTTTGACTGATAGTGAGCTTTTCCTGAAAACATTCATTTAGACTTGTATGTACCAATATTTTAGAATCAGTGATGTAATACCAAATAGTATCTAGGACTCCCCCCAGACAACTCTTTTTTTTTCTTTCCCAGAATCAAGAATAAAAGCAACCCAGACAACTCTTTAATAGTCTGATGCTACTGTGCATATTAATATTTAAAGTCCACTTGTTATTATTTTGCAGATCCTTTTCTGCATTCCTTAATCTGAAAGAGAGATTTTTATTCTTAATACTTGTATGGATTTTTGTGGCTTTTTATGGGTGTAAATATTCTCCTCTCTCGTTTGACAGTTTCAAAAGCCTAGGTTCATAAGCTCTCCATGAATAAATATGTTCTTAGTCATGTGATGTAAAAAGATCGCTTACAAAGCTTGTGAAACCTGAGCCTTCCTTTTGAACCTTTTACTACCCATGAGCTCAGGAACCATACATGCAAAATTTTATTCTTGCGTCATGACTTCAGCTTATGAGGGAAATGAGCTATGAATTTAAATGACTCTTCTACTCTATACCAAGTTTCTATGAAAATAAAATTGTATTTTTTCCTTTTTCCTAAAAGGAAAGTTTCATCTGACTAGTGTTTCTGCCGGTATTTGTTCCCATTGTTAAAAGATTTGTTTCTTAAGATTAGCATTAAAATAGACATCCTGTTTTTGAAGGCATCTTTTTTTGTTTATACTGTAATCCCAAAAATGTCCAACTGGCTGAATGGCCAAGAAACTCCCTTGTAATTTCCTAATAGAGCTAAAGTTAACAAGTCACCTTAAAGTCTACTAATTCCAATTAAGTTCACCTTGGAGAAATTTTCATTAGTCTAGTCCTTTGGCACTTACCCAATACACCCTTAATTAAAGTTCTTATGCATGGGACCAGTTGTATCTATTATAAAGATTATCATAATTCTAAGTTTTCTCTCCCACCCCCATTTTTTTTTCAGGGTGTGTTTCCATATAAAGATCGAAAAAGTCCATTTTCTTTTCATGTATCTTCAAGATGGAAGATCTTTTCCTTCCCTTCCTTCCTCCCTTCTTCCCTCCCTCACTCCCTCCTTCCCTCCCTCACTCCCTGCCTCCCTCCCTTCCTTCCTTTCTTCTTCCTTCCTTCCTTTTCAGTTTTATACTACTCAGAAGTTTGAGGAGGAGAGAGAATACATTAAAATGTATTCAGCCCCAGTGTTCAGGCACTATATAGTGCTAGCTATGTGTTACTTATTTGGATTCTCATGTGAACCTGGTGAGATGGACTGGATCCCACTTTACAAACGAGGAACGAGAAGCTTAGATAAGTTAAACCTTTTCCAAATTTTCACATCTTTAAATGATAGAGTCAAGTTTTGAACTAAGATCTGACTTCAGAGTTCTTGCTCACTAGATTGCCTTTCAGGTAGTATTTGGAGGCCTCTGCACCTCTCCTACCAGGATACTTCCCCCATCGCATTGTGTAGCTTTTCTCCATTTCATTTCTATAGCACTTTGACATCTAGCAAATGTTATTTTCTCATCTTCCTCCTCTTCCTACCTCTTGCTGCTTGTATAAATATCTTGTTCAGGCTGAACTGAGAGAAGTAGTGTATTCAGAAAACTTACTATCTCTTTTCGGCTGGGTGTGGTGCCTCACACCTGTAATCCCAGCACTTTGGGAGGCCTAGGTGGGCGGATCACTTGAGGTCAGGAGTTCAAGGCCAGCCTGGCCAACAGGATGAAACTTTGTCTCTACTAAAAATACAAAAATTAGGTGGATGTGGTGGCTGCACCTGTTGTCCCAGCTACTCAGGAAGCTGAGGTGGGGAGACTCACTTGAACCTGGGAGGCAGAGGTTGCAGTAGGCCAAGATTGCGCCACTGTACTCCAGCCTGGGTGAAGGAGCAAGACTCTGTCTCAAAAAAAAAAAAAAACTCTCTTTTCTGGGTTACCTAGTCAGTAATTCCATGTAACTTAAATAGTCACCTGCCTTATTAACATAGTATACAGATCTTTCAAGGATCTAAGTTGACTTCTTGGCTCCATATTACATTGTTCTGTATATAAAATGACTGAGATAATATTAGACAACTGGTTCAGGGTGGTGACTTACTTTAGTAATTGTTTTAGAAGTTGTTTTGGAATACAGATTTTATCCTGTTGTCTGTGTCACAATTTGTAGTGTAAGCATGCACTGGCAGTCCTTTCATACCAACACATTTGTTTTTCCCACTTAAACTTGGTTATTAATTTTGTCAATTAAAAATGTGTCCCTTGGCCTGGTTCGGCTCACACTTGTAATCCCAGTACTTTGGGAGGCTGAGGTGGGAGGAACACCTGAGGTCAGGAGTTCAAGACCAGCCTGGCCAATGTGCTGAAACCCAGTTTCTACTAAAACTACAAAAAAATTAGCTGGGTGTGGTGGCAGGCGCCTATAAGCCCAGCTGCTCAGGAGGCTGAGGCAGGAGAATTGCTTGAACCCAGGAGGCGGAGGTTGCAGTGAGCCAAGATCGCGCCTCTGCACTCCAGCCTGGGTGACAGAGTAAGACTCCATCTCAAAAAAAAAAAAAGTCTCTTAAGGCTTCAGGTCTGTCTGATTACACTTCAGTAAATATTTTTATATTTTGATTCATGCTTCTAGATGGTTCGGTGATTGTGAAGACATGATGAGGTCATGAGAATGTAGCTGGACCTTGAAATCCTCTGTCTCGGAGAAAAGGCTTGGGACAGGGATGAGTGATTAGAAGAAATAGGTTTTTTTTAAAGCAAATGAAAACAAAGCAGACAAACACCAATATTACTATTTTGTGTGTATGTGTAGTTGTTGTTGTTTTTTTTTTAACTCCCTGGATATTCTCTAATGGAAAGGTTAGAAATGCTTGACAGTTAAGGGTGGCATAAATTTTTCACACAGACTCATAAAGTATGTAAGAAACACTTGCTCAACATGGAGCACTAAGACCATGACAAACAGGAACAGCAAAATATTTCTAGAAGAATGAACATAAATTTATGTTTTATACCTCAAACATCACTTCTCTAATTTAATCCACATTTTCTAGGAGTATCTAAGAGCATAAGAAATTTAATTATACAGTTTTGGGTTTGTTTGTTTGTTTTCAATGTGGGAGCAAGCCAAAAGGGAAATATAGAGAGAAAACCATGTTTAAAAAGAAATGGTTCCTACAGTGTTAACTATGGAGTCTGTAGCGTGACTCTGTAATGGAATATCATGGCAGGGGGTATAATACTGTAAATAAGATGAATATGCCACTTGTGGATTAATGGGCAACCTAAAGAGTGCTTTTATTTACATCTATGTGTGACGTTCATTTTCAGTTTGTATATTTTTCTCTTATTCTTGTGATTATAGTATTTACAAATCTGACATTTTAATTACGGAACTTTCTACTGATTTTTTAAAAAATCTGTTTCCATGAATCTTGCTCCATATTTATTTTTGTAGTATTAATATAGTGTCATTTTGGACTTTAAAATTGATAGATTGAAGGCGTTTTCTTTAACCCTTTCTTTAGATAATAAGGAGACAAGGTAGTTTCTGAAATGTATTGAATTCATAAAATACAGCTATTTTTAATTGTTTTTCTTACGAAAGATGGAGTATAGATACCACGAGTGTCCAGATTATAGCAGATTCCATTTGCAGTGATAGTTTTGTGGATATGGTATGCTTTTCAAAGGTTTAGGTACTAATTAATATAAACTTGAATACATCTAGCCTGGGACACTAGAGGAGCTACTGTCTCAACATTATAACATTATAACATGCAATAAAGGTAAGTACTAAGTGAGATTTTATAAAACTGATTTTTTAGTCAGCAGTTTAGGTTGCTGTTGATTGCAAATTACTAGTATTATTTAGTGCCCTTGAAACTTCTGAAGTTGGAGGTTTCAATTGTTAGTTACTCCCTGCTTTCCTTCAATAGAAAATGTGTAGTAAAGGTTATTTATAAAAGACTAATTGTATCCAAAGCTAAATGGTCTTATTATAGAGTTTGTATAGGATTTATTTTCACTTGCACGGGTAGGTTCTCAAAATGTATTTGAATGTGAATGACTTCAAACAAAAAAAAGTGAAAAATTTTTAAAAAGTACTAAAATCCAAAGATTTTGTCATCAAATTTGACAGCCTTTTTGCACCATTACAGGTATTTATTGAATGTTTATGATGTACTAGGCATATACATTTTCACTGAAATCATCACAATAGTCTCATTGTGTTTACACACAAATGAAGTAGAATTCAGATTAAGTAATTTGCCCAAGGTCATACTGTATGTTGCAGAACTGGAATTTGAACCCAGACCATCTGGCCCCATGGCCTTGTGCTTTCAAACCACTGTGTTTGTGAATTTTAATACATAGAAATTAGGGTAGATGTAGCAAATGGGGGGATTATCTAAAACATTCTCTGTGGTGTCTATTGAATGTTAACAATTTACTAACAACTAGCCAGGATTTGGAAATCGCAGAAGTATGCAAATTGGTTATATAAAATTATGATAGAGTAATACATCTTAGGTTTGTTTTTCTTCTCTTGCACTTATAGTATTTTCCTTTCTAGCATTCCATATGAGATGATAAAAATTAAAAACGCCTCAATTAGCAGCCACAAAAAAGTAAAACTGTTAATTGAACCTTGTAATCTCTTACTGTCTGTTAGGCTTTTCTTTTCAAGCTTTGATTGTGTGTAATAAAACTGTGGCTTAATTAATGCCAGGGTTCTGAAGCCTTTGGATGCCACAAAAGAGAGTGAAGTGGAGAAACCAAGGGGCAGCATCAAATAGCTTTTCTGTCATGTTAATTTAGCCCTGTCGGTCTTGTTCTAGTTCATGATGTACAGCTCCCACCAGATACTCACTTGGTGAATTGAAAGAGGAGCTGTAGTGAAAATACTGTCTTAGGAAAAACACAGCTCTTGATTGAGGCTATCAGCAGGTTAATGAATAACTGTTTTCAGACAACATTTCACCCCTAGTTTGAGCTGCTCTTAGAATGAATGTGGCCAGGTTAATGTGACCAGCAGACATAATGCAAAACCAAACTAAGGTGGTAAATTGGCATCTTGGCTTTGTTGCACATGCAGGAAAGATCCAGGACTGGTGTCAGAGGTATACTGTCTTTGGCAGAAGAGTGCTTGTCCATAACCAGAGTACAAGAGAGGAAGTCATACTGATTTATATTAATCTTCATTTCATATGCTAAAAAACAAAATGGCAACCATTTCTCTAGGAAATTGCTAAAGCTGACTTTATAGACATACTTTTTGAGGGATCCATATGCTTTAAATAAGTTGATAGGAAATGTTTGCTATATCATAACTCAAAAAATATTTTCTTAATTTTGAGAATGCGGAATATTGAGCAAGACATAATTATCTTCCCTAAAATGAATTTACTTTTAAGGTGACTCTGCATTTTCTTCTTTTTCTTTCTCTCATTTTCCCTCCCTGATTCAAGGAACTTATTAATTAGCTGGTTTTATACACGTATTGATTTTAACAAGAATATGGAAAAGCCATGTTTCTTTCAGGATGAGAAAGATTTGAAATCCAACCATGAAAAATGAAGCCCCTTGTATTTCTGGCTGCATTCCCAGAATAGTTGTGTGTAGTATAATTATTGAACTTTTAATACCTGCTCAAATTCTGTCTGGATTGCAGAGGATTACAGCATCACATCTAAATTATACTTTCTGATAATATTCAAATGTGAAATAGACATTGTTGTGTGGAGGCAGTGACATCATCATAATTTTCAATGTTTTAAAGTGTCAGTGGTAAAGGGAGTTTACAAGCATAGGAAGAGAACACAGGCTTTACGTTGAAAAAGGTCTCTGTCATCCAGGGGGTTATTTAATGCTAATAAATACTTGTTTTGGAATGGATGGAACTAGGTTAAGTGTTTACAGCCAAAACTTTCTATTTTCCTCTACCAAAGAGCAGGGTTCTCCTAATACTGACCTACTTTGCTCTTAGACAATACTACAGGTACAGTGGTTATACATCCATGAAGAGAAAAATAAATGAGACCAGAAAGATTTTTTGGTAGGAAGTGTTTGGTAACATGTTGCTTTGTTGGTGGAACATAATGTTGCCACAAACCATGAATAAATATTCTGAATTATCTAATATTATAGCAGTTATAACCATTTTTAAGCCTCCTTTCTAAGTAGATATTTCTCTCCTGGCTTCCTGTGCTGTGAACTTTGCAAAACTGGCATAGGCAGCCTATTAATTATTCATATCATAGCAACAATTAAAGCAAATTAAAAATAAAAATCACCGTATTGCATTTAACCGTGGGCAGCACCAAACTGTGTCAGCTCTGTAAGGGCCTGTGGTGTTTCCTTAGTTAAAAGTGCTAGAGGGAGCTCTAACCTTGTTCAGAGTGGTGGCATATGGGAACAATTGTCTGTATGTGGCCATAGGTTTGCAAGTGAAGATATAGTCTCAGGCTCTTCTGTGGCAAAAATTTAAATCTTTTTTATTAGAAGTCCCTGTTTCCTTTATATCTGAAAATAAGGGCTAGGACAGTCTATCTATAGCCAAACAGAACTGTGTTCATCCTTATTGCCCTTTCTGTGAATACAATCATAGTGAATTTTCACGAAGTGAACATACCTGTGTGATTACCATCAGATTTTATTTTTATTTTTAAAAAATTCCAGATTAAGTTCACATCCACCCAGATTTTAATAGGAAAAGAGAAATGAAAAGACCATTACCGGAGCCCACTACTACCCTCTTTAAGTCACTACCCTTTCAAGGGTAAACATTATCCTCACTTCTAACACCATACATTAGTTCTGCCTGGTTTTGAGCCTCATATAAATGGAATCATATAGTATTTTTTTTTTTTTACTGTCTGAATTATTTCACTGTTTTTGAGAGTCATTTATATTGTTATGTATGTATAGTTATAATTTGTTATTGATATGTAATATTTCATTATACATATATGCCATAATTTATCCATTTTACTATAAGTGAACATTGGGTTTCTTTCAGATTTTCATAACTACAAAAAATTATTTTACATATATTTTCCTGAATATATACAATGAGTGTATTTGAATGGGTATATTAACCAGCAGAGGAATTGGAATTTCCAAACTAGCACCAATTTTTATACAGCAGTGAATAAAAGTTCCATCATTCCTTTTTCTCACCAACCAACACTTGGTGTTGTCTACCTTTTTCATTGTAGCATTCTGGTGATACGTAGTAGTATTATGTATGACATTTTGGATTTTGTTTTAAGTTTTTATTTTAGAGGCATGGCTTCACTCTGTCACCCAGTCTGGAGTGCATCAGCGCAATCATAGCTCACTGTAACCTCGAGCTCCTGGCCTCAGGCAGTCCTCTTGCCTCAGCCTCCCAAAGTGCTGGAATTACTGACTTTTTTTAAAATTGCAATTTAAAAAATAATAATAATATAAAATTTACCATCTTACTATTTTTAAGTATACAGTTTATTAGCTTTAAGTGTATTCACATTGTTGTCACATTGTTTTTCATTCACATTTCTCTGAACACTATTAAAATTGAGCATTTTTTTTATGTTGATTGGCCATTTGGATGTGAAGTTCTTGTTCAACGCATTTGCCCTTTTTTTAATTGGGTTTTATGTATTTTTCTTAAAGATTTATAAGAGTTCTTTATAAATTCTGGATACAGGTTATTTGTCTGATGTATGTATTGCATATATTTCTCCTAAACTGTGACTTGCCTTTTCACTTTTTAAATGATGTCTGTGATGAACAGAGGTTCTTAATTTAAGAGTCCAATTTATGGATCTTTGCCTTATACAATTAGTGTTTTTACATTCTACTTAAGAAATCTGCCTGTCCCAATGTCTTAAAGACATTGTTTTATCTAGTTTTTATGGTTTTACATTTCATGTTTAATTCGTTTGATTTTTGTATATGATGCGTGGTAGAGGTGAGAATTCTTTGTTTTCCAGTGTGATACCCAGTTGACCTAGCACCATTTATTGAAATGTGTAGTTCCCATTATACCGGATTGTTTTCTTTGACCATATGCTTATAGGTCTTTATCAAAATCTTGAACTCTGATAGTAAGTGCCCTAGCTTTGTTGTTACTCTTCAAGATTATCTTGGTTATTCTTGGTTATTTTCATTTCCATATAAATTTTAGAATCGCCAATATTTACCAGCTGTGTGATCCACGCCTTGTGTACTACAGCACTTGAACGTGGAACAGTCTTCATATATTTGTTTAAATATGAATATATTAAAGCTGGGCATGGTAGTTTATGCCTGTAATCCTGGCACTTTGGAATGCCCAGGTGGAAGGATTGAGCCTAGGAGTTTGAGACCAGCCTGGTCAACAAAGTGAGACCCCTGTCTCTACAAATAAAAAATATAAAAAAAATTTATCCAGGCATGGTGGTGCGCACCTGTAGTCCCAGCTATTCAGGAGGCTGAGGTGAGAAGATCACTTGAGCTTGGGAGGTTGAGGCTGCAGTGAACCGTGATCATGCCACTGCACTCCAGGCTGGGTGATAGAGTGAGACCCTGTCTATCAGTCAATCAACCCATAATAAATAAACGAAGTTGGCTGGGCGTGATGACTCATGCCTGTAATCCCAGCACTTTGGGAGGCCAACGCGGGCATGTCACAAGGTCAAGAGATCAAGAACATCTTGGCCAACATGGTGAAACCCCATCTCTACGAAAAACACAAAAATTAACTGGGCATGGTGGCACGTGCCTGTAGTCCAAGCTACTCAGGAGGCTGAGGCAGGAGAATTGCTTGAACCTGGGAGGCAGAGCCTGCAGTGAGCCGTGATCGTTCCACTGCACTCCAGCCTGGTGACAGAGCGAGACTCCGTCTCTTAATTAATTAATTAATTAAAGTTGAGATATATATTGACATATACAGAGAGAGTGATTTTGTGTGACATATACACACAAAAATTCCCTAAGTTGTAGTTTCTTCTGATTTTGCCCAGAGCCTTTTAACCTGGCTTTCTTAAGCTGCTTTTTTTGAGATGGAGTCTCATCCTGTCGCCCAGGCTGGAGTGCGGTGGCGTGATCTCAGCTCACTGCAACCTCTGCTTCCTGGATTCAAGCAATTCCCCTGCCTCAGCCTCCCTAGTAGCTGGGACCACAGACATGTGCCACCACGCACAGCTAATTTTTGTATTTTTAGTAGAGATGGGGGTTTCACTATTTTGGCCAGGCTGGTCTCGAACTCCTGAACTCAGGTGATCTGCCCCCCTTGGCCTCCCAAAGTGCTGTGATTACAGGTGTGAGCCACCACACCCGGCCTCCGAAGCTGCTGTTACGATCTAAATCACATCATAACTCTTTTTTCTTTTCTTCACAATTCTATCCTCAGTCCCATAAGCTAATGGTGGCCACACAGGTTAGCACATTTTTAAAGTATTTTAGTCATAATTCCCCTCCTGGGGAATTTGGCATTAAGTTTCTATTAAAACTACAGTTTTAAAGTTTAGTGGGCACGTCCTAATACAGCCTGAATTGTTGAGATGGTTTCTTGGTGCTAGAAAATAATAATAGCAGGCCAGCCGTGGTGGTTCACGCCTGTATTCCCAGCACTTTGGGAAGCCAAGGCAGGCAGATGACCGAAGGTCAGGAGTTCGAGACCAGCCTGACCAACATGGTGAAACCCCGTCTCTACTAAAAATACAAAAAAAGTAGCTGGGTGTAGTGGTGCGCGCCTGTAATCCCAGCTACTCAGGAGGCTGAGGCAGGAGAATCACTTAAACCCAGGAGGCGGAGGTTGCAGTGAGCTGAGATCATGCCATTGCACTCCAGCCTGGGCAACAAGAGCGAGACTCTGTCTCAAAAAAAAAACAGAAAAAAATAATAATAATAGCCACCTTTAGTAACCATGTACATGCTAGATCCTGTTCCAAGTATTTCATATACATAATCTGTTATTTCATATGACAATTGTAGGAAGTAGGTGGTATTAGTTTTGTTTACAGGGGGAAAAAGTGAAGCTTAAAGAAGGCAACTAACTTGTTCAGGTCTATATAGCTTGTACATGGCAGACACTTGGCCTGTACCTGGGCTTGTCTGACACTATGCAGTACTACCTTTTTTTTGAGACAGGAGTCTCGTTCTGTCGGGCTGGAGTGCAGTGGTGCGATCTGGGCTCACTGCAACCTCCGCCTTCTGGGCTCAAGCAATTCTCGTGAGTAGCCGGGATTATAGGCATGCACCACCATGCCCAGCTAAATTTTTTTGTATTTTTAGTAGAGGTGGGGTTTCACCATGTTGCCCAGGCTGCTGTCAAACTCCTGGCCTCAAAGTGATCTGCCCACCTCGGCCTCCCAAAGTGCTAGGATTACAGGTATGAGCCACCATGCTTGGCCACTATGCAGTACTACCTTTTAAATAATTATGTATCTTACCACCTCCATAAATAAAGCCCTGGGTCCTTCATATTATATTTAAGAATATACCCTCCAAAATGTCTTGATTCTGTCTTTGTCACACCCCTAACCCCCATTCTCACTGCTGCTCTCCTAGTTCATGTCTATTCTGATATCAGCCCACTCTTCCATCCTTACTATGTAGGCCTACGAGATTGCTCACTATCAAAAAATGCTATCACCACAGAAAGATGAGGTTACAAATTCTGCTTCTACCTTCCATTGAAACTTAATTCTTTCAAATGGAAATCAAGCCTCAGTGCTTGTCCATATTCATTTAGTTATTACAATAGCTAGTATGCCACCTTGGTCTTGAGGGCACTTGATGGACTTTCGAATCTGAAAGAAAAAGCTCTCTGCAATACAGCAGGCTATGGACTATAATGCTGAAAATACAACTGGCAAAGAACAGTGGCCATCTGATCATGAGCTCTTAATAAAGTTTTGAGAGGATTCCAATGGGTTTTTTATATCTAGTTGCAGACTTTTCTTGTGGCCCTACTGTGGTTGTGCACTGCTTAATGATGGGGATATGTATGAAAATGTGTCATTAGGCAATTTTGTTGTATTGCAAACATTATAGAGTGTACTTCCGCAAATCTAAATGGTACAGCCTCCTATACACCTAGGCTATATGGTATACCTATTACTCCTAGGCAACAAACCTGTACACCATGTCAGCATACTGAATACTGTACGCAATCATAACATGATGGTGTTTGTGTATCTAAACATTTCTAAACATAGAAAAGGTATAGTAAGAATACAATACTATAATCTTAGGGACCGTAGTTGTATATGCAGTTATTGACTAAAATATCATCACATGGTGCATGACTGTACTTTGATTTGGCCCTAATGGAGACCAGTTGGTGTATATAACTTTTTGCCTTCTTATGAAGCAAAGGGATTATTAATAAAGAGATAGATTCATGTATAGACAGTTTTCTGAAAGCCTTTATTAAATACTGGAAACTGTGGGGAGGGATAGTTGGGGTAATTATCAGAAGAGTTGATGTGAAAGAAATGAGGCATATTGAAACAGAAAACTTCAAGAAGGCATTACTAGGGCTTCAGATCCTAGTGTCAGCCATGAAGAAGGCTAAAACCTTAAAGCTTTTAAGATTTTAAATTATTAATTTTAAAGTCAGCATGTAGAAAAGTCAGAGAATAATAATATTACCTGTGTACCTGTCACTCAGAATGATAGCATTTCTTTGCATTAAAAATTCAATTGTTTAAGAAAAGTTTGACCTATTCTTGGGGTTATAGAATATCTTGCTTGCCCAAATAATATTGTGAAAAATGTTTTTTAAAATTCGAGGGCCAGGCACAGTGGCTCAAGTCTGTAATCCCAGCACTTTGGGAGGCCAAGGCAGGTGGATCACCTGAGGTCAAGGAGTTCAAGACCAGCCTGGCCAACATGGCAAAACCCCGCCTCCACTAAAAATACAAAAAATTAGCCAGGCATGGTGGCACACGCCTGTAGTCCCAGCTACTCAGGAGGCTGAGGCAGAATTGCCTGAACCTGCGGGGCAGAGGTTGCAGTGAGTGGAGTACACTGCACTCCAGCCTGGGCAACAGAGTGAGACTGCGTCTCAAAAAAAAAAAAAGAGGTGTATGCTTAAACGCCAATATGATGGGTTTTAAGTAAGAACATGTGAAGAATGAATCTCTATTTTTAAATTTATGTACGCAATTTTATTTTAACTTACAGTAGAACTGGATTATAGACTCAAAGTTTAAGAGCCAGACTGAGCTTCAGATAATCCCATCCACTCACTCATGTTACACATGAACTCCCATGCCAGCAGATACTTCCCCCAGGTTGTATGGCTAATTAGTGATTTAGACTGGGCCTAAATCTCTTTAGCATCGTGTTGCCTCACTTTTGCTTTCAGGCTACATTAAAACATTTATGTCAACTATAAGAAAACTTTTTGATGAATGGTTTGTTTCCAGAGCATCAAAGTTCAGTATGTATTCCTTAAATGGAAAATAGAAATAAACTACAGTGTTTGATACATAGAAAAATTCCATGGGAAAGAGTTATTAGTACTCTTGAGCCTCGTATTTATAGTGCTCCATATGAACTTAAACCACTCCCAGGTAAAATAAAAAGGTTAGGTAGTAAACCAGAAAATGTCTTTATAGAAACTATTTCATGCTCTAAGAAAAGCCAAGTTCTTCAAAGAAAGGATACAAGTCCTAATTTTAAATCAGATGCATAAATTTTATGGAGGTGACTGTCTTCCTGATTTTCATTTTCTTATTACAACCCCTCTTCCCAGAAAACACCTACACAAAACCCCTGGTGGAAGTTTGTCCCATTCTAGGTTAAACAAACAAACAAACCATTTTTAGTGACCCTCAAAATTCTATGTCTTTTCTCAGAAAGACCAAAAATCTGCAATCTCTGGTCTATGAAACCCCATTAAAAATGGTGCCCATGTAGGGGACATATAAATAACCTCCAAAGTTACAGGGTAGTAGAGTTTTTCTGCCTATTTCTGAGAGAAAGGAAAGTGGATGCTGACAACAGCCAGAATTTTAGTCTGGTTTCTGCCCTGGCTCTTGTCTTTGCTGATTCTAAAACAATGCCACAAATCAGAAGGAAGCAAAATATACTCTGTGCCCTACAGGATGTTAGCTCTTTGGTAGAAATTGTTCAAGTGGATTTTAAAAATTAGAGTAATGCACTGAGAGTCTTGTTACCATTCTGATAATTTCCTTACTGTTCTTCCTTCCCTGAAGTTGGGTGTTATGGGAAAACATTGTAGCAATAGCTCTGAAAGATTGAAAATGAAAAAAAAAAATCAATGGCAAATGTCTTTTATTCCATATTGTAGAAGATCTTTGAGGGCTTCCTTTTGCTCTTTTCTGTCTTCAATTATTAAGTTTCATGAAACATTAACCTACTGTTAGTCTTCATTCCTTTTGGGAGTTCAGTTTTACTTTGGTTCTTAAATTTTTGCATACCAATCTTAGAAAATGGATTAGATTGCCAAATTTGAGTGCCTATGGACAAAGCATCAATATAGTGATAGTAGCATCCTTCTTGGTGAGAGAAGGGGACTCCAAATATGTTTACACCACAAGACATTTTACCACTGTACTCACAAAAAGCAATACCCACCTCCTCGTTCATTTAGATTAACAGTTCAGTTTATCAAATATTTTTGAGCTGCTGTTATATAGATACTGAAAACTTATGTGATAATCTATTTTAAAGTGAAAGTTTCTGGACATAATATTATTGTAAAAGCAAAGAAGAGTATATTTAAATATAGTGAAGCATTAAGCTAATTATAATAAGTAACTATGTAGATTACAATCCTTTTTAGTTAAAACTCATCACAACTTATGCCCTTACTATGTGCCAGGTACTCTTTCTGAATACCTTTATATGTATTATTTTAATCTTAACATTAGCCCTTCTAGCTAAGTATTGTAACTATCACCATTTTATAGATGAGGAATTTGAAGCCCAGAGAAGTTAATTAATTTACTGAAGATCACACTCCAGGTAAATAGTAGAGCTGGGATAGAATCAGTGTCAAATTATGATTTTTTAATGATATTCTATTACATAAACTCCTTCAGAAAGACATTTAAGCTTGCTTCAGTGTGGCACTTTGAGTCTCAGTGCATATGTAAACCTCTTTTGGTTATAGAAATGCATTTATCCATCTATGCAAAGCAGTCCTGGTCTTCTACATTTAGTCATAGTCATTGACTTGGAGCTTCATTGTCATTGAAAAGAGGAAGAGGACCAGAATTTCATTTTAGAAAAACTGTTCAGCTTATATAATAACTGCATTTTGAAATCTGAACTTTACTAACTTGTGTGAATCTGAGCAAGTTATTTTGATCACCTGTGCTGAAAAAACAGATGCTGCATCTAAACTAAGCTTTTCCTGGATAAATTAAGAAAACAATTACCAAAGTATTCCAGAGAGAAATGTCTTCAGTCCCTTGATGTTCCCAGGGTTATTAAAGTTTTACCTGAAGATAACCAAGACTTCCAGAAATTACAAGTCATTTACTTCATTCACTGCAGCTAAGAGAAGCTTGTGCTGCTGCCTCATAGAATTATTTCTTGCTGCATTTAACATGCATTAACAAGCATTTGAAAAGAGTTGAATTTCTTCTAGAAAGTTGAGTTGGCTTCTTGAGATCCTATCCAAAAAACTTTGTATTTTCCTAATCCCAGTTTTAGATAAAGCCTTCTCAAAGGCTTTTTTCAGGAGCAAGTTTTACCAAGTTGTTGAGGCCTTTTTATAGAACACAGAAATTGAAGGATTAGAGCACAAAGAAGAGCAGGGTAGTTTTTTCCTTCTTTATTTAAACCCGACTGTATTTTTCCCATACACTTTTTAACTGTTTTACATGTGCCTCTGTGTTTTGCTCTGACATCTGATGCATTCCCTGCTAATGTTAGAACTGAATTTTCTGATGCTAACTGAAGGGAGAAGGGTGTTGGGGGTAAGTTGGGCAGAAGACTCTCAGTTTCAACTTTCAGCATCACAGAAATTTTATTCTGGTAATCTTAACATAATTTGACATCTAGGTGAACAACCTCCACCTGAGGAAGTTACACAGAAAGAACAACCAGATTCCAGACAATTAAACTTTATTACTCCGCCTGAAACATTAAGTAGTGGTTTTAAAAAATAGTTTTTTATCTCCTCTCCCTCTTGATGTTTATTGTGTGGGAGAGGATGTTTGTCCAACAAGCATATTGCTCCTCTTAGAGCAGGTGAGCTTGGTAATGCTGGGTCCCTTTTGCATTTGGTTATATTCATTCTCCCCCTTCCCACCTATTTCTCACTTCATCTCTCCTGTAGCCATCTCCCTCCATCTCTTCCCCAGCTCATCATCTCTCCCCATCCCTATCTTTCCCCTAGACCTGCTTATCCCTCTTCCTTCATCCTTATCCCATCTCTCACCAACCCCACTGCCTAGTATCCACTGTCCTTTCCCCAATCCTCGGTCACTTTTGTCATTCCTCTTCCTCTTCTACCCTCTTCTCTAGCCCTAGCCCTTCCTCTCCTTGCGTTCCTCCTTCTGCTTTCCCATTTTCCCCCTTCCATTTCCCTTTTCTTTCTCTCCTCACTTTCTCTCCCTTTGACTCTCTTTCTTTTCTCCTCTTTCCTCCCCTCCTTTCAGCTCCCCTCATCACAATAACCTATAATTCTCTGTCCTCCAGGATCAGATCTTGACTTCTCTAACAGCAAAGATTAATTTTGCTTGCTCTGATCAATTTGATATTATGAACAAAGAATTCTCTAGATGGCACAGATACACTCCCCCTCCCCCATATTCTTCAAATATTTGACTAATAAATTTTAAAAAAATTTTGTTTTCTTTTTGAGATGAAGTCTTACTCTGTCACCCAGGCTGGAGTGCAGTGGTACAATCTCAGCTCACTGCAACTTCTGCCTCCCGTGTTCAAGCAATCCTCCTGCCTCAGCCTCCCAAGTAGCTGGGATTACAGGCGTGCACCACTGCACCTGAGTATATATTTATATATATATATGTGTATATATATGTATATATATATGTATATGTATATATATATATATATATATTTTTTAGTAGACACGAGGTTTCACCATGTTGGCCAGGCTGGTCTAAGACTCTTGACCTTAAGTGATCCGCCTGCCTCAGCCTCCCAAAGTGCTGGGATTACAGGCATGAGCCACCATGCCTGGCCGTTGACTAATACATTTTTAAATAAACAGAAAGATGGCCGGGCGCGGTGGCTTACGCCTGTAATCCCAGCACTCTGGGAGGCCGAGGCGGGCGGATCATGAGGTCAGGAGATCAAGACCATCCTGGTTAACACGGTGAAACCCCGTCTCTACTAAAAATTCAAAAAAATTAGCCGGGCGTGGTGGCAGGCGCCTGTAGTCCCAGCTGCTCAGGAAGCTGAGGCAGGAGAATGGCGTGAACCTAGGAGGTGGAGCTTGCAGTGAGCAGAGATTGTGCCACTGCACTCCAACCTGGGCGACAGAGCGAGACTCCGTCTCAAAAAAATAAAAAAAAAAAAATAATAATAAAAAAACAAATATACCCACCAAAATGTGAACATTATGTCTTTGTTGATAGTTGAAATTATGGGCAATTTCCATGTTTTTTGTGTATCTGAATTTTTCATATTTACTAAAATGTGTCTACTGTAAATGCTATTTTTAGAAAATGAATTAAACATTCTTTGCTTGACCCCCCCCATAGATCTTTATTTAATCAAAGTGAAAACAAAATGACTCAGATTTGATCCTTTTTGAAGATGAATTTGGTTTGCTATTTTGATGTTCAGTTTTCCAATTTTTTTTTTTTTTTGAGACGGAGTCTCGCTGTGTCGCCCAGGCTGGAGTGCAGTGGCACAATCTCAGCTCACTGCAACCTCCGCCTCCAGGATTCAAGCAATTCTCCTGCCTCAGCCTCCCATTAGCTGGGACTACCGGTGCCGGCCACCATGCACTGCTAATTTTTCTATTTTTAGTAGAGACGGGGTTTCACCATGTTGGTCAGGCTGATCTCGAACTCCCAACCTCAGGTGATCCGCCGCCTCAGCCTCCCAAAGTGCTGGGGTTACAGGCGTGAGCCACCTGTAGTTTTCGCGCCTGGCTAGTTTTCCAAATTTTTTTACCTTTCAAAATGGGTGGCCCTTTGAACTGAAGCATGAAGCCATCAGCTCATTGGCACTATTGTAGCACATGGTGAATGTTAAATACAGTTGCTCAAGTTAGGCTTCAACTCTAAGTCCTATAAGACCTTTCCTGCCTTTCTCTGTCCTCCCAAAATTTAGCTCATGTTTTTTTGTAATATTTCAATATTAGAGTGTTCAGTCTGATAGACTTGGCAATTTTTATACAGATTTGTTTTCAGCCCTGTTATCAGTCTTGGGGGTGGGGAGGACAGGCATTGATGAGCAGCAGTTCTATTATATACCTTGTTTATTGTCCTTGGTAGTGTTGGTTATAAAAAGTGTAACAGTCATGCTGTACCAAGCCAAGATGCCAACTCTGCCATAGTTAAATGTTAAAATTCCAAGCTCAGATTCAAAATTGACTGAAAGGAAATCTTTCAGCAGACTATTTCAATCTCAGTTGACTAACCCTAGGTATGCAAGGTGGAT